>NC_000002.12:232035072-232338102 GCF_000001405.40 Homo sapiens
GTCTTGTCTATTATTGACAGTGGGGTGTTAAAGTCTCCCACTATTATTGTGTGGGAGTCTAAGTCTCTTTATAGGTCTCTAAGAGCTTGCTTTATGAATCTGGGTGCTCCTGTATTGGGTGCATGTATATTTAGGATATTTAGCTCTTCTTTTTGCATTGATCCTTTTGCCATTATGTAATGCCCTTCTTTGTCTTTTTTGATCTTTGTTGGTTTAAAGTCTGTTTTATCAGAGACTAGGATTGCATCCCCTGCTTTTTTTTGCTTTCCATTTGCTTGGTAAATATTCCTCCATCCCTTTATATTGAGCCTATGTGTGTCTCTGCACGTGAGATGGCTCTCCTAAATACAGTACACTGATGGGTCTTGACTCTTTATCCAATTTGCCAGCCTGTGCCTTTTAATTGGGGGATTTAGCCCATTTACATTTAAGTTTAATATTGTTTTGTGTGAATTTGATCCTGTCATTACGATGCTAGCTGGTTATTTTGCCCATTAGTTGATGCAGTTTCTTCATAGTGTCAATGATCTTTACATTTTGGTTTGTTTTTTTGCAGTGGCTGGTACCAGTTTTTCCTTTCCATATTTAGTGCTTCCTTCAGGAGCTCTTGTAAGGCAAGCCTGGTGCTGACAGAATCCCTCAGGATTTGCATGTCTGTAAAGGATTTTATTTCTCCTTCACTTATGAAGCTTTGTTTGGCTGGATATGAATTCTGGGTTGAAAATTCTTTTCTTTAAGAATGTTGAATATTGGCCCTCACTCTCTTCTGGCTTGTAGGGTTTCTGCAGAGAGATCCACTGTTAGTCTGATGGGCTTCCCTTTGTGGGTAACCCAACCTTTCTCTCTGGCTGCCCTTAACATTTTTTCCTAGATTTCAACCTTTTTCCTTAATTTCAACTTTTCCTTCATTTCTGACAATATGTGTCTTGGGGTTGCCTTTCTCGAGGAGTATCTTTATGATGTTCTCTGTATTTCCTGAATTTGAATGTTGGCCTGTCTTGCTAGGTTGGGGAAGTTCTGGATAATATCCTGAAGTGTGTTTTCCAACTTGGTTCCATTCTCCCTGTCACTTTCAGGTACATCAATCAAACGTAGGTTTGGTCTTTTCACATAGTCCCATATTTCTTGGAGGCTTTGTTAGTTCCTTTTCATTCTTTTTTCTCTAATCTTGTCTTCATGCTTTATTTTATTAAGTTGATCTTCAGTCCCTGATATCCTTTCTTCTACTCGATCAATTCATCTACTGATACTTGTATATGCTTCACGAAGTTCTCATGCTGTGTTTTTTAGCTCTATCTAGTCATTTATGTTCTTCTCTAAACTGGTTATTCTAGTGAGCAATTCCTCTAACCTTTTATCAATGTTCTTAGCTTTCTTGCATTGAGTTAGAACATGCTCCTTTAGCTCGGAGGAGTTTGTTATTACCCACTTTCTGAAGCCTACTTCTGCCAGTTCGTCAAACTCATTCTCCGTCCAGTTTTGTTCTCTTGCTGGCAAGGAGTCGTGATCCTTTGGAGAGAAGAGGCATTCTGGTTTTTGGAATTTTCAGCCTTTTTGTACTGGTTTTTCCTCATCTTTGTGGATTTATTTACCCTTGGTCTTTCCTGTTGGTGACCTTTGGATGGAGTTTTTGTGTGGTGGTCCTTTTTGTTGATGTTGATGCTATTGCTTTCTGTTTGTTAGTTCTTCTTCTAACAGTCAGGCCCCTCTTCTGCAGGTCTGCTGGAGTTTGCTGGAGGTCCACTCCAGACCCTGTTTGCTTGGGTATCATCAGTGGAGGCTGCAGAACAGCAAAGATTGCTGCCTCCTCCTTCCTCTGGAAGCTTCATCCCAGAGAGGCACCCGCCAGATGCCAGCTGGAGCTCTCCTGTATGAGGTGTCTGTTGACCCCTGCTGGGAGGCGTCTCCCTGTCAGGAGGCACAGGGGTCAGGGACCCACTTGAGGAGGCAATCTGAGGAGGCAATCTGTCCCTTAGCAGAGCTAGAGCGCTGTGCTGGGAGATCTGCTGCTCTCTTCAGAGCTGGCAGGCAGGAATGTTTAAGTCTGCTGAAGCTGCACCCACATCCGCCCCTTCCCCCAGGTGCTCTGTCCCAGGGAGATGGGAGTTTTACCTATAAGCCCCTGACTGGGGCTGCTGCCTTTCTTTCAGAGATGCCCTATCCAGAGAGAAGGACTCTAGAGAGGTAGTCTGGCTACAGGGGCTTTGCGGTGCTGTGGTGGGCTCCGCCCAGCTTGAACTTCCTGGTGGCTTTGTTTACACTGTGAGGGGAAAACCGCCTACTTAAGCCTCCGTAATGGCAGACGCCCCTCCCCACCAAGCTCAAGTGTCCCAGGTCGACTTCAGACTGCTATGCTGGCAGCAAGAATTTCAAACCAGTGGATCTTAGCTTGCTGGGCTCCATGAGGGTGGGATCCGCTGAGCTAGACCACTTGGCTCTCTGGCTTCAACCCCTTTTCCAGCGGGGTGAACAGTTCTCTCTCACTGGTATACCAGGAGTCACTGGGGTACGAAAAAAAACTCCTGCAGCTAGCTCGGTGTCTGCCCAAACGTCTGCCCAGTTTTGTACTTGAAACCCAGGGCCCTTGTGGTATAGGCACCCGAGGGAATCTCCTGGTCTGAGGGTTGTGAAGACTGTGGGAAAAGCATAATATCTGGGCCAGAGTGCAATGTTCCTCACAGCACAGTCCCTCATGGCTTCCCTTGGCTAGGGGTGGGAGTTCCCTGACTCCTTGCACTTCCTGGGTGAGGTAACGCCCCACCCTGCTTTGGCTTGCCCTCCGTGGGCTGCACCCACTGGCTAACCAGTCCCAGTGAGATGAACCAGGTACCTCAGTTGGAAATGCAGAAATCACCAGCCTTCTGCGTTGGTCTCACTGGGAGCTGCAGGCAGAAGCTGTTCCTATTTGACCATTTTGTCTGGGAATCCTCTTTTTTCTTTTTGAATTACAGTGAACTTTCCTAGTTCAGATCCACCTCCCAGCTTCATCCCCAGTTGCTGCCAATTGTTGATACAGTGTCTTCCCTGGATTCCTTGAAAGCATAGCTAAAGGCTGGCTTCATGTTTTAGGTATATAGGTTGATTTAGGTCACTTTGTTTTCTTGAATCTAGCATAGTGTTGACCAGGTCCAAGAAGATAAGAGAAGTGTATTAGGGCCAGGTCAAACCAAAGGAAACATTCCTAGAGGTCATTTGAGGGAGTAAAGAGGCAGCATTGTAATGAAGAAGAGCCAAAGAAAGAACAGAAAGATGGTGGCATCTTTTACCCTAAGACATGAGAGTGGTAGAATAGGGAGAAACAGAAGAATGGTTAGCAAGTTGGGTGGGTGTAGAGCAGACCAGAGCAGGTATAGGTGCTGACTGGTTGTACAGTAGGCATGGAAAGCATACAGTAGAGCACCAGTGGAGCTCTACAGAAGTGGATGAGATTGCTTAAAAGAGCAAGGCCAAGTAACCTGGCATCCTTTCTGCCCTTGGACCCAGGCAAGAGATGGCCAAAATAAGCAAACATATGAATAAGTAAGTCTGTTGCATTGTTTTCCTTGTTTCTCACCCCCTTTATTGATAAGACAGTCAGCACAGCCTTTCCTGTGCTGTTAGAAGTGCTCTTGCTTCAGGCAGGAAGTCTAAGACGATGGGGTAGATTGTTAACCAAAGCTTGGGGGTAGGTTGAGGGTTAAAGTGTTTGCTGTTGTTGAGGTCTGGAGGAAAGGTTTGGGACTTGAGCATTCTTGTTTCTGCCTTGGTGCCTTTTTTCTTGGACAAAAATCAGTACCTCTTTTAAAACTGAATACAACAAAGTTGTGTTTCTCCCTAGAGGCCTAATTTTATGAATTTCTAGGTCATAAAATTAGCTTAGTGCTACCTACTTCTACAAACTGTTATCTGTTTAACTAGCTCCTACAGAGGGGCTGCTGGCTGCCTCTGAAGCTTTCAGAAGATTTGAAATGTAGAGGGTAGCCCCGGGTTCCTTATTATTTTGTTTCTGTGGAGCTCCCGAGAGTCTTCACAGTGGCTGCCTGACAATTGCTTTTTGTGTTAACGTCAGCCCCATTAGGTACATCTCTCAGGCCTCATTAGTTAGAATATTTCACAGCTTCTTATTCTGAAGTGGGGGAGTTCTGTTGTCCTTAGCCCACCTGTGATAGTTGTTGGTGACAGGGTCAAAGTAGGGAGAAGAGAATATTCGGACTGTCATCAAGAATCCCTGACGTCTAGAATATAAACATCTCCAAACATACTGGCCAATTGTCTTACAGGTTTGTTAGTACAAAAGCATATTGTTATCAAAGGAATCTGTAGTCACTAGCGTGAGCCAATGTGGATTAATTGGATTATTCATCTTTGCTTCTTTCTGCTTGTCGTGCTCACTCCTCTTGGGTATGTAAACTACAGGGCTTTTGGGGTTTTAGAAAAACAACAGTTCTTTTCGTTGTAGTAGTAAATAGTCAATTTATTTCACAGCATGATTTTTGGCAAAATAGATAGCTGTATGAGTATCAAGCTGTGAGGCAATAATGAAAAATAATTTACTCTTATATAACTCTTCGAAGTTCAGATTCTTCCACATTTTTACTGTCTCCTTATACTTTTTATTACAGACATCTAATGAAAGATAGTTGAGGGGCAAATGATAGTTTCTTCCTTTGTCAATTGGAATATTAAGGTACTGTGAGAGTGACTGGTTTGAGGACTGAGAGTTTTTGGCAGAACCAGGGATAGAATCCAGATCTCTTGACTTACAGCTTAATATCCTTTTCCTCAGATTTTCAAAGTGGAGATCATGTCCCCAAATGGTTAGGAAGCATTGATCCTGACAGTTCTGCCTGGAGCAGTTCAAGGTACCCAGTGGCTTCTCATCTACCATTCATCCTGCCCTGTGTTAGATTCTAGAGATACAAACTAGAATAGGTCACAGGCTTTGCGCTTAAGGAGTTCATAGGCTGGTTGGGAAGAGAATGGAAACAATTATGGTACGGTTTGCAGGATGGAAACAGAAATACCACACTGTTATGGGAGAAACAAACTCTATTTGAAAGAATTGGGGAAGACTTCATAGAGGTTACATTAGAGCTAAGGTTTAAAGGATGGGAATAGAGAAAGAGAGAGGATTTGTTTTATTTCAAGATGAGAATGATTTGGCAAGAGAGGATTGTGAAAATTTTAGGTTTCAGGGAGGCATGTATGGATCAAAGCTTTCTCTTCCTGGTATACTATTGGCTGAGTACAGCAGCCCCTCTACTAACTCTCCCAGACATTGGAAGAAGTAGTGGGCTCCTAACTCTTCTGAGGATCCTGCCCTCAAGGGAAACTGAAAGGGGGACCATGGCACCCTTTTACAGAGACTCTTCGAACATTGCTGCCAGCTCAGTAAACTCTTGTTTGCCATTTATTTGATCTTTGCCCTGCTTCTTCCATTCTCTTTCCCTTTTTTTCATCAAGTTCACCTCCCATAACCATAGCCCATACTTGTCTTTCATCTTTTGGTTAACCATAATGAGTTTATTCTATTATTTTCCTTCTCTTAATACCCCAATACGGTAAATTACAAATATGCATATATAAACCCTGTGGGTGCTAATAACAACTGCTAACTTACTGGTGCTTACCGTGTACCAGGTACTGTGTTTAGTGTCTTGTACTATTCTTTTGTATGCTGTTGTCTGTATCCCAATTTTGTGAATGAGAAAACTGGGGCTCGGTTTAAGCCTCTTATTTAGGGCACATATAACTAAGGAGTAACAGAGTGGTATTCAGATTTACATCTCCTGGCTTCATGATCATACTGTTATTTGTTATTCCAGAGATATCAAGGAGAGAGTTATTTGATCTGTATACAGATATTGTCAGTGTCATAATAATTAGCACACATTTAGAAAATAAAAATATATGCTTCAGCATTAGGTAATAGGTAATATCTTAAGTTGCCATCATGGATAAACAAGGTGACTATCAGTTGACATAACTAAAAGCTTAGTGTTAGTCTCAGAAAATAAACAATTCAGAAAATATTAGTTAGAATTCTAGTGGTTGTATCTTAGGACTGGAGAGGTATGATAGGACATTATGGAGACAGGTGTTGAGAATGAGGGAGAACCTTAACAAATACTTGCCCTAGACAGTGGAGATGACCCAACAATAAAAGTCACATCAGAGTTGCAGCTTGCTGTTCAAGGCAGAGTCAAAGGGGTTACAGACCTAGATGCCATTCCTGACTCAATGGCAGCAGATCCCAAATTCATAGTATTTGGATGCACAGGTATTCAAAAGGCAGGTAGGCAGTTGTCATATAGGAGGAAGGGGGTCCTACTGGGGCTTTGGGACAGGGTGCTAAGTTCAGAAATGTGGGACTGTTTTGTTATAAGCAGAGTGGTAGAAGCAGCCACTGGGCTAGGAGTCAAGGATAGGATTTGATCCTCAAGCTGGGAGAATTGACTAGAGCCATACTGGGAGCAAAAACCAAAGCAGAGGACCAGCCTTGAGAGCCAGAATTCTGAAACTTTTTTTGGTTGTACCAAAGGAGTCTTGGGAGCCCAGAATTCAGCTGTGGTATTTTAGTTGATGCAGCCATAGTGATTGGCTCAGAGAAAATAAGAGTAAAAGAGGCTGACAGAGCATATTAAAATTACACTCAATCGGCAAAACAATGTGATACAGAACCTAACTAGCAAAAGAGATGGATTTCAAGTGAAACTTTTACTCATTGAAACTGTTAAAAATATAGTAAGACAGGCAGGAATATGCTTGATACATTGATACCTGTTGGAAACCTATAATGCTAGGGACTCATTTATTTCTCCCACATGTATTTGTGCAGCACCTGCAGGGTACTGAGAGGATAAAGTGGGAATAAATCAGTCAAGTACTTTGTTAGCAAGTCTAAATTTCTCTCAAGACAGGATTATTTCACTTAACTTACAGCAGAGCAAAGTCTATACATGATTTAAGGAAGTAGCGTTCAGCAAGGGAATAATAGATGTATAGGTGAGTGTTTCGGAAGAGATTGGCACTGAAAGAAAGAAATAACTTGAGTCTGAAAGAATAAAGGAAGTGTTGATAGGAGTGGCTACTCTTGTTCTAAATTAAACAAATGCAGAAATCAAAGTACACATTTAATCCCTAATTTTCAATGGTTGTTTCAAACCTTCTTATGGTCACATGAAATTGGTCTAGTACAGTAAAGTGTTTCCTTTGACAACTAACTTTTCCTTCAAGTGATTGTTTTAAAGTTTTGTGTTCCAAGTTCTTCTTTAAATGTGCACCCATCATACTAGATTATATTTAATCCAATCTCTTATATAACCACTATCATTTTGGATTGTTCTCAATTCCAGTGGAATTAGAATTTCTTAGAACTGTTTGGTTTCTTGGCCTGCATGGCAGGCCTGAAAAAGACTTGGAAGGTACTCAGTGATGGGAGGGCAAGATCTTCGGAGCCTCCATCAAGAGTAGTATGGTAGGTAAGGTATATCCACTAACATGATCAGATTTTCCCAAGATTGTTATATACACAGCCTATTTTTAACAGTCATCTTTTTTCTTCATTACTGCCAGCTCTGCATCAAATACTTCAGGTTCTTGCCTGCTTTAAACATGCCCTCAGATCTTTGTAATTCAAGTTGAAATGTCTGAAATAAGGAGTGTATTGTTTAAGGATAGAGTAGCTTATTTATGCTGGAAACTCCTAATTAATATTTCAGGGTTATTTTCTAGAAAACTAATTTATTTCTCCTTAACCCCATGGAGATGTTTTGGTGAAAACCACATTCATTGTAACGAAAGAGTTAATGTAGGTAAATACTTAGGGCAGTGATGGCACATTCTAAGTGCTTGAGAGATGTCAGGTATTACTACTATTAGTCTTAGAAATGAGGACCAAGAACATGGTTCAGCCACAACACATGATAATTCAGATTTACTTTTTCTAGCTCTTGAGTGTACCACATTTACTGACAGAAGACAAAATATTCACATAAAATGTTGGTGTTTTAGTATGTGTTTCTTTGAGTCATCTGCACTGCTGAGCAACTGTATGATAGGCAAGGTTATATTCTGGAATGATGTGGTTTGTTTCTTACTCATGCTCACTGCCCATCAAGATCATCTAGGGGCTTTGCTTTGCATTATCTTTACTCCAAAGCTCAGGATGGATGGAACATAGACCATCAGAAGTGCTCCCTTTCTCTGTGGCAGAAGGAAACAGAGCCAAGGAGGGCCACATTTAAAATGCCCCTGTCCAGAAGTGATGGAGTCACTTCTGCTCATAGCTCATTGGCAAGAACGAGTCACCTGACACTACCCAACCACAAGAGGACCAGGAAGTGCAATCCTACCAAATGTCTGCAAGTAGGGATATAACAGGATGTATCTGGTAAACTGTGCTAATGACTCTCACGCTGGACTAATTAGATTCATTATGTGTTGCATTCCTGACTAGCCATCTGAAAAGAGTATGACACTGGTCATGGCAAAAGCTTCAATATTGCTTACTACAAATATATCCCCACTACTGAAAGTAGAATTCAGAAGGAACCTGAAAATGTTCTAGATGGTCTGTCTATAAGATCACCCTCAGTCATGTAATTATTGCTTTAAAGTACAGGGTATGATAACAAGTAAATTTGTTGATTTTGGAATTAAGTTAATGGTGTAGTAGTACAGTTTTTGTAAGTGAAAGGCAAGGAAATTATATTTTAAGGAAATGTACTGACATTTACTTGGTAATATTTATAAACCACAAAGAGTTTATCATTCATAGTAGTATTGTGATACTGCTGCTTGCTACTGCTATTGTTCAAATTCTCATTTTTTATTAAAATTTCAATAGATTTCTCTTATGTCTTATAGAACTAGTAATGATTTAGGGCATATACATAGCTGTCTTATGAATTTAGGCAGTATTATGTACAAAGGCATTGGAGACTTCTGAAAATATGGTAGATTTGGAAAACTACAGATATTATTTTATTTTTGAGCTTAAAATGCAAGCTAGGGATATAAAGTGGCAAGAGATGAGGCCAGGCTGGCAGATGGAGAGGCAGGGGTGGTGGTGGTGGTGTCACATTGTGAAAGGTCTGTGTAAGAGAGTTCAGTTGGTATGTAGTCACTGGGGAGTCACTGAATGATTTTGAGGAAGGTGACATAGTCACATTGTATATTAAATATCATTGTGGTGGTAAGGTGTGAAGGACTTAAAGCAAAGGGGCAAAATTGGTGGGAGACTGAAAAGAAAATTATGGGTTGAGAGTCCCAGTGAGAGATGAAGTCACAGTGCCCATGTGGAATACAAGGAGGAGATGAATTTAAGACTGTTTAATAAGCTAGAACATGGTGACTGGATATAGGAAGAAGCTGGGGTGACTCCTACATGTTAGGCTCTGGTAATTGAGGGGATGGTGGCACCCTTTGCCAAGATGGAATTTAGGAAGGGGGGCAAGGGCAGAAGTTAGGGTAGGATGATAAACTTGTTTCGACATGTTGAGTTTGAGATGCCTAGGGACATATAGGTATACAAAGCTAGAAGGCATTTAGATATTAGGATTTAGAGTTCAGAAGTCAGAGCTTGGCTAGAGGTAGAGATTTGGGTGACCTCAATTGCACTTGAATAAATGGACATTTTATAGAGAGATAAAAGAAGACCTCTGAGGATAGAGCCTGAGGAATACCAAAACTTAATGGGTATGCAGAAGAAGAGGATCCAGGAAAGGATGCTGTGGAGTGGTGGCCAGCAAGGAAGGAGGAACAGCAGCAGGGAATGATGTGCCAGAAACCAAGTTGAGGAACTCCTGACCTCGTGATCCGCCTGCCTCAGCCTCCCAAAATGCTGGGATTACAGGTGTGAGTCACTGCTCCCAGACAAGTAGAGTTGTTATTTATTGCATGTAATGGATGCTTTAGTGTATGGGGGCTTAATTCTCCTGGGAACTCAGGTTGAGAAAATCGGTCTAGTGGAGCAATAATAGAGTGGTAAGTGCAGTGATAGAGAAAAAATCCTGGGTGTCATGGGAGTGTGCAATAGGGATACCCAGCTAGCTTGCAGAGGGCCAGGGAATGCTTTCTGGAAAGGAATTTTGGGAAGAAATGAAGTCTGAATGGAAAACTGTTAACCATGTGAAGAGTAGAAAAGGCTTGATGGAAAAGAGAGACTAACCTTCTCTAAGTCCAACAAGTTTTAAAAATATGGCTAGAGGGGAGATTTTGAGAACAGTGGTGAGCAGAGGTAAGTTCTTGTCAGCTTTGTTGGGGATGTTTCTTACTGGGCACTGACAAAGGCAGATCACAGACAGTCAGACCCAGTGTCTTACTGGTCTCAGTTTTGTGCTGCTGTAACAAAACACCTGAAACTGGGTGATTTATAAAGAATAGACATTTATTTTCTCATAGTTCTGGAGGCTGGGAAGTCAAAGATCAAGGCACTGGCAGGTTCAACTGCCTGGTGAAGGCTGCATTCTCCAGAGGGAAGGAATGCTGTGTCCTCACATGGCAGAAAGTGGAACAGCAAGTGGGCCTACCACTGTGTGAAGCCTCTTTTATAAGGGCCTAAATCCCATTCATGAGGGAGGAGCCCTCATGATATCATCACCTTTTAAAGGCCTCACTTTTTTTTTTTTTTTTTTTTTTGAGATAGAGTCTCGCTCTGTTGCCCAGGCTGGAGTGCAGTGGTGCGATCTCGGCTCACTGCAACCTCCACCTCCTGGGTTCAAGCAATTCCCTTGCCTCAGCCTCCTGAGTAGCTGGGATTAGAGGTACCTGCCACCACGCCCAGCTAATTTTTGTATTTTTAGTAGAGGTGGGGTTTCACCATGTTGACCAGGCTGGTCTCGAACCCCTGAACTCAGGTGATCCACCTGCCTCGGCCTCCCAAAGTGCTGGGATTACAGGCGTGAGCCACCGCGCATGGCCATTCACTTCTTAATACCATAACACTGGCGACACCTGAATTTTGGAGGGGACACATTCAAACCATATTACCCAGTCTCACTGGATGAATGCTATCTAAGATGAGCTGGACACTGTCACAACACTTGGTGCGTGGTCATTTCTTTTCCTTGAAATTATGATGCACTATCTTCAGTCTGTAAGCACCATAGTCTCAGGTCCTTTGGGATAAGATATGGTGTCTTTTGAAAGGGAGGAGGTTGAGCCTGGATACATTGGCTTTGGGCCTTCTGCCTGTCCTCTCTAATACATACTTGGTGTTGGGTGTGGTTTTCCTTTTGGGGTAATTTGGATTATTGCCACTCAAAGTGTGGTCCATGTACTAACGGCATGGAAGAATCTCAGGCCCAAGACCCACTGAATGAGAATTTGCATTTTAATGAGATCCCTAAGTGATTTGTATGAGCATTATATTTTGAGAAGCATCGATGTGGATGAGTAGGTCTTCTTTGCTCTTAAGATAAAGATTAGTTTGTCACTATAGAGAAAGGAGGAACATATATATGACATTATTATAGCTGGTCCTGGAGGAGAGTCATGGGTGCAGTGTAACTTGTTGGGGCTTCAGAGGTTTCAAGTAATTATAACGAATTCTTTGTTTTAGACTCTAGATCCCTCACTGTAACCCCTTCACCCCCTTCTCCAGTTAGGTCTAACAATTGAAGGATATATTGTTCTTGTAGTTGGAAAAAACCCACTGACTAGTTTATTGAAAAGAGATAGATTTTAGAATATCTTGAGTTATTTTTATCCTACTAAGTGTTCTGTAACCCACCTCCTTCCCATTTTGGGGAGATCATTTTATTTATTTATTATTATTATTTTTAAGATGGGGTCTTGCTGTATTTTCCAGGCTGGTCTCGAACCCTAGGTTCAAGGTGTCCTCCTGCCTTGGCTTCCCAAAATGCTGGGATTACAGGCATGAGCCACCATGCCCAGCCTTGGAGATCATCTTAATATTAAGTTCAGACAATCATGTCATTTCTGTCTTACTGGACTCCAGCTTCACTCATTTTTTTCTGGAAGGGGATTACCTGTTACATTATGTTTAATACATGTTTGTCACAGCTTTCTGTTGGAGACCCACTTTTAGTAGTTTTCAGCATGTTTTGAAGTCTTTTTGACAAGTAAATTTACAGAATATTGCAAAGTTATTTCAATATAAAGAGTTTTTGTATCTTGAAACACTTCAAAGTGCAAAGCACCTCCTCATAACTTGAGTGTTACTGTTTTCCATTTGGCCTATGCTACTGCAAGATCATAGACTAGTGCATCAGGTGGGATTAGAAAGAAAAAGAAGATAGCTGCTCTTTCTGTAGTTGATAGTGTAAAGAACTACAAGAGGAAAATGTAAAGAAAAGCAGTCTGAAACTTTAAATGACTATATTTGAGGTTTATCAGAAAGATGAACTGTTTTTTAATAAATGAGGCACCTGTATTATCAAAATGATTTATTATTTGTAATTGGAATTGTCTTTTCATTCAGACACTTTCTTTGGTAAGAGGTGGTTAGATTATGCCAAAAATGATTAAAATTTTAAAAAATTGAGATAAAATTCACATAACATAGAATTCACCATTTTGATAATTTAAAGTATACAGTTCTGTGGTTTTAGTATATTTACAATGTTGTGCAGCCATCACACCATCTAATTCCAGAATATTATTCACCCCCAAAAGAATCCCTGTGCCCATTAAGCAGTAGTCACTCTCTGTTCCCCTTCTTCCCAGATGCTGGTAACCACTAATCTGTTTTCTGTCTGTATGGATTTTCTTACTCTAGACATTTCATATAAATAGAATTGTACAATATTTGTCGTTTTGTGTTTGTGTTCCTTCACTTAGCATAATGTTTTCAGAGTTCTTCCACGTTGTAGCACATATCAGTACTTCATTTCTTTTTGTGGCAGAATAACATTCCATGTGTGGACATGCCACATTTTGTTATCCTTTCATCAGTTGATGAACATTTGGGTTGTATCTACTTTCTGGCTATTATGCTGTTGTGAACATTCATGCACAAGATTTTATATAAGCACATGTTTTCACTTCTTTTGAGTATTTGTCTAGGAGTGAAGTTATTGGGTCATGTGGTGACTCCATGTTTAACAAAAATGATTTTTAAAATATAGATCACTAAAAGATACTGTCCCCAAACTTTTCTGACCCCAAAGGAATTAGTCTTATGAATGTATACACAAGTTAAGCCCTAAAATTACTTGTTTTCTTTGGCATTTAGTCCACTATATGAGCAGCAGCTGTGTTGCTCCCGTTTCTTTTCACACGCAAGTCACCATTTTGGACATTTCAAAATGGAGCCCCTCTATCTCCTAGATTGTGAATTTGATGGCCCTTTGCTGTGTTATTTTATGAGTTACTTCTGGAGCATCAAAAGTTCTCTCTTAAAAAAAAATCTTGTGGGCACTTAATAAGAGTTGTAGGCCGGGCGCGGTGGCTCACGCCTGTAATCCCAGCACTTTGGGAGGCCGAGGCGGGTGGATCATGAGGTCAGGAGATCGAGACCATCCTGGCTAACACGGTGAAACCTTGTCTCTATTAAAAATATAAAAAATTAGCCAGGTGTGGCGGGGTGCGCCTGTAGTCCCAGCTACTCGGGAGGCTGAGACAGAAGAATGGCGTGAACCTGGGAGGTGGAGCTTGCAGTGAGCCCAGACGCGCCACTGCACTCCAGCCTGGGCGATAGAGCAAGACTCCCTCTCAAAAAAAAAAAAAGAGTTGTATATGCCCGAAATATGTTTGTTGCTGTTGTTGAAGGAGGTTGTTTATTATCATTGTTGTTATAGTGTGTTATTGAATATAGTTTAGGAACTCAAGTAGCTTAGTTACCTAATGTAAATACTATTGTCCTATCAGCATTTCATGTCTTTGCTATATAGTTCTAAAAATGCTTATATACTACAAATATACAAGCATTTCATATTATATACACACATATAGTTTGGTGTTCATAGTATATATAGACACATAGTTTAGTATTGTAAGCTTTTTACGTACCATAAACATCTCAGTTTATTATAATTGTTTCAGGCACATGGAATGCATTCAGTGAATGAATAAATTGTCACTTTTAATGACTACATAATATTTCCTTGAGTGGATGTTATATATTTTAAATAACTTCCCTATGTTATAGGACATTTTAATTTTTTATGATTTTTAAAATTTAAATAATATTATGGAGAAGATCTTTAAATATATGACTTTTTATTTCTTAAGATTGTTTTCTTTAAATTCTTAAAGAGGAATTACTAGGTCAAAAGATAAGAAATTATTCAAATGGATTCTTTGTACTACCAGGTTGCTGTGGTCTGAATGTATCCCCAGAATTCATGTGTTAGAAACATAATCTCAAATGCACCAGCGTTGGGAGATGTGGGGTCTTTTGGGAGGTGTTTAGGTCATGAGGGTAGAGCCCTACTGAATGGATTATAAATAAAAGGGCTTGCAGGAGTGGGTTTTCGTACTCTTGCCCTTCTGCCTTCCGACTTCTACCTTCTGTCCACATGATGACACAGCAAGAAAGCCCTCACCAGATGCTGGTGGCTTAATCTTGGACTTCCGAGCCTCCAGAACTGGGGAGACAGTCTGGACACAGGGAAAACCTGAGACACAGGTTTTTATCCATTCTTTAATTAAATAATTAAAAGAGATCAAATTTGCATTTATTTCTTTAACTTTTACTTTTTGGTTTTCCATTTCATCCTGTGACCTTGTTGATATTTTGAATGTTGGTTTTATCATCTTCAGTATTGGTTGTTTCTTATATATGTTATTTCTACATTTGACACTTTGCGTTGGGCACAGTGCCACTTCTGTGTGCCTAAGCTGGATTTGTGTCCTCATGGTATTTAGGGGCATAGACATATTTCTGTAAGCGTACACATCCTTATTTTGTGCAGACTTTTCTTTCATGCTCCTGTTTCTTTTCCTTTTGCTTGTAGCCAGACTTTTTGGACTCAGTGTCTATTTCTCACTAGTGATGTGGATTCTGCAGTTTGTTTTCTACCCTAGCTTTCTACTAAAGTTGTTCTTTTCATGGTTGTCACTGATTTCCTACCTGTTTTCATTGGTTGTTTGCTTAGTTTTCATTTTCCTGGAGCTTTCTACAGTGATTTAAGACCATTGATTTCCCTTTTCTTTGTAATAACCTCTCATTAGCTCCATGTCCCAGTTCTGTTTCTTCTATTCAGTATGTTTGTTTTTTATTGATTTCTCTCTTTTCTCCACTTAGTTGTAGACATTTCTTTTTTCTTTTTTTGAGACGGAGTCTCGCTCTGTCGCCCAGGCTGTAGTGCAATGGCGTGATTTTGGCTCACTGCAACCTCTGCCTTCCGGGTTCAAGTGATTCTCCTGCCTCAGCCTCCTGAGTAGCTGGGATTATAGGTGCACCACCATGCCCAGCTAATCTTTGTATTTTTTTTTTTTTTTTAGTAGACAGGGTTTCATCATGTTGGCCAGGCTCTCGAACTCCTCACCTCAGGTGTTCCACCCACCTCGGCCTCCCAAAGTGTTGGGATTACAGGCGTGAGCCACTGCACCCGGCCGGTTGTAGACATTTCTTAAGCTTCTAGCCTATGTCCTCTTTTCTTTCTTTACGTTCTTTTCCAGATAGATCTTTATGTAGTTTCCTAGTTTAAACTGACACTTTTATTTGGAGGATTTCCACCATCCATTTGTTTATTCGACATTTTTTGATTGGCAGCTTTGTACGTGGCACTGGCATGGGTCCTGGAGATACAAAGATGAACACACTTTGACTACCCTCGATGAATTTGGAGACCATTGCAGAAATCAGATGTGTAGACAGAGAGCCACATTGCTGTGTGATATGTTTTAACAGAGATCTGAGCACAGAGATGAAGGAGGTGTATGGAGTGGGAGACAATGGCTCTGCCTAAGGGAACTTAAATTTCTTGTAAGAGTGACATTTCAATTGCAGTTGGAAAGGAGAGTTTGCGAAATGAAAATTAAGGGGAGAGGAGAATATTTAAGGCAAGGGAACTGTATGTTTAAAGGAAGAGACGCATGCATTCCTCCCAAGTCTCAACTGGTAAGGGCAGGGGTTTTGTCTTATTTTATTTATATTCATGGTGTTAAGGTAACAACAGGAACCTTTCAAGTTAGATTGGGGTCTCCATTCTAGATCCTTTGTTTACTGGCTCTGGGCTTTAGGGGCCTCACCTATAAATGGTATAAGTTTTTGATAAGGATTAATGAACTGTAATCACCTAAAATAGTGTCTGACAAGTAGTAGGTACTTTTAAAACGTGAGTTTTATTCTTTCATTTTCCTTCTATCTAGCCACCTGTTAACTGGCATACAGTAGGCAGGGAATAGATACTTTTTGAACAATTTCAGTGTTTCCAAACTTCAGAAAAAGGATAGGATTGTTTATTGTGATGTAAACTTTTACGACTAGGAAGACCAAAAACACAGGATGAATTCACTAAATTTAGTGATCTTACAAAGCAGAAACTTGTTTTCTTAAGAACTAGCTTCGGCTGGGCGCGGTGGCTCACGCCTGTAATCCCAGCACTTTGGGAGGCCGAGGCGGGCGGATCACGAGGTCAGGAGATCGAGACCATCCCGGCTAAAACGGTGAAACACCGTCTCTACTAAAAATACAAAAAATTAGCCGGGCGTAGTGGCGGGCGCCTGTAGTCCCAGCTACTTGGGAGGCTGAGGCAGGAGAATGGCGTGAACCCGGGAGGCGGAGCTTGCAGTGAGCCGAGATCCCACCACTGCACTCCAGCCTGGGCGACAGAGCGAGACTCCGTCTCAAAAAAAAAAAAAAAAAAAAAAAAAAAAGAACTAGCTTTGATTGGAAGAGAAAACAAAGCAATGAATCAAGTCAGCTCTGCTGGATGTTTGCACATGGGAGCTGGATAATTCTCCCCCCAAATATAAAAGATTGGATATATTGTTTATAAATGTCTTCTATAATGTTTCTTCATTAATGTTTATAGTTGATTTTGGATTTGTTTTCATCTTAATTTCCTTTTTTTTTTTTGAGATGGAGTTTCCTTCTGTCACCCAGGCTGGAGTGCAGTGGTGCGATTTTGGCTCACTGCAACCTCCGTCTCCTGGTTCAAGCAGTTCTCCTGCCTCAGCCTCCCAAGTAGCTGGGATTACAGATGCCCATCACCATGTCTGGCTAATTTTTTGTATTTTTAGTAGAGACGGGGTTTTGCCGTGTTGGTCAGGCTGGTCTCGAACTCCTGACCTCAGGTGATCCACCTGCCTCGGCTTCCCAAAATGTTGGGATTACAGGCGTGAGCCACTGTGCCCAGCCTCCTTCTTAATTTCTTTTTGTTTACAGAGTTAAATAAACTTGATTGTAGATTTCAGTTGATCCAGGATGGTCTGTTTTCTCCTTGGGGTCTCAAATACAGTAGTTTAACTATTTCTCAGTTAGTACCAGCTCAGACTGGAGTCTTTTAGGTTTTTATTACCAATTACATTCTTATTCCTTTGTATGACATAAAGGCCTTCCATGACCTGCCCTCTTCCCTGTTGGGCAACTCTGTTTCCTTTAGCATACCCTTAATCTTGGGCACCACATACAGAAGGTCTTTGAATGCACCATGCAGCTGCATGCTTACATTTTCTTTTTATACACAGTTTCCTTTGCTTGCAGTTCTCTGCATGTGTCTCTTCCTCTTTCCCCTACTCATCTTTCTAGACTGGTTTCACAGGTTGTTGCCTCTGGGAAGCCTTTCCTTCATATCTTTACAATTGTTATTCAATGCTGCTGTTTTATTGAATTGAAAAATCTTTAGATGTTTTTCACATATTATAGGGCCCTTTATATTGTCTCTGTTCACATTCCAGTGGCATTTGATGTTTTCTTCTGGGTGGTATTTGCATGACCTACTATGAATGACTCCCACTATGTGATGATGTTAAAAATGGCAAGTGCCGTTTGTTGTTGAGTACCTGTTCTGCGTTAGGCACTCTTCTAGGGCTTTGATAACACTGCATGTTGCAGACATAGATTTCTTTGTGAGATGGACTGGACTATAGTATTTCTTTTTCATTCTTCATGTGCTTATTTCTAAATAGACCAGAGCATATTGATTTAATTCATGAGGAGACAATGTCTGGTAACAGATAAAAAGTCAGTTCCTAAATCCAAAGAAAATGAGTAAATTCTTGAACTTGAGTTTTTGTTTATACAACATCTAAACTTCATTTTCAAGGTACTTCTGTTAAGACTATACAGAATTTAGAAAATATGTTGGTGTCAGTTTTATTATTATGTTAAAAGTAGTTTAAAAGTATACTTTTTAAAATAAAAGCAAGGAGAATACTTACATGTCTAAAAGGAAACACTGTTTTTCTATACTACTCTCAACACTGCTGACATCAACTGCATGGATTTTCCACACCAACCAGTTCTCCTCAGACTCTAATTGGGTGTCCTACATTTTAACTCAATCCTGACACTACGCAGAGTTAGCACAGACCCCACAGGTTAAGGGCTTATACCACAAGACTGCCCTCTACCCAGGTGCCAGTCACAGTCCGGGCTGCCTGTACTTCTGACTGGCTATTATTTGGGGATTCCCATGGCCCCCTCAGGTTCAGTAATTTGCTATAATGGTTTATAAAACTCAGGGAAGCATTGACTTATGTTTACCAGTTTATTATAAAGGATATTGCAAAGGATGCAGATGAATAGCCAGATGAAGAGGTACATAGTGCCTCTATGGAGGGGCATGGAGCTGCCACACCCTCTTGAAGTCCTCCACCCTACCAGCACCTCTCTGTGTTTACCAACCCTGAAGCTTTCTGAACTCATTTATGGTTTTTATGGAGGCCACATTACACAGGGATGATTGATTAAATCATTGGCCATTGAACTCAATCTCCAGCCCCTCGTCCCTTTCTGGAGGTCAGGGGGTGGGGCTGAAAGTTCCAACCCTCTAATCACATGATTCATTCTCTGGCAGCTGGCCCCATCCTCCAAGAGTCCCTCATTAGCATAAACTGAGGTATGTTCGAAAAGGGCTTATTACCAATAACAAAAGATGCTCCTCTCACCCCATCACTAAGAAAATTCCTGGGGTTTTTAGGAGCTCTGTATTAGGAACTGGGGATGAAGAACACATTTATATTTTTTAATTATATCATAATATGACAGTATCAGTGTTTCTTTTCTTCTTCAGTGATGCGACAATTCATTCAACAAATATTATTTTGGACATCTACTGTGTACCAGATAAGAGAACATATCATTGAATATAACATAGTGTACTGTCCTCATGGAACATACAGAAAGTTTATATTGTCTGTTAGGCCAAAATGGATCCATAGAGGCTTATTTTCAAAACCTATTCTGTCTTTATTTAAGAACCATAGAAGATTTAAATAATACTTTAACATTTGGAAACTATTTTAACAAATGCAAAAGCCAGAAGTGATTTTTACCTTTTTCTAATTTGAAAGGAAAATTTTTTTCTTTTAGCAGAGACCTCTAAATTCATTAGGGAAAGAACAACCAACCAGCCATAGTATTATATGCTTAAAGTATGATTTTTGTCATAGAACCAGTAAGTTAAATGGCTTTCCTAAACTCATTCATTTGAGACTTATTTGACACCTTTTTGAGGTATGAAAAGTCCAGTGTCAAATGGCTTTACAAGTGAATGCTTCCAAATGTTTAAAACAGATAAATAACACCAATCTTACAAAACTATTCTGGAGAACAGAAAAATGTTTTTTGAGGCCAGTATGCCCTTGATATCAAAACGTGACAAAGATAATACAATATAAGAAAATTGTAGGCAAAGTCCTTTTATAAACACAGATACAAATATCCTAAATAAAATAATAGAAAATTGAATCCATAGATATGTTGTAGGGATAATAGATTATGAACAGGTAAGGTTTATTCCACTAATGTAAGATTGGAGGATTACTATTCAAAACTCAAATAAGGTAATTCATCACGTTACCAGAAGAAAGGAAAAATCTATGGTTACTCTAGTTTCTGTAGAAAAGTACTTGATGAAATTAAAGATCCATTCATGATAAGTACTAGTAATAGAAGAAGACTTTCATCTGATAAAGGCTCCTTACAAAAGCCGACAGTAAACATCATAGCTAATGTTGAAACAGTGAAAGCTTTCCCTCTGATAATGGGAATGAAGCGAGGATGCTCACTATCATTACTTTTATTCCATGTTATATCGTAGACTGTAGTTAATGCGATAAAGCAAGAAAAAAGACATGAGGATTGGGAAAGTAAGACAGTACTCATCATTTTCAGACTAGTTGATTGTATACATGGAGAATTTAAAAGGCTGCTACATACAAAGTCAGCCTACAAAAATTATTTGCATTTCTATATATCAACAACAAAGAAAAAATGTTACCCTTATGTTAGCATGTAAAAAAGAGTTTTCAAGACCTCAACATTGCAAACGACACAATGTTATCAAAAGATGCTAAAGATGCTCTAACTAAATGGTCATGGACTGTAAAATTCATTATGGTAAAAATATTAATTCTTCCCAAATTGATTGCTGCATTTAACAGAATCCAAGCCAACATTCCAGCAATCGTTGTTGTGTGTGTGTGGAAAGTAACAAGCTGATTTTAAAAATAGATGGCAATGTGAAGGACCAAAATAACCAAGACAATTTTGAAGTACAAAGCTGGAGTTCTTAAACTGCCCAACATCAAGACTTACCATAAGTGAGCACAGTTACAATAGTTTGGTATTTAGTATAAGGAGAGACACATAAGCTAGTGAATGGGATAGAAAGTCCAGAAATAGACTCATATATGGTCACTTGATTATGATAAAGGGAACAGTGCACTGCAGTGGAGGAAAGAATGCTCTTTTCAACAAGTGGTGCAAGGCTGATTGGCTACCCACTTGGAGAAAAAGGATGTTGACCTTTATTTCATACCATGCACAAAAATCAATTCTAGGTAGATAAAATAACTAAATGTGAAAGGTAGAACAGTAAAGCTTTTCAAGGAAAACATAATACCATATTTTCATGACTTTAGGGGCACCAAAAATTTCTTAAACAGGACACAAAAAATAGGCCAGGCGTGATGCCTTATACCTGTAATCCCAGCACTTTGGGAGGCTGAGGCAGGCAGATCACCTGAGGTCAGGAGTTGGAGACCAGCCTGGCCAACATGGTGAAACCCCGTTTCTACTAAAAATACGAAAATTAGCTGGGCCTGGTGGTGTGTGCCTGTAGTCACAGCTACTCAGGAGGCTGAGGCAGGACAATCGCTTGAACTTGGGAGGTGGAGGTGAGCTGAGATCATGCCACTGCACTCCAGACTGGGTGACAGAGCAAGACTCCATCTCAAAACAACAACAACAACAACAACAACAACAACAAACAAAAAACAGTAACCATGAAGGAGAAAAATTAATAGATTGGAGTACATTAAAGAACTCTTCAAAAATACCACAAGGAAAGTAAATATTAATCTGCACAGTGGGAGAAGATGTATGCAACCAGATATATATTCAACAAACGACTCCTAACTAGAATTTATAAAGAATTCCCTGACATAATTGAGAAAAAAAACAGACAACAAATAGAAAAATGGGAGAATGACTGATACAGGCTCTTCACAAAAAGCTATCCAAATGGCCAATGCACTTAGGAAAAGATTCTCAGCTTTATCAGTTATCAGGGAAACACAAATCAAAACCATAATGCAGTACTACTTCACATCTCCCTGAAGGGCTGAAATAAATAGGTAAACAATATTAAGAGTTGGTGAGGTGTAGAGTAACTGGAATTCTCATATACTGCTAGTGGGAATGTCAGTGTAGCTGCTTCAGAAAACTGCTTGGCATCATTTGCTAAAGCTGCTGCTATCTTGTGGCCCAGAATTTTCATTCCCAGGTATATGCCCAACAGTAATGGGTACATTTGTACACCAAAAAAATATGTCTAGGAATCTTCCTAGGAATATTATATAAAATAGCCCCAAACTGGAAACCATCCAAATCTCAATAGTAGAATGGATGTATTGTGGTATGTATATACAATAGAATACTGTACAGCAGAGAGAATGGATCAACTACAGCAATGTGCAGCAATTAAGTATGAATCTAATGGCCAAACACAAAACTGCTTATGGTTCTACTTATAAGCATAAAACTATAGTTTTATCAGGATATTATTTGTCTTTGAAGGGGCAATAATTGAAAGGGGCAAGAGAAGAACGTCTTGAGTATTGGTTCTGGCAGGCAGAATTGTAAGGTGGCCCTCAAGATTCTCCTCCTTAAATACACACACCATGTTTAATTCCATCATCTTGAGTGTGGGTGGGACCTGCGAATATGGTGGGGTATCCTTCCTATGAGCAAGTCGCAATTTTGGGCAGAGGTAAAGGGCTTTTGCAGATGTTATTGAAGTCCCTAATCAGCTGACTTTAAGTTAACCGTAAGAGAGATTATCTTTGTGGACCTGACCTCATCAGGTGAGCCCTTTAAAATAGCATCCAGGAGTTAGAGATTTTTCTTGCTGCCCTTGAAGAAACAAACTGCCAGGAGTTTTATAGCTCCAAGAAAACAAATTTTGCCGACAGCCACCCAGGCTTCCGTTAGGACCCTAATCGTTAAACCATAGATGAGATAGCAGCCCCAGCTGACAAACATCTTGATTACAGCCTTGAGATCACCACTAGAGAACCCAGCTAAGCCATACCGAGATACTCGACCCACAGAAGTTGTAAGATAATAAATGTGTCTTGTTTTAAACTGCTAAGTTTGTGGTAGGTTTTTGTGTCGCATAGAAAACTGACATACTAGTGAGACTCTGTTTCCTCATCTTGGTTAGTGTTGTATGTGGGCATTGTTTATTTTGTAAAAATTCATCATATTATGCATTTATGATTTGTGTATTTTTCTATATGTAATTAAAAATGAGTTATATTACCCAAAAGTGTTTACTTTAAAACAGGAGAAAAATTAATGGCATTCCTCTGTATTTCCTTTAACCAGTACACAAATATAATCAAATAGTTATGTTGTAATTGCAATGGTTAGTTTGAACACAAGCAGATTTGGTCACAAAATTAAGTTAAATATTTCTTCCCATAAGTGAACTCACCCTCTGTCCTTGCTCTCATTGACATGTCACTTATATTTTACATCTCCTCCTCCATGGTTTCACTATGAGAGTGGTAGAGTCTTGAAGCTGGAGATGTAATGATTTTTCACTTTCTTATTTCAAAATTGATGAAACTGGAATGTGCCTCAAGTTAAGTATTGAGTAGCAAAGCCAGTACCTCGGTTCTTGACGGCTCTAATTCTGTGCCCATTTCCTCTTATCATAGAGCTTCTGGAATCCAAAGGAAATACAAGCATTTTGGTAGTGGTTATGTCATAGATGTAGTTTGATCTGGGTGGAGGGTACTGAGTGGGGGAGTAACATTCTCTGTTTCTAATTAGAACTAGTAAGCTAATTTTGCAGGTTGTGGAAGGTGTAGGGGAAAGATTCGGTTAGCCACAAATGTCTACTATGCCTAACCTTTATGCTATGTACTGGGATGTCACTGTCACCAATTATCTTTGTTTTGAGTTTCTGTTTACCACACATGGCTTCCTGCGCTTCCAAATTTTCCCAGACTCATACTGCTTTACAGCCTTCCTCTTTCTTGAGTCAATAAGGAGTTAGATAATGCCCCTACTTTTCCCAGTGTGCACACAGAACTGGACTCTGTATATGTGTGAGTGGGTGTAAATCCAGGTTTAAGTCAGTCATTGATCGTGAAGAATCCTTGGGTTAAGGTTTCTACTGATTGAAATCCTGACTCAGTGATGTAAGAAAGCATTGCAGAATTAAATGTAACAATTATGGCAGGTAGATGCATCTAAACATGTTTGATTCATAAAGCATGTTTTTATTTGTGCCCATTTTCTTAAATGGTTTTATAACTTATGACTTATTTTTTTTCTTTTTTACATGCTGATCCTGAGTTCATAGTCTTGTATTTTGGAAAAGCTAGAAATATTAAAATAGTGCTTCTGGGGTAAAGCATCTGTCAGTATTTCCATTTTGGAATGCAATTTCAAAGGGTTTAGAAGTCAGCTGTAAAAATTTGTTCTTGGCTGATATTTTGTATACAAAAAGCTCTGCCCAGGATAATTTTCAGAAGAATTCTTGCAACAGCATAAACTGTAAGGTTATATGGCAGAACCAGCTTACATTGAACTCATTTTTTATGCTTCTATCAAAGTAGGGAAAAGATGAAAGCTTTTAAAATGATTCAAATAAAACAATATGAAATTTGTATTCTAGACTTATATGCTTAGAAAATTGTTGGTTTTAAAAGATACTCTACCACTGTACTATCACAAGGCTCGCCATTGGCTTAACTATCAAAAATAATAGCACCACCAAACCCAGCATAAGCCCTGAATCTTAGGTGACTTCAGAACAACTCTTTTTACAAATTTTTTAAAAAATAATTTCAACTTTTATTTTAGATTCCGGGAGTACATGTGCAGGTTTGTTACCTGACTATATTGTGTGATGCTGAGGTATGGGGTATGACTGATCCTGTCACCCAAGTATTGAACATAGTACCCAGTAGTTTTTCAACTCTTGCCCCTATCCCTTCCTTCCTCCTCTGGGAGTCCCCAGTGTCTGTTGCTGTCTTTATTTCCCTGAGTACCCATTGTTTAGCCCCCACTTATAAGTGAGAACATGTGGTATTTGGTTTTTTGTTCCTGAGCTAATTTACTTAGGATAGTGGCCTCCAACTTCATTCATGGTGCTGGAAAGGACGTGATTTCATTCTTTTTTAATGGCTGCATGGTATTCCATGGTATATGTGTACCACATTTTCTTTATCCAGTCCAATATTGGACTGGGCACCTAGGTTGATTCTATGTCTTTCCTATTGTGTATAGTGCTGCAATGAACATATGAGTGCATGTATCTTTCTGGTAGAACAATTTATTTTCTTTTGGATGTATACCCAGTAGTGGCATTGCTGAGATTTTTTTTCTATAGAGTTGTTTGAACTCCTTATACATTCTGGTTGTTAATCCCTTGTCAGCCATCTGTAAAGGGATATCTGCGAAATAGTTTGCAGATATTTTCTCCATTTTGTGGGTTGTCTCCTCACTTTCTCCATTTTGTGGGTTTTTTTCCATTTTGTGGGTTGTCTCTTCATTTTGTTGATTGTTTCCTTTGCCGTGCAGTTTTTTAACTTGATGTGATCCCATTTGTCCGTTTTTGCTTTGGTCGCCTGTGCTTGTAGGGTATCGCTCAAGAAGTCTTTGCCCACTCCAATGTCTTGGAGAGTTTCTTCAGTGTTTTCTTTTAGTAGTTTAATAGTTTGAGGTCTTAGATTTAAGTTTTTAATCCATTTTGATGTGATTTTTGTATATGGCAAAAGATTGGGCTCTAATTTTATTCTTCTGCATTTAGATAACCAGTTTTCCCAGCACCATTTATTGAAGAAAGTGGGTTCTCTATTCTGTTCTCTATGTGTCTGTTTTTATGCCAGTATCATACTGTTTTGGTTACTATAGCTCTGTAGTATAATTTGAAGTCTGGTAGAATGTGACTTTTCCAGTTTCGTTCCTTTTGCTCAGGATAGCTTTGGCTATTCTGGTCTTTTATGGCTTCATATAAATTTGAAGATTTTTTTCTATTTATATGAAGAATATCATTGGTATTTTGTTAGGTATTGCATTGAATCTATAGATTGCTTTGGGTAGTATGGACATTTTAACATTATTAATTCTTCCAACCAATGAGCATGGAATATCTTTCCATTTTTTGTGTGTCTTTTTCAATTTCTATCATCAGTGTTTTATAATATTTATTGCAGATGTCTTTTATTTCTTTGGTTAAGCTAATTTCAAGGTATTTAATTTTATTTGTAGCTATTATAAATGTAATTACTTTCTTGATTTATTTTTCAGATTGTTCTGTGTTGGCATAGAGAAATGCTGCTGTATGTTGATTTTGTATCATGAAACTTTACTGAAATTGTTTATTAGCTCTAATAGTTTTTTGGTGGTTTTTAGGTTTTTCCAAATATAAGATCATATTATCTGCAAACAAGAATACTTTGACTTCTTCCTTTCCAATTTGGATACCCTTTGTTTCTTTCTCTTGTCTGATTGCTCTAGCTAGGACTTCCCGAGCAACTTATTTAAGAACAGATTTTAGCAGCTCATTTTGAAAGCAGCATTTGGGGCTGCTCAGGGACTGTGTAACTCTAAAGAGACTCTTTTGTCTCTTTTTCCTAGTTGATGAAAAATAGCTTTCTGTTTGTTACCTGGCTTAGGTGTCCTCAAAGAAAGTAAGAAGGGAAAGCAAAGACATGTTTCTTGCGTGATTGGAGACTTAGTCCGTGAAGCTGGAGAGCTTCTTGTTAATGTAACTTTCTTCCCAAATCTTTGGGCAGGTCTTAGCTTGAAAAGATCAACCACAATGAAGATAAGCTCCCTGCTTTTATGTTATTGTGAGCACACGTACACGTATAGTTCTACTGCATTTTACAGCTTGTGGCCAGGTTTTTTTCTTCTTATTGTCTACTTTTTCTTCAACATTCAATCTCATAAGCAGATTGCCTCCAGGATAATTTTATATGTGGCAGCCAGTCTAGCCTCAGAGTTGGCAATACCTTCCTCTATTGTATTACTTCTGACCCATGGAAGTGCAGTTCATGTGCAGAGAGCCTACAGGGAACATTTGAAGTCTTGTTGGTCTGAAATGAAACATGACTTTATGTGAAATGTGAATTAGAAATGATGTTGGGTTATATACAGTTACTCAGAAATAAAGTCTCCATGGTGGAGAAGGAACTACCTCATTAAGGACATGCTTCTTTCCCTCACCACTCCTTATTCTTCAAGGTGCTGATGCTGTACCACACTTGGGCCCAAACAAGGTTAAAACGGCAACAGCCCTTTGGTTTATAAAGCTAAACAACTTTTCTTTCTTTGTAAAAGAAAACAACTTCTTTAGACAGATATATTTTTTTAAAATTAGGTCATTACTTATTCAGAGATCATAGGAAATTTGCTTCCAGAGTCATCCTGTTCAGCTACGGGGCGGGCTGGGTTGGGGGGCCGCTATGCCGAGATGAAGGAAAGTCGGCCTTGGCTTCAGAGGTGGATGCATGTTGCTTTCTCTGGAGTCATCTCAGCTGAGAGGCAGCTTCTCCATCCTTGCCTGGTCTAGTTTTAGGTGGCTTATTCTAGAGACAGGCATTCATGTTGTCATGATCCACTAGAAGCTCGAGGCTGGAATCTTAGGTGTGGAAGTGATAGTAGGCCTCTTGAAGGGAGAGAAGGCACTACCACACCACTGAGTGAATGTTTGAATTCACAGTTCCTGGAAAGTGGGTATGTTTAGTATAGAGATGCTCTTTGGGAAAGA
This sequence comes from Homo sapiens, assembly GCF_000001405.40. Taxonomy (NCBI): domain Eukaryota; kingdom Metazoa; phylum Chordata; class Mammalia; order Primates; family Hominidae; genus Homo; species Homo sapiens. Next base: position 232,062,420 of record NC_000002.12, read on the forward strand.
GCAGATTATTTTGCTTCTCAGAGGGGTAATCAATTACTATAATTATTTATTGAAGAGTAATGTACTACTATCATTATTGTTCAAACTGCCCCTGATCTGACCAGTGGTAGCCCCCCAAGTTGATCTCTGTGCCATTTGGACATGTCCTCATCGTTCTTTGAACACTTGTTTATTTCCTGGTGATGTTCCCACCTCATCCTGTAACTTTCTCTTTGCTATCCCTCGAATCAGCCATTTTTTCTAAGACTCCCTAGTTCCTTTTAATGGAGATATCCAGACTCTCCCAAGCCCTCTTAATGAACAGAAACTAGGAAAGACATGTATGTATCTCCCCTCCTTCCCTCCTTTCTTCCTTCCTGCCTTCCTATCAGCCTGCCTGCGTGCCTGCCTTACCTATCTTACCTACCCTATCTTCATCTATCTATCTGTGTCTCTCTCTCCTTTCCCTTCCTTCCCTTCCTTCCTTCCTTTTCACATGGATATCTCCAATTCTAACACAACACCATAGGGTTTGTTCTGGTTTCCCCCTTCCCACATTTGTACCCCCTTTCTTTGACAGTGAGAAACCTGGCTCTTACTGTTCACATTATATTTACTTTTTTGCTCATTCCTGTTTGTAACTAATCTATTTCCATTGCTTGTCTTCTGTATCACTAGGTCACCTGCTTCACTCCAGGCTTCAGTCCTTGCTAGGCTCCTGCTTCCTCACTCAGGGCCTGGCTCCTTGCTCCCACCTCCCCATCCCCATTGCACCATGTTATTTTTGAACATGGTTCCTTTGAAAGTTGGAGGTTCTAGCTTTTCTATGTAAAGTCCTATAGCCAGTTGATCAATGGCACTTAGTATACAAGAACCTCAACTCTACTTGTGTTTAGAATGTTATAACATTTCTATTTTGATTTCTTTCTTGATGGCTATCTTTCTTTTAAGCATCAAGTTGAGAAAAAAAGAAACTGTGTATGTGTGCATGTGTGTATGTGCCTGTGCGTTTTAAGGTACATACGAATGACATTTAAGGCCCTCCTTGGCAAGGATGAGCTCATTCTTCCTTAGTGGATTTTTTGTTTTTTTTGTGCCTCTTCAGAAGCTTCCAGCTGCAGTGACACCTGTCTACTTTCTGTTCTGCAAACATGCCTACTTCTTGAACTTTTTAAACTATGACATCTTTTTTCATCACTATCCATTCTCATGACCTATGCTGCATTCTGCCATGTTAATTAAGTCTTTCCTTCGTCATCTCACAGGAAGCAAGACACTGCCTTCATTTCCTAAAGCTTATACCATTTGATTGATGATTGCTTCTGCTTGAAGATAGTTAGGGATGTGCTTTGTGGGTGTACTTATTTCTAGGTGTTGATAGGCCAATACTAGCGATGTGGTTTTCGAAAATGCCTTATTAACTGAAGCGTCACCTCACTGTAAGTGGGAGTAATTTGATGCCTAATAGATGCTCTGCACATTACAAAATTTTGATAAATATTTCTTGGATTTTAAGTTTTATCAGAATAAAAAATATTTGATACCTTTAGATCATAACCTTGGCTTGTAGTTTGGGTGTTTTTATGGAGTTTTGCACTTTTCCTGTGTATAGATGCTGAGTTTGCTTGGCTTTGGTATAAAAAAAAATTTATTTGGTTCATATAGTCTTTTTGCTCAGGTTTATTGAAGTATAATTTACATATAGTAAAAAATCACTCCCTTTAAGTGTCCGGTTCTATGAATTAAAATCTTGTGTAACCATCACCATAATGAAGATAGAAAAGCATTCTTTACTCCCGAAAATTCCTTTGTATCCCTTTTAAGTCAACATTTCCCCTCATCCCACAGCCCCTGCCAACCACTGATCTGTTTTGCATCCCTGTGGATTTACCTTTTCCAGAATGTCATATAAATGGAATAATTTTGAGTCTGGCTTTTTTCTATTAGCGTGCGCATGTGAAATTTATCCATGTTGTTCACTGTTGCCGACTAGTATTCCATTGTATAGATGTTTCAGAGTTTGTTTACCTCTTCACCAGTTGAAGGACATTTTGGTTGTTTTCAGTTTTTGATGATTAAGAACAATGCCCCTGTGAACACTGCTGTACACATCATCGTAAGAACATATGCTTTTATTTCTCTTGGTTAAGTAGGTACCTGGATGTGGAATTGCTGGATCATATGGTAAGCATATGTTTATCTTTATACGAAATTATGAAGTGGTTTTCCAAAGTAGCTGTACCATTTCTCACTCCCATGAAAAATATATGAGAGATTCAGTTTCTTTACATCCTCACCACCACATATTATAATTATAGCCATTCTGGTGGATGTATAGTGTTATCTCCTTTGTTATTGTTTGTTATATTTTGCTTTGAATTTCCCTGATGACAAAATGATGCTGAGTATTTTTTGTATTTACACCCATTAATATATATGTTATTCTCTGATGTGTCTGTGTAAGTCTTTTATACATTTTTGGCTTTCATTTTAATGAATTGTAAGAGTTCTTTATATAATGTGGACAAAAGTCCTTTGCTACACAAATTTCTGAAGGGTACCTTTTGCAGAGCAGAAGTTTTAAATTATGGTGAAATCCAATTTATCAAAATTTTTAATGAGTTATGCCTTTGGTTTCCTATCTAATATATCTCTGTCTATCCCAAAGTTGCAAAGATTTCTCCTTTTCTTCTTTCTTCTTAAAATTGTGGTAAGAACACTTAACTTGATCTACCCTCTTACCAAAGTTTTAAGTGCATGGTATTTTTAAGTATGCATGATGCTGTGCAGCAGATCTCTAGAACTTAATTCATTTTATACAACTGGAACTTTATATTCATTGACCAGCAGCTCCCATTTCTTTTTCCCCCCAGCTCCTGGCAACCACCATTCTACTCTGTTTCTGCAAGTCTCTTTTTTTTCCTTATAAAAGGTTTATAGTAGTTTGAATTTTCACTTTTTGGTCTATTGTCCATTTCAAGTTAATTTTTATATATAGTGTGAAGTGAGGGCTGAATTTCATCTTTCTCCTGTGGATATCTACTTATTTTAGCACATTTGTTTAAAAGACTCCTTTCCCTATTGAATTACCATGACATCTTTATTGAAAATCAATTTACTATATAAATGTGATTCTATTTCTAGGCTCTATATTCTGTTCCATTAATCTATTTATCTATCCTTCCTTAATTACTGTAGCTTTGTAGTAAGCCTTAATATTTAGTGGTATTTGTTTTTCAAAATTCTTTTGACTCTTTGGGCTCCTGTGTATATTGATGGGAAATTTAGAATTGACTTTATCTACTTCTATGCATAAAGCCTATTTGGATTGCATTGAGTCTGTAGATCAATTTGGGGTCCAAATGGCATAGATTGGAGTTGTCTAATCCATGAACAGATATTTATCTCCATTTATTTAGGTCTTCTTTAATTTCTTTTGACAGGATTTTGTAGTTTTCAGTGTATAAGTTTTGCATATATTTTGTTAGATTTCTTACTAAATCATTCATGTTTTTGATACTATGATAATTGAAATTATCCCCTTAATTTTATTTTCCAGTTGTTCATATCTAGTATATAGAAATTGACTTTTGTATATGTATATGTATATATTTTTTATAATGTCCTGCAACCTAGTTATTAGTTTTAGTACATCTTTAAAGATTCTGTAGGATTTTCTGCATATATATTGTCTGTGAATAAAGGCTGTTTTATGTTTTCTGTTCTAATCTATATGCCTTTTAGTTTTTTCATGCTTTACAAGAAACCTTCACTATGATGTTGAACACAAGTAGTGAGATATTCTTGCCTTGTTCTTGATCTTATGAGGAAAGCCCTCTATCTTTCTCATTAATTATGTTAGTTTTAGGTTTTTCATAGATGCCCTTTATCAAGCTGAGGAAATATCCTTATAGTCTTAGTGGAATTTTCATCATGAATAGAAGTTGAATTATGTCAAATGTGTGTATTGAGATGACTATACAGATTCTTTTCTTTTTCCTGTTAACATGTTGAATTACAGGGATTGATTTTAAAATGTTAAATTAGGTTTTTATTCATTGGTTTGGTTTGCTAATAATTTGTTGACAGATCTAACATGTGTCCTCATCAGGATTATTAACTTGTGACTTACTGGTATTATTATGTCTTTGGTTTTGGTATCAGGGTAATAATACTGGTCTCATAAAGTGAGTTGGGAAATGTTTCCTCTTCCCCTATATTTTGAGAGAGTATGATAGGGTTGGTATTTCCTTTTTAAGTATTTGATAAAATTTACTAGTGAAGGCATATGGGCTTAGAGTATTCTTTTCTAGTGGGTTTTTAATTACAGTTTAAATTTCTTTATTGATATAGAGTGTGATGGTTTTAAACATGACCCAACATTTTTTTTGACATTCCTATTATTGATAACAGATACTAAAGGCTTTTAAATTTTTCTGTTTCTTCTTGTATCTGTCTTGGTAATTTGTTTCATTTAGGGGACTTATTCATTTCATCTAATTTGTAGACTGTATCGGCATAAAGCTGTTCATAATATTCTTTTACTGTCCTTTTAATGTCTGTAAGATTTTTAATGATTGCCCCTCTTTAATTTCTGAAATATTATTGGTAATCATGTGCCTTATTTTTCTTTTTTCTTTATCATTCTAGTGGAAGATTTTATCAATCTTTTCATGTAATAACTTTTGGTTGCATTCATTTTCTCTAGTTTTTGGTCTGATTTTCTATTTCATTGATTTTCTCTCTTAAATTTACTGTATCTTTCCTTCCACTTATTTTGGGTTAAATTAGCTTCTTATACTTCCCACCTCCAGACTTTTGAAGGTGAAGCTTGGCTAATTGATTTAGTCCCTTTTTCCCATTAGAAGCACTTAGAGCTATATCATTTTCTCTAGACGCTACTTTACATGCATTGCACACATGTTAGCGTGTTGTATTTTTATTATTCAGTTCAAAATAAGTTAAAGTTTTCTTTGTATTTTTTTCTTTGACCCATTCTTTATTTTCAGGTGTATAGGTGAATATTCAAATACTTAGGAACTTTTCTAGAATATCATACTACTATTCATTTCTAATTTAATTGTGTTATAGTCAGAGGGCATACTCTGCAAGATATCAAGCTCTTGAAACCTACAGAAATTCATGTGGCTCAGCATATGGTCTATTGTGGTAAACATTCTCTGTGCACTTGAACTTATATCTGCAGTTGTTCAGTGTTATGCTCTGTAAAGGCCACTTAGGTTACAGCTGCTTGCATTGTTCAGGGCTTCTGTTTCCTTACTGGTTTTTGTCTTACTTTATTTAATTGTGAAAATATCTATGATTGGGGATTTGTTTATGTCTCCTTTTACTTTTGTCAGTTTTTGCTTTATGTGGTTTAAAGCTTTTTTATTAGGTGCATATACATTTGTAATCATTATATTTTACTAATACAGTGCCGCTTATCAACATAAAGTGTTCCTCTTTTTCCCTGGTAATGCCTTTTTTCTTGAATCACTGTGTCTAATATTAATATGGGAATGTTTTCAAAGATGGGAGGTAATAGAGAACATTTGTGTGCTGATATGAGAAAGATTTACCATAGAGAGGGAGAGGCAATGAGATGGGGAGAGAAGGATTATCCAAGGAGCAAAACCCTCAGAGCAAGAAGTAGTATTCAGAGCATGTGCTGGGATTGGTCTTTTGCAAAAGAAGTGAATCACTTCATCTGTATTTGCACTGCAGAAGAAGGCAAGGATGATTATAGACATAAGTAGATTTTTAGAGTTGGCTATACGTGAAATCTATATATTTTAGATTTTTAAAATCTAGCAATATGTACTTTACAGTATGCCAGAAACCACTGATCAAAGAAATGTGGTTTCAGTTTTTGTCATCAATATATGAGGGTGGGCCAAGTGCAGTGGCTCACAACTGTAAGCCCAGCACTTTGGGAGGCCAAGGCAGGAGGATCGCTTGAGCCCAGGAGTCCAAGACCAGCCTAGGCAGCAAAGTGAGACCCTATTGCTACTAAAAAAAAAAAAAAAAAATACAAAAGTTAGCTGGGCGTGATGGCATGCAATAGTCCCAGCTACTTGGGAAGCTGAGGCGGGAGGATCACTTGTACCTGGGAGGTTGGGGGTACAATGAGCCATGATTGTGTCACTGCACTCCAGCCTGGGTGACAGGGTGAGACCCTGCCTCAAAAAAAAAAAGTTATATGTATATATATTTATATGAGGGTGGTAATTAAAGTGTTGGCTGATCTTTCAGATAATTGTGGTTAATTTCTTAATACTAAATTGATCCTTTGGAATATCCTCAGGCTCCGGAATTATGGCTGTTATATCACTGTCCTGAATCTCCCTTGTCCTGAAATTTTTTTTATTATATACTGTTTGATTTTCTGAAATGGTCTGCAAATTGAGCTTATTTTTAATTTTAATTTTAATTTTTTTCTTGAGACAGTCTCACTCTGTCAGTCAGGCTGGAGTGCAGTGGCGATCTCGGCTCACTGCAACCTTTGCCTCCCGGGTTCAGGTGATTCTCATGCCTCAGCCACTCGAGTACCTGGGATTACAGGCATGTACCACCATGCCTGACTAATTTTTATATTTGTATTAGAGACAGGGTTTCACCATATTGGCCAGGCTAGTCTCAATCTCCTGGCCTCAAGTGATCTGCCCGCCTCAGCCTCCCAAAGTGCTGGGATTACATGCGTGAGCCACCGAGTCTGGCCTGAGCTTATTTTTTAGTGAGGTCCAGGATATTTAAGTGTGTTTCTAAGATGAAATCTGAGGTAAGGGACTGCAGCTAAGTCTCTCCACACATAAAATCTTTAAATATAGATGATCTTTATTTGACAAGTTGTTTAACCTTTACAGGTTATTTTCTTTCCTGAATGATGTTATATCTCTGCTTTGATTCTCTATCAAAAATTGTTGTGATTCTAAAAGGGGAATAATCTTTCATTCTGGCAAGCAGTTGGAAATTATACCCATAGAAGTAGGCTTCTGTGTATTGTTTTATCAGTGTAGTGTTCTATGAATAAAAATACAGAGACTTGTCTTTTAAAATGATCCTACTTGAGCATTTCTAAGGAAGCTTCAACTTTATTCTTTACTAGTGTTGAAAAATTGGCCATATTCCTCAGATACAGGGATAATCAGTGTAGTTCACTTCCTTGCTGTGGTGATAGATGGAGGAATGGGCATGTGACCCAAATCAACCCCAGCAGACCCAGCCTTGGGACTTATTTGCAGAGTCTCTCATTAAGAGCTTATCGGGTTTTGTTTTTGTTTTAATTTTTTACTGGGATCTCTAAGAGGATGGAATGTAATTCTGGAGCTACTGGTATCCTTGCATCCTTCATCCTTCTCTATGAGGAGAGAAGCTGTCCTGATAATGGAGCAATATTGAGGAAGGCTGAGTTGAGACACATACACACATACACACAGGCACATACACACATCTGTGCACACACTGTCCCACAGATATCATCTGAGCCTCTCAATTTGATCAGTTTGTCTCAATTACATAAGCTAATAAGTTACTTTAAAAATGACAGCCAGTTCAAGTTGGTTTTTCTGTCTCTAGTAGCTAATAGAGGCAGTACTAATACATTGACTATGTTTTAGAGACTTAAGTCAAAATACAGTAAAGAGTATGAGTCAAAGAAAAGCAACCACCCATGTACAAGGTATATCTATATACATGTATATATGTTCATCCACTAAATTTCAATAATTATTCCTCCTGTGAACTCTGTTCAAGTAGAAATCCAGTCCTTCTATCTCTGTTAGAAATTCTTTCGTAGGGGCGGAGGTTGCAGTGAGCCAAGATCGTGCCACTGCACGCCAGCCTGGGCAACAGAGGTGAGATTCCGTCTCAAAGAAAAGAAAAGAAAAAGAAAAATTCTTTCCTAGGGCTTGCTTTTCTAGTTTACCCAGATTTACTTCCTGCCTTTTTGTTTGTTTGTTTTTTTCCTGTTTCTGAGCTTTAGAACTTGGTGTGATATTCTGTCAAATTGCCTAATGCTCTCTGTTTATTTCTGGCATCAAAAATATTTATCACCTTGCTACTGAGAGAACTCTAGTTGGATCCTGCTGTGTTCTATGAACTGGGTCTCCTCTGGGAAGTATGCCTGCTTCTCACTCTTCGTTAGTGATTCAGTAAGGAGGCTTGCTTGTACCGGAGTTAGGTTATGGTTCTTTTTTTTTTTTTTTGAGATGGAGTCTCACTCTGTCGCCCAGGCTGGAGTGCAGTGGCGCCATCTCCAGTCACTGCAACCTTCACCTCCCGGGTTCAAGTGATTCTCCTGTCTCAGCCTCCCTAGTAGCTGGGACTACAGGCGCGTACCACCACACCCAGCTAACGTTTGTATTTTTAGTAGAGACAGGGTTTCACCATGTTGGCCAGGATGGTCTCGATCTCTTGACCTTGTGATCTGCCCCCCTCGGCCTCCCAAAGTGTGGAATTACAGGCGTGAGCCACTGCGCCCAGCCAGGTTATGGTTCTTTAGTTGATTGTGGTGGCCATGCAGGAGAGGAGAGAGGGCACATGTTACAGAACACTTCTAATTCTGATTCAAACATGGGAACAGTGTCCAGAGGCCCTATAGCCTGACCCTTAGATCTCTGAACTCTTCTTCTCCTGCAGTCCAAGCCAGGTCTGCATAGAGGAGGGCTCCTTAACGGGTGCTGATTATTTCTCCAAATCTATTTTTCTTTTTTTTCTTAAAAGAGTTAAAACATAATTCAGCCATTTTTAAAGGGAGTTAATATAGTTTTCTGTACTGTATCACAAAGAATCAGAAAGAGAGAGACAGATCCTGCTGTTCTGAGTTGTTAGAGACCTATTCTTGGCTCGCTGTGGTGGCTCTTGCCTATAATCCCAGCACTTTGGGAGGCTGAGGCAGGAGGATCTTGAGAACCCAGGAGTTCTAGACCAGCCTGGGCAACATAGTGACCCTGTCTCTACAAAAAATAAAGAAAAGGTAGCCAGGCATGTTGGTGTATGCTGGTAGTCCCAGCTGTTCGGGAGGCTGAGGTGGGAGGATAGCTTGAGCCTGGGAGGTCGAGGCTGCAGTGAGCTGTGATCACACTAGTGCACTCCACCCTGGGCAACAGAGTGAGACCCTGTCTCAAAAAAAAGAAAAAAAAAAAAGAAACCTGTTATTGAGCTGGTGGGATTTAACCCAAGACAGAGTTTGCAGTGGTCTGTGAATGGTGTATAATGGAAGGAAATGGCAGATAAGATTAAAATAACTGAAAAAGGTCAGTGGACATTGAGAAAGTCAAGGTCTTGTAAGCCAAAGAATAGAGAAGTAGTTTCTCTTTTTAAAATAGAGACGAGGTCTCACTATGTTGCCCAGGTTGGTCTCAAACTCCTGGGCTCAAGCAGTCCTCCACCTTGGCCTCCCAAAATGCTGGGATTATAGACATGAGCCACTGTACCTGGCTGATAAGTAGTTTCTCTAGGAAAGAGAAACCCATGGGAATGTTTTTGAATAAGAGGATAATCAGAATTTTTATTTCTGGAGATTTGTAGGGTGGTGTCACTTAGAAGACCAGGGAATTTGTGGAGCTCTAAGATTGCTTGTAAAAAGGTAAGTGAAGGATTTGGTGACTGGTATGTTAAGCAGTGGGAAGAGTCAAATGTAGTTGCAAGGTTTTCAGCTTGAGTGGCCTGGAAGAAGTAGTAGTGGTGTTTGAAGAAAGAGAAGAACAGGAAAGGGAAATGCTTTGAGGGGAAGGACCAGAGTGCTTTTGATGTTTTGAGTTTCAGGTGGCAGTGGCCTTCATGGAGTTTGTGTTGCACTGGGAAAGATATAATAATATTAAATAAAATACTACATGTAGCATACTCAATGGTGATATGTGCTGAAGAGAAAAAAAATAAGGAAAGGAAATATGATTTTGGGGGATAAGGATTGAGATTTTAAATAGGGTGATGAAAGAAGACCTCATTGAGAGCATGACTTTGGGAAGAAACAAAGGAAGAGAGGAAGCTGTCCTTATGGAGATCTTGGGGAATGGCAGTGCGTTCCTAGTGTGCTCAAGGAATAGCAAAGGGGCTGAGGTAGAGAATTGTCAGAGACGAGGTCGGAGGGATCCGGGGTGGGGGTGCAGTCAGGTAGAGCCTTTACATCATAGGTAGGATTCTGTTTCTGGCTCTGATTGAAGTGGTAAGGCTTAGAGTGGTAGGAGTAGAGAACTGACATATCACTTATGTTTCATAGGCTCACTCTGTTATGTTGGGAATAGACTGAAAGGAGGCAAGGGTAGAAGCAGGGAGACCCCTTACATGGCTATTGCTTACTTCCAGGATGGAGATGATGGAGACTAAACCAGGATGGTGGCAATGAAGGTAGAGCTGACAAGATCAGCTGACAGTTGGGATGTGGGGTGTGTGTGTGTGTGTGTGTGTGTGTGTGTGTGTGTTGCTGTGTGTTTGAGAGAAGGGGAGGTTGAGGTGGGGTGGGGAAGGAAGTCGAATGATTGATTGATAAGGACTGCACAGGGATTTTGGGCTGAGTAATTGGAAGAATGGAGAGAGATTGTTCATTCTTTGGCTGTTAACTAGATAAAAGGTACGTTTGGATTAGCTACCCTAAGCAAACGAAGTTCCCAACAAATACGCCCTTGAAAATGTCTGTAAATATGTCTTTTAAATGATAGTGCCCATAGTTAAATTTTATAATGAAAAGCTTATTGGCAAGCCTTGTCAAGAGCTCCCTGTGGAAATATCAGTTGCTTTTCTTGGCTTCAAGGTGTTTCCTGAACAGTGTATTATCCTTTGTCCCGAGTGTGCCATTAAGGGATTTGAAAGTTTGTTAAAACATGTGTGGCAAGTGAGTGCTGTCATTTAAGCCTAGCCAGGGAAGCCAAGAAATGAAAAGCAGCTCTTTGCTGGACTTCCTGACATGCTTTAGCTCTGAATCCGAGGCTCAGGTAGTGGGGTGGACAGGGCATTATTTCCTGTGCACAAAGTGTCAGTGGACACAGTTCTCAAGCCATTTCCGCGGAAAATGTCTGTGGACATGGGTATATGTGAATCTTTTGGAAAAACTCCATAATACCAAGTTGATAGCAACCCCCTGCCTAAGGAGAATGTAATAGGGTTTATTTGCTGCAACAGAATTTTCCAGTGCTAATATGGACTTGCTCTTTTTATAAGATTTAAAACAGCACTCTTTAATGATGGTCTTTGAGCTCGAGGAAAGGTTTTTTCTATATCAGTAAACAGGGAAGCTATGAAATGTTTCATGCTTGGAGTTCGGGTGAGCCAGCATAATGGAAAGGTTACCTGGCACTTTTATTTAGGATTCCATTAGAATTTTTTGGTTACAGGGACTTTTTCTGTTTGCTTTTCAATTTTGAAATACGGTATATTGATTTTAAAAGGAAGGGAAGAAAAACCTAATGCACATCAAACAGTTTTGAAGTGACCAGTTTCTTCTCTAGATCCTGGTAGGTTTGAATTGCTGTTTGCAACTGATCTAACTTACTACACAGCGTAGACGAGATTTCCAGCTTTCTGAGTGACAGATTGCTACTTCACAACTCTGGAAAGATCAGGAAATGTCCCTCTGAGGTGTTGCCAGATCTAGGCTTTCTTTCCTTCATCTGGACATTTGTGACTTTTCTTGCTAAGACACTTCTTTTCAAGTTGGGGAGCAGTTAACTTTATGGTTATATTTGCATTTATATTGAAAACTGGAGTTATAATTTAGATATAAAGGCATAGAATTATTTTAGAAAAATGAATTTATTTCAGTGCCTCCCAATTTTATTCATTTGCATTTATTTATCTTGTATCTCTTACAGTGATAAGTTTCAATTTTGATGAAATAATTGTTGACTATTTCCTGGTTTCCAGACACATTGTGTTAATGGAGGACATTGCTGTATCATGAAGTATCTTATGGACATGCATTTTAATTTAGCTGGCTCTTGCTGCTTAGTATTTATTTCTCACTATTTTTTGCAAATGCTTCTTTTACAGCTGATTCAAGTCTTTCTCATTCTCTTCAGAAGAAGAGAAAAGAGAATCAATATTTACTGAGCACATTCTATGTGCCATGGATCATGGGAGACTCTCAGAAATATAAAAATGAATGTAATGTGGTTTACTGTCTAGTGGAAGAAAAAATATGCAAACAAATAAATGAAATATAGCCCCATCAAGGAACCTTTTTTTTTTTTTTTTTTTTGCTTTTGAGAAAGGATCTCGCTCTGTTACCCAGGTTCACCACGTGAGCAGTGACACAATCACAGCTCATTGCAGCCTTGACTTCCTGGGTCCCAATGATCCTTCCTCCTCAGCCTCCCGAGTAGCTGGGACCACAGGCGCATGTCACCATGCCTGGCTAATTTTTTATTTTTGGTAGAGACGGAGTTTTGCCGTGTTGCCCAGGCTGGTCTTGAATTCTTGAGCTCAAGTGATCTGCCTGCCTCGGATTCCCAAAGTGCTGAGATTACAGCTTGAGCCACCACACCTGGCCGAGGAACCGTATAGTGAAAGAATGGCTAAGGACTAGCAGTGCTGCAGAGGAAGGCAACAACATTTAGGCAGAGAGAGAGAAGTTAGCAGATAAACATTCACAGAAGAGCTGGGTCTTGAATTTTGATTATTTGCTAGGCCAACAAAAGGTTCAGAGGCATTTCATGCAATGTGTGTCAGGGATGGGAGCTGTATGGGTGAGGTTCACTCTGAATCTCTTTGTTTTCAACTCCTGTGGATGATTTCCTTCAGTGTCCAGGACTAAGAGAATTGCATTTAGAGTCCTAGACCTGTAGGCACATTACAACTCTGCCATTTAGTAGCTGTGAGATTGTGACATGTCTGAAGTCATTTCCTCCTCTGTGAGATGGAGATACTCATTCTCCTGTGCATCACCCAGGGTCATTGGGTGGATCCAATCAGTTAATGTGTATAAAAGCACAGGGACGATTGTGCAATAGAATGTGAAGATTCATAATAAAAACTTCAGTGTTTCTTGTGATTCCCATATCCATAGTTATGTTTAAATTCTCTCTACTTTGCTCACTCCTATTCCTTGTTGAAACCCCATTATTTGAGTCTTCCCCAAGGGCTTTATCCTCAGGTTCTCTTTTCAGTAGACACTTGGCCCTGAGTCACCTTTGCTTAACTGTCAACCCATATTATGGGTAACCCTCTAATCTGATTTCTGTCCTCCAAGACACTTCTAGTCTCCAGACCTACATTTCCAGCTGCCACCTGGATGTTCCTCATCATCTTGCACTTCTCGAGTCATCTGAAGGCTACATTTGTTTCCTTATATGTAACTGCTCCTAATTTTTCTGTTTCTATTGTCTGAGTTCAGGACCTTGCAATTATTTTTGACCCTTCCTTCCCCTTCCCCTTGCTTCAGGTTGTTCTTCAGGATGTAAAGGCTCCCAACTGAGTGTACTGTTATTATTAAATCCTTCACTTTACTTAAGCTCCTACCATGTTCCAGGCACCTGTGCTAAGAGTTTTTCATTTATTATCTTAGTTCCCACAATAGTTTTGTGATATTAGACACTCTTGTCCCCATTTTAAAGATAATGAAATTGAGATTCAAAGAAACTGCTTTTCCAAGGTGGCATTGCAGGTAAGTGCAGAGCCATGACTCAAGCCAGTTGTGTTGTCCCTAGAGTTTGTGCTCTGAATCACTCCACTCTGCTTTCACACTTCACTGACTTGACAGTAAAGTCCCAACTCATTAAGTTGGCATTTAGGGCTCTTGACATCTTGATCTTCCTTTCTCCCTCTTGTTGTATATTTTCACGATTATTTGCCATTCCTAAAGGAGAATTTGCATTTTCTTATCTCTTTGCTTTTCCATATGTTCTTTCTCAGCTTAGATACCTCTTTTTCATGTGTACCTGTCAGAATCCTGAAGGAGACAGGGCAGTGTAGTGGAATAAGCCAGGGCTCCGGAGTCCAGTGGATCTGCTTTCTGCTTTCCCTCATAGTCCTGGTCTCTTCTACAAAGGGCTGGACCAGTTCACATTCACACTAGATATGTACTGCTGTGTGTTCTTGCTAGCATTTGGTATTATCAGAATTTTTGGGTTTTGCCCATCTGTGGGTTTGTAGTGATATCTCATTGTGGCTTTAATTTGCATTTCTCTGACTAATAAGGCAGAGCACCTTTCCATCTTTATTGCTACATGGCATCTCTATTTTGTGAAGTATTTTAAGCCTTTTCTTCCATTTTTCTATTGGATTATTTGTCTTTTATTGATCTATAGTAGTTCTTTATATATTCTGGATATGAGCTCCTCTGTGGCTTGCCTTTTAAAATTTCTTTTATTATATCTTAGAATAAAAAGAAGTTTTAATAGAGTTGAATTTATCATTATTTTTCTTTCGTGGCAGTGTTTTTTATATATATTTAAAACATATTTCCCAACATATTTTCTCACGTTTTCTAAAATTCTGCCAGCTTTTTAGATTACATCTTCCTTAGCTATTTCCCACTCCCAGTATTGCATAGTGTCTCTGACCCGGCAAGTGTTCTTGTCTTTGAAATAGGATGCTACAAGGCATTTTGCCATTCCTCTGCCAACACAAGGCCTGTGTTCCCCTTAAAATGCTGACATCATGCTATACCCAGCCTACTTTTCCAGCAGGGTGTCTCTTCTTCTCCTGTGTCTCTGAACTCAGGATTCTGGGCTTAGTTCTGTTCCTTTAAGTGGAGAGCCTCTCATAGCTGCCCCTCAGTTTCAGCCATCCTTCATGGTTTTTCTGGGTGCCCTCCACCCCTACCCACTGCCCCACCATGGGTCCTGCTGTAGAGGCCAGGTTGCTGTTCTCTGTCTTCCGGAGCATAGGGAATCCTGCCTGATGGAGAAAGCCTTACTTTTTCCTTTCAGCACACTGCCATACCACTCTTAGTGCCCAATTTTACCTTCCAAAAAAAAAAAAAACAGTAGATAGATTACAGATCTGTGCTTGGTAAAACTAACTTCAGGATGTATCTGACACAAGTTTCTGTGTGTGTGTGTTTGGGAGTTGGGGGTGAGGTCAAATAGATTAAAATAAGTATTGTAATGTGCTATTTCTAGAGCATTTTTAGTGGCTGCAAATGCCATTTATTTCTTATCAATACTCCTCAGTTGATATCTGTCTATATTTTCACTGCTTATTTTTATCAGCAGGGTTTTATGTGATGCCCATCCCACCCTGTTCATGGAAAAAGACTGAGAGTGAAAAAGTTCTTTATGATCCAGTGATTTGATTCTCCCACTAATCTGTTTCTGTCCTGTCCTTCAGAGATTAGACTAAATCTCCAAGGGAGAAATAATCCCATTTGCAGCATGCACTCAGGTAATAAGTGCAGTCAGCTGCCCCACCCTTGCAGGTCTATGGAGAAACCAGAAGAATTTAAAAAGTCCTCAGTTAACCATGTCAGTAATATATCTGCTATCCTCAGGGCCCCTTTTTTCACGCTGAGCCCAGAGTTCTCCAAAATATTGGCCAGCCTGAACTGGTATCCTTCAGCACCAGGCCCTTTACTGTACTTTGTTATAGAGTATTTTCTTTCTTTCTTTCTTTTTCTTTCTTTCTCTTTCTTTCTTTCTTTCTTTCTTTCTTTCTTTCTTTCTTTCTTTCTTTCTTTCTTTCTTTCTTTTTCTCTTTCTCTTTCTCTTTCTTTTTTTTTTTTTATTTTTTGAGATGGAGTCTAGCTCTGTCACCCAGGCTGGAGTGCAGTGGCATAATCTTGGCTCACTGCAACCACCACCTCCCGGGTTCAAGTGATTCTCCTGCCTCAGCCTCCTGAGTAGCTGGGACTACAGGCGCGTGCCACTACATCTGGCTAATTTTTGTATTTTTAATAGAGATGGGGTTTTGCCATGTTGGCCAGGCTGGTCTCAAACTCCTGACCTCAGGTCATCCACCCGCCTTGGCCTTCCAAAGTGCTGGGATAATAGGCATGAGCCACCTCGCCCAGCCTAGAGTATTTTCTATCTGCTTGTAGATATGCCCTTCCCCCCCGCCCCGCTCCCCGGGAGGAAGGGTTTACAGCTTTCATCTGATTCTCAGAGGGATCTGCTAACTTTCAAAGTTGAGAACCACTGATTTAGACTTCTTAACTCTTTCAAAGACAACCCCATGGAAGAAAGCCTCTTACTTTACAGAGTCAAGGAAAATTGGGCTACTAGTTTCTAACCCACATACCCTTGTGCTTGAAAACTTTTCTGAAAGCTCTTGCATCTTGATAATCTACTATGTGCATTTTATTGTTCTTCTACCTGTTTATCCATTTATTCATCAAACATTGAGTACTTAATTATGCAAGTTTCTATAGAATACACAAAAATGTGTAGTATACAGTTAGTGAGCAGATAGTCTTAACAGATGAGATAAATCATATGCCTAGATAACAATAATGCAGTAAAGAAATTGAGAAGTGCTGAAGAAGAGGTATAGATAAATTGCTTTGGGACTTCAAAGAAAGAGAAATTATTCTTGTCTGGGCAGGCAGGAGGATAGAGAGGAACTGGGAAGATTATGTGGTGGATTTTGGATTATAGAAAATTCATGCTTTTTGGAGTAGGTCTTAAAAGATGGATAGATTTTAGATATGTGGAGATATTAGATACAGTGTGCCATCTCTGGCTGTTTATTTGAAAGACAATTGAGTACTACTGTGTGCCAGGCCTAGCCATGGGCACTTCATGGAGTTTATCAGGGAAGATAGACTCTGAACAAATCATTTCCTAATTAATTGTCATATTTGTTGATTCTGTTAGCATGTATTTCAGTGGCTACTAAATGCTGCTCTCAACTCAGAATACAGCAGTGAATAGAATAGATACCTCTATGTTCATGAAACCTATATTCTAGTTGGGGAAACAGAAAGTAAATAAGGAGATATATACTTTCAGATAGTGGTAAGTGCAAATGAAAATAAAGCTGGATAAGGCCAGGCGCAGTGGCTCACACCTGTAATCCCAGCACTTTGGGAGGCTGAGGCGGGCAGATCACAAGGTCACCAGATCAAGACTATCCTGGCTAACATGGTGAAACCCCGTCTCTACTAAAAATATAAAAAATTAGCTGGGCGTGGTGGCTGGCGGGCACCTGTAGTCCCAGCTACTTGGGAGGCTGAGGCAGGAGAATGGTGTGAACCGGGGAGGCGGAGCTTGCAGTGAGCCGAGATTGCGCCACTGCACTCCAGCCTGGGCGACAGAGCAAGACTCTATCTCAAAAAAAAAAAAAAAAAAAAAAAAAAGTAAAGAAAAGAAAGTAAAGCTGGATAAGGGGCTAGAGAAATGATAGCAAGGTGGGGCTATTTCAGTTACTGTGATCAGGGAAGTGTCTCTGACAGGCAGATATTTGAGCAGAGACTTCAACAAAACAAGAGGGCAGGCCCTATGAATAGCCAGGCAGAGAGCTTTCCAGATAGAAGGATAGCAAGTGAAAAAGCCCTAAGATGGAAGGTTGTAGTATTCTAGGAACAGCAAGAAAGTCTCTGGAGTTGGAGGGTCATTTGCAAAAGAAGAAACTGTAGAACATGAGGATAGAAAAATGTCTTGATAAGGCCTTGTAGCACGGCAATGGAAGGAGGTTGGAAAGCTGTTGGGAGAATGACATGATCTGATTTGTGTTTTAAAAGAAACGCTCTAACTTTATTGGTCCAAAATGGAAATAAAGAGACCAATTATTGCATTAATTCAGCGTGGCAATAAAGGTTGTTTGGGTTTATGTAGTAACAGTGGAAATGGCAAGAAGATCCATTTAAAGGAAAGGCCACTGGGCTCTTCTGATGGATTGAATGTGGGGAATGAGAGGGAGAGGGTCAAGGGTAGTGCTGCGGTTTAGGGCTGGAGGAACTAGATGGAAGGTGATGTTATCTGCTGAGAGAGTGTGCTGGGTGAGGAGCAGGTTCTAGTGGGGATCAAGGGTTCTCTTGTTTGAGATGTCATCTGGGCAATTGAATATAAGTCTGAAGATGGGAAAGATTGAGCTAGGCACTTAACTTTGGGAGTTAATAGCATGTAGAGGGAGATTTAAAGCCAAAAGACTGCATGAAATCACCTAAGAAGTGAGTATGGATGGATCCATCATTTCATCCCTGAATACTTCAGGTATCTCCAAAAGTTAGAGATTTTTGAAAAACAGTCATAACGAATTAATGATATTCATTGTCTAATCACTATTTACATTTCTCAGATTTTTGTCTCTCCTCCTTTTTTTCCCTTTCTTTTCTTCTTTAAAAATACAGGGCTGGGCATGGTGGCTCAAACCTGTAATTTCAGCACTTTGGGAGGCTAAGGTGGGTGGATTGCTTGAGCTCAGGAGTTCGAGACCAGCCTGGGCAACATGACAAAACCCCATCTCTACAAAAAATACAAAAATTAGCCAGGTATGGTGGCGTGTGCCTGTAGTCCCAACTACTTGGGAGGCTGAAGTGGGAGGATCTCTTGAGCCTGGGAGGTGGAGGTTGCAGTGAGCCAAGGTGGTGCCGCTGCACTCAAGCGTAGGTAACAAAGTGCAGCTCTGTCTCAAAAAAAAAAAAAAAAAAATACAGTTGGTTGGTTAGAATCAGGATTAAAATAAAACCTACAAAATTGCCTTTTGTTGATATGTAACAAATATTTTAATCTATAGGCTTACCCTTTTTTCTTGCAATTTATTTGTTGGCAAAACTGGGTTATTTGTTCTACAAAATTTCTCAAATTGTGAATGTGATTGAGTGTGCATGGTAATGTTGTTTAACATGTTCCTGTGTTCCATTTCCTATATTGGATCAGGTTTAATTTTGGGGAAAAAAATACTTCGTAGGTGGTGATGTGTACTTCCTGATATAGTGAATCAGGAAGCACTTTGGTTCTTTCTCTTTTTACAATATGCATATGTATCAGTGGGTTCAGGTATTGCCTCTCTGGTCCATCCATTATAAAACTCTGGTCCACCCATTATAAAACATCCATCCATTATTATTACCTCTCTGGTCCACCCATAATAAAACGTTCATACGTTATAAAACTCCCTCTCCATCAGCTTACAACTTACTGGTTTTAGCAACCATTGATGACCATTACCTGAATCCATTATTCAGTAGGGATGGCAAAATGGCGATACCGAAAGCCTTTTTTTTTTTCTTTCTTAATTTAATTAGCTGAAACACTTGTATAAAGAAAAACTTTACCTCATCAATTACTTGGTTACCTTGAGGTACAGTTCGTACAGGCCAGGTAGAATAAATGCGTAGAATTCTCCATAGTTGACCAGAGAAGCCCCTTTATGATACTTCCTGTGTCCTTTAGACAAGACACTAGTAGCCATTGATAGCTTTCTTGTTTTCCCAGTATGACAGGAGGTTCCAGGGTTGTCTTGTCCATTTCCTGCTCCAGATTTGAATTAGCCATTTCTCTAAGGAGTCCCACACCTTTACTTTTTTTGTTTGTTTTGAGACGGAGTCTTGCTCTGTTGCCTAGGCTGAAGTGCAGTGGTGCAGTCTTGGCTCACTGCAACTTTTGCCTCCGGGTTCAAGTTATTCTCCTGCCTCAGCCTCCCCAAGTAGCTGGGACTACAAGCACATGCCACCATGCCTGGCTAATTTTTGTATTTTTGGTAGAGACAGGGTTTCGCCATGCTGGCCAGGCTGGTCTCGAACTCCTGACCTCAGATGATCCGCCCACCTTGTCCTCCCAAAGTGCTGGGATTGCAAGCATGAGCCACCGTGCCCGGCCTCACATCCTTACTTTTAACCAGTATGCAATATGAGATGGTTAGAGAGTACACAGGTTTTGAGTCCTGTGATCTCATAATGATCTTTTCCCCCCATACCTTTTGTTCTTTTCTTATGTGTTTTAGGATAATAACATAGAATAAAATGCTTTAAAGAAGTAACACATTAATTTATATTTTAATTGCACAGTTTTGAATGACTTAATTTATTAAGTCCTATTACCTCAGGAGTCTCCAGCCCCTGGGCCATGGACTGGTACTGGTCTGTGGCCTGTTAGGAACTGGACCACACAGCAGGAGGTGAGCAGTGGGCAAGTGAGCATTACCGCTTGAGCCCCGCCTCCTGTCAGATCAGCAGGGGCATTAGATTCTCGTAGGAGCATGAACTCTACTATGAACTGTGCATGCAAGAGATCTAGGTTGCATGCTCCTTATGAGAATCTAATGCTTGATGGTCTGAGATGGAGCAGTTTCATCCCGTAACAGCCCCCTACTTCTGGTCTGTGGAAAAATTGTCTTCCACAAAACCAGTCCCTGGCACTGAAAAGGTTGGAGACTGCTGCCTTGTAGCATTTTTTGGTTTAGTAACTCAAAAGTGAATTTAGTCCCTACAACACTAATTCTTCAGTATAAACCATGAAGATTATCACAAAATCAGACGTAGGTTAGTTTTTGAATATGCTCTACAGTTAAGCTTGCTGTACTCTGGTTGTTGCTTTCCACTGATCTTCTGTATTAGTCCATTTTCATAATGTTGATAAAGACATAACCAGGACTAGGCAATTTACAAAAGAAAGAGGTTAATGGATTCACATTTCCACGTGGCTGGGGAGGCCTTCCAGTCGTGGCAGAAGGTGAAAGGCACATTTCACATGGCGGCCTACAAAGGAAGAGGACTTGTTCAGGGAAACTCCCCTTTATAAAACCATCAGATCATGTGAGACTTATTCACTATCATGAGAACAGCACAGGAAAGACCCACCCCCCCATGATTCAATTACCTCCCACCTGGTCCCTCCCATGACACATTGGAATTGTGGGAGCTACAAGTCAAGATGAGATTTGGGTGGGGGCACAGCCAAACCATGTCGCCTTCTCTTCCCATTCTCTTCTTAAACTTCGTATGCATGAGCCAAAGCATAAATTATTAAGTAAGTAGGCAGGCAGAATCACGCTGATTACAATTTATACCCCCCCCCCCCCCCCCCACATATACATACATGCAGAGAAAGACCTTTCACTGTGAGAAAGTTCAACCTGCAGATTGTATAACAAAGTCAGAATTCTGGTACCTATGATATTTCTCCGTGGTTGGTGGGAACCAAATCCTTTGTGGAACCACTAGTGGCAGAAATAAATACAAAATAGAACCTAAAGGCCTGAGCTCTTTGCATAATGTCTTCTTCTTCTTTTTTTTTTTTTTTTGAGACAGAGTCTCACTCTGTTGCCCAGGCTGGAGTGCAGTGGCATGATCTCAGCTCACTGCAACCTCTGCCCCCTGGGCTCAAGTGATTCTCTTGCCTCAGCCTCCTGAGTAGCTGGGATTACACACGTGTGCCACCACACCCAGCTAATTTTTGTATTTTTAGTAGAGACAGGGTTTCACCATGTTGGCCAGGCTGGTCTTGAACTCCTGACTGCAAGTGATCTGCCTGCATTGTCCTTCCAAAGTGCTGGGATTACAGGTGTGAGCCACCACGCCAGGCCCATAATGTCTTTCCAGGAGACTACCTTTTACCTGCTAGACCAACTGCAGCATGACAGTTGCTTTCTTGCCCAGAACTTCTCTCTCTGAGATAAAGTATGTATGGGGATGATACAGGAAAAACCATTAAACCCGAGATTGTATATAGCCACCATGCTTTAGACATAGGGTATACACCTGTGCCTTCTGCCTGTGCTTAGGCTGCTCTGACAGTACCCAAGGTTGTATTAGTTCTTTGAGGATGGTCAGGGGCAGATGTTCCTAAATATTTCTGAATTTGCCAGGCATATTTAAGGAAATTGAATGAATTTGTTGATTTGAGTGATATCGGATTCTTTTTCTGCTGTAACTTGTCAGTAAATTTTCTTATTTTTGGATGATCTTCTTTGGGTCAGTTATGAAAACAAGGCTTATGTGGTAAAGCAGAAGTGCAGATGGGGGAGCTGGTTTTTTAATTGTACAGGCTGTGTATTCCTTATCCAGAATAAGGAATTCTTATCCAAAATAAGGTCCTTTTTGGGACCAGAAGTGTTTTTTTTGGGTTTGGGATGTTTTTCGGATTTTGGAATATTTACATTATACCAGTTGAGCATCCTAAATCCTAAAATCTGAAATCTGAAATGCTTCACTGAGCATATCTTTTGATTGTCATGTTGATGCTCAAAAAGTTTCAGATTTCAGACCATTTTGGATTTTCAGATTAGGGATGTTCAACCTGTGTATCAGTGCCCTAGCTGTAGCTTCACTCACATGAGCTCTTGCAGGAAGGGCCCTGCGGGAATCTTTTTGGAGATTGCTGGCCTGGCCAGTAGAACTTTTTTGTAGTATTAAAGAGAGGGAGATATGTCTGTTTCTAACTTCCCATTGACAGATGAATGGACAAATGAATGTATGAATCTGACATGAGTCAAAACAAGCAAAAAAGAAAATTTTATTAAATATACTCAGGGACTGGGAACCAAGTTTTTAAAAAAGTTTGCTCAAAAGTTTTGAGCACAGTTTTGCTCAAAAAAAAAAAAGCATTGTTTACAAGTTTTTCTATTACTATATTTTTATGGAGTCAATTTTTACAAACTGAGGATATATTCTTACCTTTATTCTGATCGTTCTTTGTAATATTTTACTTTGGTTTTCTGAGTTGATATTATAATATTAATTGTCTAGGAATGGTTATGTTAATTGAACCTACTGTATTAAAATGCTTTAGGAAAGATTTAATAACTTTTTCTCTCTTGTATAAGGTGAAGATCTTTCACTAAGCATGATCTTTGTGTTACTTTTAATTAGAACATTAGACCTATCAAATATAAACATGGTGAAACTGCTAGAGCTCTCTTACTTCATTCAGGTCTCTGCTCAAATGCTGCTTCCTCTAAGCAGTATTTCCTAATCACCCTACTGATAAACTAGGCACACCCTCTCCATTATTCTCTCATTTACTTAACGAGCTTTCTCATTCTTTCAATATATTTAATTGCGCTTCTCACTAGTCGACTTTTGATTGTGTTCACTGTTCTGCCCTTGGCACCTAGAACAGTTTCTGGCACCATGAAAGGGACTCCATAATGACTTGTTGAATGAGTAAATTGTTCATCATTTGTCACCCCACTAGGATGTAGGACTCATGACGGTGCCTGGCACGAGGTGGGCATTCCAACATTTGTTTGAAAGAATAAAAGGAATGTTTACAAGTAGTGATCAAATTCATTTTTTATATTTATGTATATACAGGTGATCATTTAAGTTTTAATTATATGTTTAAATTGAACATAGGTATTTATCATATAGAAATAGATTATTAAAAAGGATGCAGTATTCAAGTAACATCCAAGAACCTACAAAATCTGCTGCTTTTTTGCTAATGTGGATGGGCAGATTTACATGTAGGGTCACAATTTTTTTCAGTGACTCAATAACACCTGGTGTATTTTAATATAGTGTCCATAGACATCAGAGTGCTGTATGTGACAAACTCATAAAATGGATTAGTATCTGGATTGGTTTTTTATTTTATTTTATTTTATTTTTTTTAGAGCTAGAATATCCCTTTGT
This sequence comes from Homo sapiens, assembly GCF_000001405.40. NCBI lineage: Eukaryota > Metazoa > Chordata > Mammalia > Primates > Hominidae > Homo > Homo sapiens. The sequence continues at coordinate 232,085,845 of NC_000002.12, forward strand.
CGCCCAGGCTGGAGTGCTGTGGCGTGATCATAGCTTACTGTAACTCCTAACTCCTAGGCTCAAGTAATCTTCCCACTTCAGCCTCCCAAGTAGCTAGGACTACAGGCGCCCTGCCCCCCAACTATGCCTGGTTGATTTTTAAATTTTTTTTAGAGGCAAGGTCTCAATATGTTGCCCAGGCCGGTCTTAAACTCCTCCTGCCTTGGCCTCCCATAGCTCTGAGATTACAGGTGTGAGTCACTGTGCCTGGCCTGGATTTTTTTCCTCTACTTGCTTCATTAGTATTGTAGTGTAAATGTCCATCAGTGTGTGTGTGCTTTATACGTATATACGTATATATACACACGTATAGACGTGTATACGTATATATACACACGTATAGACGTGTATACGTATATATACACACGTATAGACGTGTATACGTGTATATACATATACGTATATATGTATACATATATACATATGTATATGTATATGCATATGCATATGTATATATACATATATGTATATATATGTGTATATGTATATGTATATGTATATGTATATGTATATGTGTATATATACATATACATGCAGAGAAAGACCTTTCACTGTGAGAAAGTTCAGCCTGCAGATTGTATAACAAAGTCAGAATTCTGGTACCTGTGATATTTTCTCCATGGTTGATGGGAACCAAATCCTTTGTGGAACCATTAGTGGCAGAAATAAATACATAATAGAAACTAAAGGCCTGAGCCTTTAAATATATATATATATATGTGTGTGTGTGTATATATATATATATACACATATATATATATGTATATATATATATATGTGTGTGTGTGTGTGTGTATATATATATTTTTTGAGACAGAGTCTCGCTCTGTCACCCAGACTGGATGGAGTGCAGTGGTGCCATCTCGGCTCGCTGCAAGCTCCGCCTCCTGGGTTCACACCATTCTCCTGCCTCAGCCTCCCAAGTAGCTGGGACTACAGGCACCCGCCACAACTCCTGGCTAATTTTTTTATATTTTTAGTAGAGACAGAGTTTCACCGTGTTAGCCAGGATGGTCTCAATCTCCTGACCTCATGATCCGCCCGCCTCAGCCTCCCAAAAGTGCTGGGATTACAGGCTTGAGCCACCGCGCCTGGCCAATAAAGCTTTATATTTTTATAAGAACATTTTATAAACTCTTGTTCACACTTAATTTTGTTTTTTTTCCACTTCATCTTGTATTCTTGTGGTTTCCTTGGTTTCCTTTAGGAACACTGTGGCATACTTTGTTGAGTTCTTTTATCATTCCCTAACTTACTAATTGTTCCTATATGGTGAGGGTTTATGAAGCAGCATGGTACTACTTCTGGTATTCAGGGCCTTTGGGGAGAGGGGATGAAAATGTAGATCAGAAATATGAGAAGTGGATAAGGCATTAATTTGGGGCATCCTGAAGAGCTGAGTGTCAGCCTGGCTTTGCTGGATTGATTATGTGCATTAGGTGGTCTGTGCTTCTGGAAAATAAAGATCCTTTTTTGAACTACATGATTAGTGTCCAATACCGTTAGCTTCTGAATATGCAGTTTCTTCCTTAGAAAAGAAAAATCTGCTCTTTTTTTTTTTTCCTCTCTCAGTGATTTAGCAGAATTTTTCTGTTTTCTTTAGGTAGTTAAACCAGAGAGCAATGACAAAGAAACAGAAGCTGCGTATGAATCAGATATCCCCGAGGAGCTCTGTGGACACCATCTCCCGCAACAGTCCCTGAAAAGCTATAATGACAGTCCTGATGTCATTGTAGAGGCTCAGTTTGATGGCAGCGACTCAGAAGATGGACATGGCATCACACAAAATGTGCTGGTTGATGGTGTTAAGAAACTCTCAGTTTGTGTTTCTGAGAAAGGTGAGTACTAGACTATTGTCTTACTTTTTTTTTAAGTACACTGATTAAGTATTGGAATTCCCTCTCTGCTGCAGAGTAAATAACACAATGCCATTGATATAGTCCTAATTTTTGACCTGTGGCAGCTTTCAGAAAAGGGGGATCTTTGACAGGTTTAGCTGCTGGTTATGAAAGAGGGGATGAAAGTGCTTCCAGCGGTTTGTGTGGGCAGTAGTTGCAGTTGCCACATTCCTAATAGGCTTGAGCTGTGTTGCTGGTTAACGTTGACATCTCTTGCGATAGGCGCAATCCTGTGGATGATGTGAACACAATTAAACTGGTATGTAAAATTCATATGAAAAATCACTTTATTTTACTTTCAGTTTTACTTTAAATATCTTTTAGAAGTATTTTTGTCGGCTGGGCACAGTGGCTCACGCCTGTAATCCCAGCACTTTGGGAGGCCGAGGCGGGCGGATCACGAGGTCAGGAGATCGAGACCATCCTGGCTAACATGGTGAAACCCTGTCTCTACTAAAAATGCAAAAAAATTAGCCAGGCGTGGGCCGGGCGCGGTGGCTCACGCCTGTAATCCCAGCACTTTGGGAGGCCGAGGTGGGCGGATCACGAGGTCAGGAGATCAAGACCATCCTGGCTAACACGTTGAAAGCCCGTCTCTACTAAAAATACAAAAAAAAAAAAAAAAAAAAAAATAGCCGGGAGTTGTGGCGGGCACCTGTAGTCCCAGCTACTCGGGAGGCTGAGGCAGGAGAATGGCGTGAACCTGGGTGGTGGAGCTTGCGGTGAGCCTAGATTGTGCCACTGCACTCCAGCCTGGGTGACAGAGTGAGACTCCGTCTCAAAAAAAAAAAAAAGTTTTTTTTGTCATTTCTGGTGGGCATGGATCACCCAAAATTTTATAAACAAATAGCCTTAGAAAGTATTTTGATTCTAAGCCTTTTAAAAAGCCAGTTTTGTTTTCTCTGATTGAAATCTAAGCCATGGGCCCTCTGGATGCAGAAAAAAAGCAGTTGTAAACACATGAGAGCTGTGACCACGGACCCTACCTGACCACACTTGAAGAGACTTAAGGAAAATATTAAGTACAATTTGAATATTTCAAGTTAGAGATTTTGAAGAAATTCTACATAGAAGGAGTATATTTTCTAGCCAAATCGAATTTTATGTATACTATTAATGGAAACCGACCAACTCTGACCTGGCCAGGCTGACTAGATAATGAGCTTTGTTATCAAGAAGAAGTTTCTGGCACAGTTCCCATGAAAGGCTAGGAGAAATGCCAGAAGATTTCTAAAGGAGGATGTTCAGCAGACAACTCGTTTAGGGACTGGTGAGCATATGTCCCCCCAGCGTAAAGAAAGCCGAAGGTATCTTCAGGACATGACTGGAGAAGGATGACTGCTTTTCTCCATTGCTGAGGAGGTAGTGATCTGTGAAAGAAAGCATTTTTTGAAAGCATGTGTCCTTTTTGGTGCCAAGTACTCATTCAGAATGACTTTCCAACTTTGAAATTCTTCTTGACTGAAGAGGCTACTACTTCCTGTGTCAGGTACTGCTATGGGCCCCACCAGGTATCACTGCCTTCAGGGTACCCAGGTTCCTTTTGTTTGGGGACACGTTTAGGTAACTAGTGGTTTCCCTGTTTAGAGCTCAGCCAGTTCCTTTTGGATGCTATTCCTTGACATTTTATTCTTGCGATTTTTCTACTTTCTTTTCTTTAAAAATAGTCGAATACTGTGACATTCCTCTTAAAGTAAATGTGTATTATCGTAATCACATCAGTACTATGAGTCATGTATTTTCAGTGAGAAGAGTGGCAAATAACCAGGACTCTAAGTAGCCAAATCCTTCATTAACAAGATCAGCAAGGAAGAGAGATATTCACAGGATAAAGCCAGGCAAAGGAACACTTTAAAGCATATTGAGTATTTGGCTTAAAACTACTTCGTGGAAACCCAGCTCTGGTGATAGGCTTGGCAGATCTCAGCAGCCTCTTTTCCTCTGGGCTCCAAGTGAAGGGATAAGACACATTGATCTCTCATTAGTGGTTGGTACAAATATAAGGACAAGGAAATACTGATGGATGGAAGTGACAGCAGAATGGATGTCTGGGTTGGATGCTAACGGTTTACTTTGCTGGCATCCAACCCAGAGTTTTGCGAAACTCTGATGCTATACCTCCTCTTGATTCACCCTCTATTATAATTCTTCCCCCACACTCCTTTTGAGATAGGGTCTCACTTTTTTGCCCAGGCTAGAGTGCAATGGTGTCATCATAGCTCACTGCAGCCTTGTCCTCCTGGGCTCAGGCGATCTTCCTGCCTCAGCCTCCTGAGTAGCTGGGACTAAAGTGTGCACCACCACACCCAGATAATTTTTGTTGTTGTTGTTGTTGTTTTTTAATACAGCCCTGTTGTTGCCAGGGCTAGTCTTGAACTCCTGGCCTCAAGCGATCCTCCTGCTTTGGCCTCCCAAAGCGCTGGGATTACAGGTGTGAGCCATTGTGCCTGGCCCCTCCCTCTTTCTTACAAGTAAATATCACTGAGTACGTTACAAGCCCGCTGTATGCATGTTTCTTTCCTTATTCTTTTTGCATCCTTCCTAGCCCACTGTTATTTATATTACTTCCTTAGTAGCCCTGACTGAGGGAACAACCTTAATCCTTCCCTCAGTATCTGGTACAGATTTCTCTTTCCTGCTAGCCTCTAAATGGAGAGTTTGTGAAACCACATGGCTGTTTCTCATTTCTTGCCCTCTTGATATTTAGGAAAATTGCAATTTGCTCTTTTGAAAATCACAGCATTTTTAAGGATATTTCAACCATCTTCTCTTACTTGGGATAATAAAAAAAATCTGGTTACCATTAGGATGTTAGTACTTTTTGCACTATTTAGGGTTTTGAAGTTTGTTATTGAAACAAACCATAACCTTGAGAATATCAAACTTTTCCTAAGACTTCTAGAAAGGTTCTTTGCTTTGTGTTCTACTTGCAAGTGGATTATTAATCCTGGTTCATGCTTGTGTTCAAAAGTGTTTTTTTGTTTGTTTTTGCTTTAGTATTATGTTTCTTTGCCCAAAGCAAATGCTCTATATTGCATGTGTATTTATAGCATATACCTATTTGCTGAGGAAATATTTATATCTTTGTGATAACTACCAGTTTCTCTGGTAAGAGAGCACATTGCTCCCGTTGTCTGTAGCAAGTGCCTGTCATTGCGTTAAGAGAAACATCTCAGCATCTCAGACATTCATACAGTAGTTTCTTTGAGGACGACTACACAGGTCTGCATTATCCCCAGCCCCTGAGAGAGAGTGGGCCAAAGACCTGGGCCCCTTTTAGAGATCCACTCCCCAATCCCCCTTTGAGATTGAACTTTTACCACTTTACAAGCAGTAGCTTTGTTGTTAGCATAGAAAGCTGCCATCCATGTGGAGCTTAGGGACAACCAATTAAAATTTTCTTGGTATCAAATGCGTAAATGGCTTTAAAAATGTTCAGCTGTTGTGCTAGGAAATAGTAGGTCTTATTCATTCTTTGTAACTATCTTTTTTTACCCATTAACCATTGCCACTTCTCCCCACTTACTACCCTTCCCAGCCCCTGGTAATCATCCTTCTACTCTCTATCTCCATGAGTTCAGTTGTTTTAGTTTTTTAGCTCTCACAGATAAGTGAGAACATATGAAGTTTGTCTTTCTGTGCCTGACTACTTCACTTAACATAATGACCTCCAATTCCATTAATGTTGCAAATGACAGGATCACATTTTTTTTAAATGGCTGAATAGCACTCCATCGTGTATATCTGCCACATTTTCTTTATCCATTTGTCTGTTGATGGACACGTAGGTTGTTTCCAAATCTTGGTTATTATGGTTAGTGCTGCGAGAAACATGGGAGTGCAGATATCTCTTTGATACACTGTTTTCCTTTCTTTTGGATATGTACATAGGAGTGGGATTGCTGGTATGGTAGCTATTTCTAGTTTTTTGAGGAACTTCCAAACTGTTCTCCATACTGATTATACTAATTTACATTCTCACCAACAGTGTATGAGGGTTCCCTTTTCTCCACATCCTCACCAACATTTGTTATTGCCTATCTTTTAAATAAAAGCCATTTTAACCAGGATGAGATGATATCTCATTGCAGTTTTGACTTGCATTTCTCTGATCATCAATGATGTTGAGCACTTTTCTGTAAACCTCTTTGCCATTTGTCTGTCTTCCTCGCTCAAGAAGTCTTTGCCCAGTCCAATGTCCTGGAGAGTTTCTCCAATGTTTTCTTTCTGTAGTTTAATAGTTTGATGTCTTAGATTTAAGTCTTTAATCCATTTTGATTTGATTTTTTATGTGAGAAGAGATAGGAGTCTAGTTTCATTCTTCTGCATATGGATATCCAGTTTTCTCAGCACCATTTATTGAAGAGACTGTCCTTTCCCCAGTGCATGTTATTGGCACCTTTGTTGAAAATGAGTTCACTGTGGATGTATGGATGTATGTATGGATGTATGTATTCTGGGTTCTCTACTCTGTTCCACTGGTCTGTGTATCTGTTTTTATGCCAGTACCATGCCGTTTTGGTTACTATAGCTCTGTATTATAATTTGAAGTCTGGTAATCTGATTCCTCCAGTTTTGTTCCTTTTTCTTGAGATAGCTTTGACTATTTTGGATCTTTGTGGTGCTGCATAAATTTTAGGATTTTTTTTTTCTATGAAGAGTGTCATTGGTATTTTGTTAGGGACTGCATTGAATCTGTAGATTGCTTTGGTATTGACATTTTAACAATATTGATTCTTCCCAGCCATGAATGTGAAATGTCTTTAAACATTTTTGTGTCCTCTTTAATGAGATTCATCAATATTTTATAGTTTTCATTGTATAGATCTTTTACTTCTTTGGTTAATTCTGAGTTATTTAATTTTATTTATAACTATTGTAAATGGGATTACTTTCTTGCTTTCTTTTTCAGATTGTTTGCTGTTAGCATATAGAAATGCTACTGATTTTTGTATGTTGATTTTATATCCTAAAAGTTTACTGAATTTTCAGTTCTAATAGTTTTTTGGTGAAGTCTTTAGGGTTTTCCAAATATAAGATCATACCATCTGCAAGCAAGGATTATTTGACTTCTTCCTTTCCAATTTGGGTGCCCTTTATTTCTTTCTCTTGTCTGATTGCTCTAGCTAGGACTTCCAGTACTGTGTTGAATAACAGTAGTGACAGTGGGTATTCTTGTTGTGTTCCAGACCTTAGAAGAAAGTCTTAGTTTTTCCCCATTCAGTTTGATATTAGCTGTGGGTCTGTCCTATGCAGCTTTTGTTAGGCTGAGATATGTTCCTTCTGTACCCAGTTTTTCAAGGGTTTTTATTATGAATGGATGTTGAATTTTATCAAGTGCTTTTTCAGCATCAGTTGAAATCATCATATAGTTTTCTTCCTTCATTCTGTTGATATGATGCATCACATTGATTGGTTTGCGTATGTTGAGCCATGTTTGCATCCCTGGAATAAATCTCACTTGGTCATGATGAATGATCCTTTTAATGTGTTGTTGAATTTTATTTGCTAGTATTTTGTTGAGGATTTTTGCATTAATATTCATCAGTGATATTGGCCTGTAGTTTTTTTTAAATATATGTCTTTATCTGTTTTTGATATCAGGGTAATATTGCCCCTGTAGAATGAGTTTGGAAGTATTCCCTTCTCCTCTGTTTTTCAGAATAGTTTGAGTAGGATTGGTATTAATTCTTCTTTAAATGTTTGGTAGAATTCAATAGTGAAGCCATCAGGTCCTGAGTTTTCTTTGTAGGAAGACTTTTTATTACAGCTTCAATCTTGTTATTTGTTACTGGTCTGTTCAGGTTTTGCATTTCTTCATGGTTCAATCTTGGTAGGTTGTATGTGTCTAGGAATTTATCAATTTCCTACATTTTCCAATTTATTGGTATATAGTTTCTCATAATATCCACTAATGATCTTTTGAGTTTCTGCAGTATCAGTTGTAGTGTCTCCTTTTTCATCTCTGATTTTATTTCTTAGTCTGGCTAAAGATTTGTCAGTTTTGTGTAACTTTTCAGAAAACTATCTTTTTGTTTCATTGATCTTTTGGATTGTTTTCTTCATTTCAATTTCATTTACTTCTGCTCTGACCTTTATTATTTCTTCTACTAATTTTGGGTTTGGTTTGCTATTGCTTTTCTAGTTCTTTAAGATGCATCATTAGGTGGTTTATTTGAATTTTTTCTTCTTTTTCTTTTTTTTGATGTAAGCACTGCTTTCCCTGCATCCCATAGGTTTTGAATATGCTGTGATTCCATTATCATTTGTTTCAAGAAATTTTTAATTTGTTAACCCACTGGTCATTCAGCATGTTTTTTAATTTTCATGTATTTGTATAGTTTCCAAAATTCCTCTTGTTATTGATTTCTAGTTTTGTTCCATTGTGGTCAGAGAAGATACTTTATACTATTTCAGTTTTTTTGAGTGTTTTAAGGCTTGTTTTGTGATCTAACATATGGTCTGTCCTTGAGAATGATCCATATGCTAAGGAAAAGAATGTGTATTCTGCAGCCAATGGATGAAGTATTCTGTAAATATTTATTAGGGCTATTTTGATCTATAATGCAGATTAAGCCAGCTCTTTCTTTGTTGATTTTCTGTCTGCGAGATCTGTCAAATGCTGAAAATGGGGTGTTGAAATCTCCAGCTGTTGGCCAGGCATGGTGGCTCATGCCTGTAATCCCAGCACTTTAGGAGGCCAAGGAAGGTGGATCACTTGAGGACAGGAGTTTGAGACCAGCCTGGCCAACATAGCAAAACCACGTCTCTTCTAAAAATAGAAAAATTAGCCAGTCATGGTGGTGCGCACCTATAAATCCCAGCTACTGGGGAGGTGGAAGTGGGAGGATTGCTTGAACCTGGGAGGCAGAGGCTGCAGGGAGCCAAGACTGCGCCACTGCACTCCAGCCTGGGTGACAGAGCGAGACTCCATCTCAAAAAAAAAAAAAAAAAGAAAGAAAAGAAAGAAAGCTCCAGCTGTTATTATATTGGGGTCTATCTCTCTCTCTCTTTAGCTCTAGTAATATTTGCTTTATATATCTGGGCACTCCGGTGTTGGGTGCATATATATTTAAGATTTTTATACCTTCTTGCTGAATTGACCCCTTTATCATTATATAGTGATCTTCTTTTTCTCTTCTTATAGTTTTTGCCTTGAAATCTATTTTATCTGATATTAATATAGGTACTTCTCCCCTTTTTTGGTTTCCATTGGCTTGGAATATCTTTTTCCATCCCTTTATTTTCAGTTGATGTGTGTCTTTATAGGTGAAGTGTGTTTCTGGTAGGCAGCAGATCATTGCATCTTGTTTTTTCATCCATTCAGCCACTCTGTGTCTTTGTATTGGAAAGTTCAGTCCAGTTACATTCAGTGTTAACATTGATGAGTAAGGACTTACTCCTGCCATTTTGTTATTTGTTTTTTGGTTGTTTTGTGGTCTTCTCTTCTTTCCATCTTCCTGTCTTCCTTTTAGTGAAAGTGATTTTTCTCTGGTAATATGATATAATTCTTGCTTTTTAATTTTTGTGTATTTGTTGTATGTTTTTTGATTTGAGGTTACAATCAGTATTACAGATGCTATCCTTTAACCCATTATTTGAAACTGATAACAGCTTACTGTTTTTATAAATAAATAAGCAAAAAGAAAACTAATAAAAACTCTACACTGTAACTTCATCCCCTCACTTTTTAAGTTTCTGTTGCTTTTATTCACATCTTACAATATTATCTATGTCTTGAATAGTTGTTGTAGTTATTATTTTTAATTGGTTTATCTTTTAATCTTTCTATTTAAGGTAAGAGTAGTTTACACACCAAAGTTACAGTGTTATAATATTTCAGTGTTTTTCTGTGTACCTACTATTATCAGTGAGTTTTGTACCTTCAGATGATTTTTTATTGCTCATTAATGTTCTGTTCTTTCTAATTGAAGTACTCCCTTTAGCGTTTCTTCTAGGACAAGTCTGGTGTTGATGAAGTCCTTCAGCTTTTGTTTGTCTGGGAAAGTCTTTATTTCTCCTTGATGTTTGAAGGATACTTTCACTGGATATACTATTCCATGGTAAAAGTTTTTTTTTTCTTTAGCACTTTAAACATATTATGCCACTGTAAAGTTTCCACTGGAAAGTCTGCTGCCACATGTGTTGTAGCTCCATTGTATGTTTGTTTGTTTGTTTCTCTCTCTTTTCTTTTCTTTTTCTTTTTCTTCTTTTCTTTTCTTTCTTTCTTTTTTTCTGCTTTTAGGATCCTTTCTTTATCCCTGACCTTTAGGAGTTTGATTATTAAATGCCTTGGGGTAGTTGTCTTTTTTTTTTTTCTTTTGAGACAGAGTCTCGCTCTGTCGCCCAGGCTGGAGTGCAGTGGCGTGATCTCGGCTCACTGGAAGCGCTGCCTCCTGGGTTCATGCCATTCTCCTGCCTCGGCCTCCCGAGTAGCTGGGACTACAGGCGCCCGCCACCACGCTCGGCTAATTTTTTGTATTTTTAATAGAGACAGGGTTTCACCGTGTTAGCCAGGATGGTCTTGATCTCCTGACCTCGTGATCTGCCCACCTCGGCCTCCCAAAGTGCTGGGATTACAAGCGTGAGCCACTGCACCCAGCGCCTTGGGGTAGTTTTCTTTTAGTTAAATCTGCTTGGTGTTCTATAACCTTCTTGTACTTGGATATTAATGTCTTTCTCTAGGTTTGGGGAATTGTCTCTTATTATTTCTTGGATTAAATTTTCTATCCATATGTCTTTCTCTACCTCCTCTTTAAAGCCAATAACTCGTAGGTTTGTCCTTTTGAGGCTGTTTTCTAGATCTTGTAGGCATGTGTCATTCTTTTTTATTCTTTTTTCTCTTGTCTCTTATGTGTATTTTCAAATAACCTGTGTTCAACCTCACTAATTCTTTGTTCTCCTTGATCAGTTTTGCTATTAAAAGACTCTGATGTGTTCTTCAGTATGTCAGTTTCATTTTTCAGCTCCAGATTTTCTGTTTGATTTTTTTTAATCATTTCAATCTCTTTGGTAATTTATCTGATATAATTCTGAATTCCTTTTCTATTATCTTGAATTTCTTTGAGTTTCCTCAAAACAACTATTTTGAATTTTCTGTCTGAAAGGTTACATATCTCTGTTTCTTCAGGATTGGTCCTTGGTGCCTTAGTTTGTTTGGTGAGGTTATGTTTTCCCAGATGGTGTTGATGCTTGTGGTTGTTCATCGGTGTCTGGACATTGAAGAGTTAGGTATTTATTGTAGTGTTCGTGGTCTAGGCCTATTGCATCTGTCCTTCTTGGGAAGGCTTTCCAGGTATTCAAAAGGATTTGTGTATTGTAATCTAAGCCGTATGTGCATTAGGGGTTACCACAAGCCCAGTAACACTGGTTTTTGCAGACTTGTAGAGGTTCTGCCTTGGTGGTCTTGGATAAGATCTGGAAGAATTCTCTGGATTACCAGGCAGAGACTCTTGTTCTCTTCCCTTACTTTCTCCTAAACAAACCACATCTCTCTGTCTGTGCTGAGCCACCTGGAGCTGGGAGTGGGCTGACCCAAGTACCCCTGTGGCCATTATCACTGGGACTGTGTTGGATCAGACCTGAAGCCAGCACAGCACTGGGTCTCACGCAAGGCCCACTGTAACCACAACCCAACAACCTGTATTGCTGCTGAGCTGACTTTCAAACCACAGGATGCAGTCCTTCTCACCCTTCCCTCCCCTTTCCACAGGCAGAGGAGCCTCACCCTGTGGCTGCCACCACTACAGACCCATGGGGAGTACTGCCAGGCTTCCACCAATGTTCACTTAAGGCCCAAGGGCTCCTCAGTCAACTTGTGGTGATGAATGTTGCTAGGCCTGGGACTTACCCTTCAAAGTGGTGGGCTCCCCTCTGGCCCAGGGCAGGTCCAGAAGTGATGCCATGTAAGAGCCAAGGCCTAGAATCAGGAACCCCAAGAGCCCACTTGGTACCCTTCTCCCCTGAGGCCGAGCTGGTACCTAAGGTGCAAGACAAAGTCTTCCTTTCTTTTTTCTCTGCTTTTCTCAAGCAGATGGAGTCTCTCGCGATAGCCACCACAGCTGAGAATATGCTGTGTCTAACCTTAAGCTGGCATGTCTCAGAGTCTCACTCAAGGCCCATGGCATGCTACTTGAGTATCACGGCTGGTTATTCAGGATCGGATGGCTCTTTAATTCAGCAGGTGATGAGTCCTACCGTGACTGAGTCATTCCCTTCAAGGCAACAGGTTCTCTTTGGGCGTAGGGTGTACCTAGAAATGTCATCAGTGGAAAAGTTTTCTTCCCTGTCTTTTAGTCTGGGTGAACAATGTAGTCATACTAGGTAGGATAGATGGTCAGGACCCACAGTGTTCTAAGACCCAAATCCTATGCTAGACCAGACATTCCTCCCTATGAAGTTTACAAAAGAAATATACACAGAGGACAAAGCAAGGCGGAGGAACAATTCTTTTTTTATTAACTGAAGCTTCCATCTAAGCCAGAATGATTGTAGTGTACACTCCTACTTGCAATGTATGAGGCTCCTTGTATCTTCTCATCTCTGCCAACAGTTAGGATTATCGAGGTTTCTAATTTTTTTTTTTTTTTTTGAGACAGAGTCTACTCTGTCACCCAGGCTGGAGTGCAGTGACACCATCTTGGCTCACTTTAACCTCCACCTCCTGGGTTCAAACGATTATCCTGCCTCAGCTTCCCGAGTAGCTGGGACTACAGGCACACACCACCATGCCTGGTTAATTTTTGTATTTTTAGTAGAGATGGGTTTTCACCATGTTGGCCAAGCTGGTCTCGAACTCCTGTCCTCAGGTGATCCACCTGCCTTGGCCTCCCAAAGTGCTGGGATTACAGGTGTGAGTCACCCCACCCAGCCTAGCTTTCTAATTTTTGTAATATAGATTAAGTTCTATTAATTGCTTTTTTAATATCATTTGCCCATTTTTCCATCAGGGTGACTGTTCTCTTGTTGATTTACAGGAATTTCTTATCTTCTATCTAATAATCCCTTTCCTAACAGTTTTACAAACATCTTCTCTCATTTTGTCATTTAGTCATTTGTCTATTAACTTTGTGTGGCATTCATAGAACAAACATTTTTAATTTTAATGCAGTAAAAGTTGTCATACACTTTATGGGTTTTTAAGTTTTTCCCTGTCACTAGATCACAAAGATATTCTCCCTTGTAATCTTTTATTAAGGCAAATCTTTATTAAGATTTTATTAAGGCAAATCTTTTGTTAAGTTTTGCCTTTTGCTAAACTTTATGATGCGCATTCTTCATTGATTAAGATTATCGTCTGGTTTCTCTCTTCTAAGTCTATTTCTGATGTTGAACCATCCTTTTATTCGTCATATAAATTCTACTTAATCCTGATATGTCATTATTTTAAAAATACATGATTGGATTCACTTAGGTAATATTAGGGTAGTATTTTTTGTATTTTTTTTTTTTTGGGACAGAGTCTAGCTGTGTTGCCCAGGCTAGAGTGTAGTCACACCATCGTGGCTTACTGTATCCTCTGCCTCTTGGGTTCAAGTGATTCTCCTGCCTCAGCCTCCCAAGTAGCTGGGATTACAGATGTACACCATCACACCCAGATAATTTTTGTATTTTTAGTACAGACGGGGTTTTGCCATGTTGTCCAGGCTGGTCTGAACTCCTGGCCTCAAGTGATCTGCATACCTCAGCCTCCCAAAGTGCTGGGATTACAGGCATGAGCCACTGCCTGGCCAAGTGTAGTATTTTTATGTGTCATGTTAAAATGGATCTTTGATTTTTTTGTTAATTCAGTGTTTAGAATCAAGATTATAATAAATTAATGAAATGTCTTGGTCAGTTTCTGAGAGTTTACTGTTTTTCTAGAACAGCTTGTGTAAAACAGGAATGAACCCTTGAAATTTGGTAGAACTCATTGTAAAATTGTACCTGCTGTTTTTCAGAAGGCAAGATCTTTGCTGTTTTAATCCCTATTATACTAATTGGTCTGTTCAGATTCTCTATCAGTTCTTGTGCCAGTTTTGGCATAATTTAATGGGAATTTATCCATTCAACTTTATTAGCATGTAGATATTCCTAATGCTCGTTATATTCTGTTATCATTTCAAAAATCTCCTTTGTGTCTGTACTTTTGTATTCCTTTTCATTCTATATTTTAATTATTTGAATCTTCTTTTTTCTTTGATAACTCTTGCTCATCAAGGGTCTTATCTTATTAATCTTTTCAAAGAACAATTTTGGTTGTGTTATTTTTCTCTATTTTTTATTTTTATTTTTTGAGACAGTCTTGCTCTGTTGCCCAGGCTGGAGTGCAATTGCGTGATCTCGGCTCACTGCAACCTCTGCCTGCTGGGCCCTGCCTCAGCCTCCTGACTAGCTGGGATTACAGGTGCCTGCCACCATGCCCTGCTAATATTTTTTTTTTTTTTTTTTTTTTGTGGTAGAGCCAAGGTTTCACCATGTTGGCCAGGCTGGTCTCGAACTCCTGACCTGAAGTGATCTGCCCACCTTGGCCTTCCAAAGGGTTGGGATTACAGGCGTGAGCCACCACACCTGGCCTTTTTTTTCCTCTATTGTTGATGTTTTGTGTATCTTTGATATTTGCCCTTAACTTTTTAATTTAATTTCTTATTTTCCAGGGATGTTGCTTTTTTGCCCTTTCCCCAAATTCTTGAGTTGAGTACTTAGCTTATTAATTTTAACTTTTCTTGTTTTCTTTGAACTGTTTTTAAAGCTACATATGTACCTCTAAATACTTCTTTAGCTCTATTCTACAGATTTTTATGTCCAGTGTTTTTATTATTATTCACTTTTAAATGTTTTCTTTTCTTTGTGATTTCTTTTGTAACTAGGTTATTTATTAAGGCTATTTAATTCTGTATTTTGCTATTTTTTGTTAATGTTTAATTTTATTGTCAGAGTATAGGATGTCTGTATATTTAATTCTTTATAGTTTATGGATAGTTCCATTATAGTTTATTATATTGTCTATATTTTTAAATATTACACATATGCTTTGAAAGAAAGGTGTGTGTGTGTGTGTGTGTGTGTGTATATATATCTCCACAAATTTGATTTATAATTATATTGTTCTTCCCTTCATAGTAAGCTGTTTATTATTGTGTGTACTTTATCTGTCAGTTTCTGAGAGGGATCTTTAAAAATTTATGTCTGGGGGCTGGGTGTGGTGGCTCACGCCTGTAATGCCAGCACTTTGGGAGGCCGAGGTGGGCGGATCAGTTGAGGTCAGGAGTTTGAGACCAGCCTGGACAACGTGGTGAAACCCCGTCTCTACTAAAAATACAAAAATTAGGCGTGGTGGTGCACCCCTGTTGCCCTAGCTACTCAGGAGGCTGAGGCAGGAGAATCACTTGAACCCGGGAGGCAGAGGTTGCAGTGAGCCAAGATTCATACCACTGCACTCCAGCCTGGGTGATAGAGTGAAAAAAAAAAAAAAGATATACCTTCCATTTAAAAATCTGTGTCTGTAAATTTTGATGTATTTGTATTTCTTACATTTTGATTTATTTGTATTTCCTACAGTCTTGTCAATTGTAGCTTGATATATTTTGAAGTTGTGTTGTTATATACATATGTGTATGCTAGAATATACCTAGATGTATTTTTTGTATACATGCATATCCATATATGTGGATAACTATTTGTACCCATATTTATCATCAGTATTTAGTGAACATTTACAATGTGCTAGGCCCTTTCTAAGCACTTTGTAATTAATTCTCATTACATTAGTTAATCCTTAGAACATACCTAGTATAGTGTCTATTTTAGGAATATAAATAGTATCTATCTCAGGAATTCCAGTAGTTTTTATTCCCAAGATGCAGAAAAGTTATGCAGTTGGTAAGTATACTTTAAGATCATTCTAATTGATCTGGAATAGGGCTAAGCATTGGTATTTTGAAAGAGCTCTTTAGAGATTCAAGGATTCTGCTACATACTCAGCATTGCTGCTGTAGAATCAGCCCTAGGCTTGTCCTCCCAACTATTACATTCTTTCTCCCCTAATAAATAGCAATATATACAATACAGGTTAAACATTCATAGTTCTCTAACCCTGAGTTTAATAATTCAATCAAGAATCATTGCTGGATACTAAAACTATTGAGATAAAGGTTTTGGGGACCAAGATATTCACATGGACTCAAAGTATCATGCCACAGTTGACTTACTAATTAATTACACTGGGCAGAATGTCCTTTTATAGTGGACATATTTGGTGGTCACCAGTTTAACCAACTGATCAAGCTTAGCATCATTAATTGGGATAGTCTGACATTTTGTACCTTCTGATGGGATGCATTATTGAATATCATTGTCTGTGAAGCATTCATGCTAAAAATGTTTCACCGGAATCAAGCCTCTAGCCCTAACTTCCAGTCTACTGGAAATACAGGGGATATTGGAATAAGTTAAATGACACCAAGGGAGAAATAATAAGATTAAATCCAATGCCATGAAAAGCAAGGGGAGTTGTTCTAGTGAAACAAAAAGCAAGAGAGACATAACTAAAAATATTGTGTGAAGCTTGGTTAGAACCTGGGTTGGGGAAATAATATGGTAGCAACAATTGGGGAGATTTAAATTTAGAGTGGATATTAGGTGACATTTTGGAATTACCATTAATTTTCTTAGGTGCGATAATGATATTGCAGAGATATAGGAGAATGTCCTTATTTTTAGGAGATACTGGCTAACATGGTTGGGGTGAAGTATCCTGATGTCTTTAATTTATTTTGAATGGTTCAGAAAAAAGAAGAAACGAAACTATGTGGTTGTGTGTGTGTGCAAACACACGTGCATATACAAATCAAGAGAGAATGGGTGCAAATGTAGCAATATGTTAATTGGTGAATCAATAGGTGTTCATAATATCACTGTTTCAGCTTTTTAGTAAATTTAAAAATCTTTAAAATAAAACATTGGGTGAAAGAGAAAAATTGCTATGTTCTACAGTTCGGTGTGGATTTCAAGAGCTGGCATTGCTCATCCCATCTTTGGCCCTGAAGTAACTCTAAAGCATAAAATAATAATTGCTTATTCAATACAAATATAGTCAGGACTGCTGTTTTCAGCTGGGTCTTTTTTCTAAAAATTACTTTTATTCGGCCAGTCACAATTTTATTTCCCATTAAAAATGCCAGTGTGTCACACAAGGTGGTAGTAAAATAAAAATCTTGAGTAAAGATTTTTAACTTATTTGAGTTAACAGTGGATTAAGAGAAATTCTTGTGAAAATTAATGAAGCCTTCAAGTAATTTTGTAAACATGATTGTTTTTATGAACCTCCTGTAAAAGTCAAACAGAATGACTTTTGTAAAAGTGAAACGTTCATTTGCTTGAATGTTCTGATTATTTCTAATAATTTTGTAGTTGGTTGTTTTGATTTTCTAGGTGTAAAATAATTTTGTCTTTTCCTTTCTAATTTTGTACCTTTTATTTATTACCTTATTTCATTGGCCATTACTTTAAGAACTGTGTTGCATAATAGTGGTGATTGTCTTGTTCCAGACTTTAATGGGAATGCTTCCAATATTAAACCCTCAAGCACAATGCTGGTTATTGGCTTGAGACCAAGTTAACCAAATGTCCTCTTTTATATTAAAAGTTTCTGTTGGGAATAGATATTGAATTCTCCTCAAGTGCCTTTTGAGCCTCTTTCAAGATGCTGTTTTTCCCTTTGGCTTGTTAACATGATGACATATAATATTGAATAATTCTTGCATTCCTCATCTGACCATGACCTTCATTTAGTCATGGTATGTAGCATGCATTAACATGTAATTCAGTTGTGTTTGCTAATTTATTCATGATTTTTGGATTTACAATAAAAAGTGACATTAGTCTGCAGTTTCTTCTTGTTTTCGTAACTTGGTAGGAAGAATTGGGGAGCTTTTCTCATTGCCTTGGAATAGTTACAATAGCGTTGAGAGTGATCACATATTCTCAATGATTGAAGCAATTGAAGAACTCATACTTGAAACATGGGCTAGAGCTTTCTTTAGTTGGCAACTTTCTCAATCTCCGGTGATTATTGATTTCTTTAAATTTTCTTTGCATGTATTTTGATA
This sequence comes from Homo sapiens, assembly GCF_000001405.40. Classification (NCBI taxonomy): domain Eukaryota; kingdom Metazoa; phylum Chordata; class Mammalia; order Primates; family Hominidae; genus Homo; species Homo sapiens. The sequence continues at coordinate 232,103,870 of NC_000002.12, forward strand.
ATTATATTTTCCAGGAAAATAATACATTTTGAGCACATACTGTAATGTATTAGAATAGAGCTATATGAAGTATTTTCAGTTGTTTAGTTTCATCTGTATCTGTGATCATAACCCCTTTCAGGTCCCCCCCCACCACCTTTTTTTAACACTAGCTAGTGACTTAATCTGTTTAATTTTTAATGGAAATAGATTTCTGCCATTTTTGTTTATTATAAATAATTTCTACTGTTTTTATTACCAAGGAATTTCTTTTAGATATGGTAAATGTGAGATGGTCATATTTAATTAGAAATACAGACTGAAGTTCATGATAGAGGTCTGTGAACTGGAAATGCAGTTTCATGAGTCATTACTGTCAAATTAATTCCTTGAGTAACTCCTGGATTCTGAGAGTTCTTTTAAGAGACTGTCAGAGGACGAGGGCCTACCTGTTCTCTTTTCCTGCCACCTGGCTTTCCCTCCCTGACGCAGCAGGTATTGTTTATCAAACTGTCCCCTGCCCTGGAGTCTCTATAACACACAGAAACTTTTGTGGGTTAAATTTGTTTTTTATTGTGGTAAAAAAAAATTTGCCATTTTAGCAATTTTTAAGTGTACAATTCAATGTCATTAATTACATTTTCTGTGTTGTGCAACCACTACCACTATTTCCCAAACCTTTTCATCATCCCAAACAGAAGCTCTGTAACCAATAACCATCCACTCCTCATTTCTCCCCCAACCCCTGATAACTACAAATCTACTTCCTCTCTATAAATTTTCCTATTCTAGAGATTTCATATAAGTGGAATCATACAATATTCTTTTGTGTCTGGCTTTTTTCACTTAGCACAATGTTTTCAAGGCACATATATGTTGTAGTGTGTATCAGAACATCCTATTCTGTGGCTGAATAATATTCCATTATATTGTATATACTGAATTCTGGTATTTTTGCTTGTTTGTTTTTTGCTTTTGAGACAAAGACTCAGAGGGTCTGGCTGTGTTCCCCAGGCTGGAGTGCAGTGGTGTGATCTCGGCTCACTGCAACCTCTGCCTCCTGGGCTCAAGCCATCCTCCCACCTAAGCCTCCTGGAGTAGCTGGGACTACAGGTGGCACCACCACACCCAGCTAATTTTTGTATTTTTTGTAGAGATGGGGTTTCACTATGTTGCCCAGGTTGGTCTCAAACTCTTGAGATCAAGTGGTCCGCCTGCCCTGGCCCCCCAAAGTGCTGGGATTACAGATGTGAGCCACCATGCCCAGCCACACATTTTGTTTATCCATCCATGTTGATGAACACTTGAATTATTTCTACCTTTGGCTATTGAATAGTGAATAATGCTGAAATGAACATTGGTGTACAACTATCCGTTTGAGTCACTGTTTTCAATTCTTTTTATACCTAAGTCATATAGGAGTAGAATTGCTGGGTCATAGGGTAATTCTGTGTTTAGCTTTATGAGGATTGTGAGGTTTTTAAAAGAGGGATTTTTGTTGGTTATTAAATACTTGGTTATTAGGGGGGTTAACAGAAACTGAAAATGTTGATGTATTATAGAAAATCTTGAAATAATAATGATTACATCTGTTCTTTATTCAAATATAACTGGAGCTTGCCCAGCTCTTTTTCAGGCTTTTCCTTTTCACTTCTTTCTCTTCCCATTTTTTAAAATCCTGGAGTCATTCCTACCTACTTGCCTAGTTTCTCTTTGACACATCAACAGACCTAGGCAGCTTGGGTTTCAGAACATTTTTCTAACATTACAAAGGACTTATTTTATAGAATATACTCTGCCCCACTCTGCCTCTTCCAGCTAGCAAGAAACATCAGCCTTGCTAACACTTTTAGCACAAAATTGTTGGGATGGAAACCTAAATGAAAGGAAATAATGTCTCACAAATGTTCATCCTGTTATCTGGAAACAGGGATTCCCAGGCTCCCAACATGTCAGTCGCTATGTGTGCCTGTCCTTCTCCTTTGTTGGAGGTGAGTGAAGACTTGAAGGCCCCTGTGCCTATCATCCCCATGGCTTTTCCGGCACCTTTTCCAATATGGTGTTCCTGACTCTCTTGCTTGCTCTGCAGTTTTAGCTTTATACTAGGCTCCCTGGGCTTTTTTATAATTCATTTTCCTTGGGTTTACTGGTAATGAAAAGGGTCTCTGAGTAATGGTATCATTTTTTCCTTACTTCCTTTTCCATGCTCTCTAGATTCTAGCCACTTTTGGACTCTTTCTTCCCAGTCCATCTACTGATCCCACTCTGTGTTACTTTCCAGATCAGTCCAGTCCATGCTCATGACAAGGTATTGACTCAGGGCCATATCTATTTACAATTACATTACATTGCCATAGAAATAATAAAATTCTGGCCCTGGTCGGGTCCTACAAGATCATGTACTCTTGTTGACATGTGATACTCTACCCCTAATGGCTCTTAGTGGGGCACTTTATGTTATTTACAAATACTGTTTTATAATACTGAATGAAAATGGTAAATTTTAAAGGGATGGAGGAAGATTTACCAAGCAAATGGAAAACAGAAGAAACCAGGATTGTAATCCCAGTTTCCAACAAAACAGACTTTAAACCACCAAAGATCAAAAAAGACAAAGAAGGGCATTACATAATGGTAAAGGGTTCAATTCAACAAGAAGAGTTGCATTACATAATGGTAAAGGGTTCAATTCAACAAGGAGAGTTAAATGTCCTAAATATATATGCACCCAATACAGGAGCACCCAGATTTATAAAGCAACCTCTTAGAGACCTTCAAAGAGACCTAGATTCCCACTCAATAATAGCGAGAGACTTTAACACCCCACTGACAATATTAGATTATTGAGACAGAAAATTAACAAAGATATTCAGGACCTGAACTCAGCTCTGGATCAAGTGGACCTGATAGATAGATATCTGCAGAACTCTCCACCCCAAAACAACAGAATATACATTATTCTTATTGCCACATGGCACTTATTCTAAAATTGATCACGTAATCGGAAGTAAAACACTCCTCAGCAAATGCAAAAGAACTGAAATCATAACAAATGGTCTGTCGGACCACAGTGCAGTCCAATAGAACTCAAGATTAAGAAATTCACTTAAAATTATGCAACCACATGGAAATTAAACAACCTGCTCCTGAATGACTTTTGGGTAAATAATGAAATTAAGGCAGAAATCAGGAAGTTCTTTGAAACTAATGAGAACAAAGATACAATGATCCAGTATCTCTGGGATGCAACTAACGCAGTGTTAAGAGGGAAATTTATAGCAATAAACGCCCACATCAAAAAGCTAGAAAGATCTCAGGTTAACAACCTATCATCACGACTAAAAGAACTACAGAACGAAGAGCAGACAAACCCCAAAGCTAGCAGAAGAGAAGAAATAACCAAGATCAGAGCTGAACTGAAGGAGACAGAGGCATGAAAAACCCTTCAAAAAATTAAGAAGTCCAGGAGCTGGTTTTTTGAAAAAAATTAATAAAATAGATAGACCACCAGCTAGACTAATAGAAGGAGAGAAGATTCAAATAAATACAATCAGAAATGATAAGGGGTAGGCTGGGCGCAGTGGCTCACGCCTGTAATCCCAGCCCTTTGGGAGCCTGAGGTGGGTAGATCACTTGATGCAGGAGTTTGAGACCAGCCTGGCCAACATGGTGAAACCCCGTCTCTACTAAAAATACAAAAATTAGCTGGGCATGGTGGTGCATGCCTGTAATCCCAGCTATTCAGGAGGCTGAATCAGGAGAATCACTTAAATCCAGGAGGTGTAGGATACAGTGAGCCGAGGTCTCGCCACTGCACTCCAGCCTGGGCAGGCGACAGAGCGAGACTCCATCTCAAAAAGAAATGATAAGGGGAATATTATCACCACAGAAATACAAATAACCATCAGAGAATACTATAAACACCTCTATACACATAAGCTAGAAAATCTAGAAGAAATAGATAAATTCCTGGACACATACACCCTCCCAGGACTGAACCAGGAAGACACTGACTCCCTGAATAGACTAATACTGAGTTCTGAAATTGAGGCAGTAATAACCTACCAACCGAAGAAAGCCCAGGACCAGATGGATTTATAGCTGAATTCTACAAAGAGCTGCTATCATTCCTACTGAAACTTCCAAAAAATTGAAAAAGGGGACCCCTCCCTAACTTATTGTATGAGTCCAGCATCAACGTGATACCAAAACCTGGCAGAGTTAAATCAAAAAAAGAAAACTTCAGGCCAGTATCCTTGATGAACATCAGTGTAAAAATCCTCAAAAAAAATATTGGCAAACCGAGTTCAGCAGCTCATCAAAAAGCTGATCAAGCAGGCTACATCCCTGGGATGCAAGGCTGGTTCAACATACGCAAATCAATAAATGTGATTCATCAGATAAAGAGAACTAAAGACAAAAACCACATGATTATCTCAATAGATGCAGAAAAGACCCTCAATAAAATTCAACATCTCTTCATGTTAAAATCTCTCAATAAACTAGTTATTGAAGGGGAACATACCTCAAAATAATGAGAGCTATTTATGACAAACCCATAGCTAATATCATACAGAATGGGCAAAAGCTGGAAGCATTCTTCTTGAAAACCCTCGTAAGACAAGGTTACTTGAAAACCCTCATAAGACAAGGTTGCTCTCTCTCACCACTCCTAGTCAACATAGTATTGGAAGTTCTGCCCAGGGCAATCAGGCAAGAGAAAGAAATAAAGGTATTTAAATAGGAAGAGAGGAAGTCAAACTATCTTTGTTTGCATTGCAGATGACATGATTGTATATCTAGAAAACCTCATAGTGTCAGCCCAAAAGCTTCTTAAGCTGATAAGCAACTTAAGCAAAGTCTCAGGATACAAAATCAGTGTGCAAAAATCTCTAGCATTCCTTTACACCAACAACAGGCAAGCTGAGAGCCAAATCACAAATGAACTCCCATTCACAATTGCCACAAGAAGAATAAAATACCTAGGAATACAGCTGACAAGGGAAGTGAAGGACCTATTCAAGGAGAACTATAAACCGCTGCTCAAAGAAATCAGAGATGACGCAAACAAAGGGAAAAACATTCCATGCTCATGGATTGGAAGAATCAATATTGTGAAAATGACCATACTGCCCAAAACAATTTTTAGATTAAATGCTATTCCCATTAAACTACCATTGACATTCTTCACAGAATTAGAAAAACTATTTTAAAATTCATATGGAACCACAAAAGTGCCTGAATAGCCAAGGCGATCCCAAGCAAAAAGAACAAAGCTGGAGGCATCACCCTACCCAACTTTAAACTATACTACAGGGGCCAGGCGGTGGCTCATGCCTGTAATCCCAGCACTTCGTGAGGCCAAGGCAGGCGGATCACTTGAGGTCAGGATTTTGAGACCAGCCTGGCCAACATGGTGAAACCCCATCTGTATTAAAAATACAAAAATTAGCTCGGTGGCACACATCTGTAATCTCAGTTACTCAGGAGGCTGAGGCAGGAGAATTGCTTGAACCAGGGAGGCAGAGGTTGCAGGGAGCCGAGATTGCACCACTACACTCCAGCCTGGGCGACAGAGCGAGACTCAGTCTCAAAAAGATAAAAATAAATAAATAAAAAAAAATAAAAATAAACTGTACTACAGTGATTCAGTAACCAAAACAGCATGGTATTGGTACAAGACACAGACCAATGGACCAGAGTAGAGAACCCAGAAATAAGATTGTACATCTACAGCCATCTGATCTTTGACAAACCTGACAAAATAAGCAAGGGGGAAAGGATTCCCTATTTAATAAATGGTGCTGGGAGAACTGGCAGAAAATTGAAATTGGGCCCCTTCCTTACACTATATACACAAATCAACTCAAGATGGATTAAAGACTTAAATGTAAAACCCTAAACTATAAAAGACCTAGAAGAAATCCTAGACAATACCATTCAGGATATAGGTACCAGCAATGATTTCATGAAGACACCAAAAGCAATTGCAACAAAAGCAAAAATTGACAAATGGTATCTAATTAAAGAGCTTCTGCATAGCAAAAGAAACTACCAACAGAGTAAACAGACAACCTACAGAATGGGAGAAATGTTTGCAAACTATCCATCTGACAAAAGTCTAATATTTAGCATCTATAAGGAATTTAAACAAATTTACAAGAAAACACATCCCCATTAAAAAGTAGGCAAAGGACGTGAACAGACCCTTCTCAAAAGAAGACATGCATGTGGCCAACATTTGTAAAAAAAAGCTCAACATCATTAATCATTAGAGAAATACAAATCAGAACCACAATGAGATACCATCTCAGAATGGTTATTATTAAAAAGTCAAAAAACAACAGATGCTGGCAAGGCTGTGGAGAAAAAAGGAACACTTTTACACTGTTGGTGGGAGTGTAAATTAGTTCAATCATTGTGGAAGACAGTATGGCGATTCCTCAAAGACCTAGAGCCAGAAATACCATTTGACCCAGCAATCTCATTACTTGATATATACCCAAAGGAATATAAATCATTCTGTTATGAAGACACATGCATGCGTATGTTCATTGGAGCACTATTCACAATAGCAAAGATATGGAATCAACCTAAATGCCCATCAGTGACAGTCTGGATAAAGAAAATGTGGTACATACACACATTTTCTATGAATACTTTGCAGCATAAAAAGGAACAAAATGATGTCCTTTGCAGAGATGTGGATGGAGCTGGAGGCCATTATCCTTTAGCAAACTAATGCAGGAACAGAAAACCAAATACCGTGTGTTCTCACTTGTAAGTGGGAGCTAAAAGATGAGAAGGCATGGACACAGGGAGGGGAACAATACACACCGGGGCCTGTCAGAGGTTGTGTTGTAGGAGGAAGGAGAAGATCAGGAAAAATAGCCAATGGATGTTGGGCTTAACACCTGGGTGATGGGATGATCTGTACAGCGGACCACCATGGTCACCATGTGACCAAACATGGCACATGTTTACCTGTGTAATGAATCTGCACATCCTGCACATGTACCCTTGAACTTAAAAGTTGGAAATTAAAAAAAAAAAAGAAAATGGTAAATGTGCTTTTAATAAGACTGCAAGATCAACTTAGATTACTTTCTATGTGAATGGTACCAGCCCACTGTAGTTACATTGACTTTGCCTGCTGGCCAGAAGCTCTAATTAACAGTTATATGTTTTTGATATTTAAAAAGGATAGGAAATTAATGATAGATGTAGTTGTTACTAAAAATACTTCAAAATGTGAGATCCTGGGCAAATTTAAAAAGATCTTATTAAAAAACTGCTGTGCTTAAAAGTTTAGAAACAACTGATATAGTTCATCCCTTCTGTTTTACAGACAATGAAATTGAGGCTCAGAGAAGTTCCTGGGCTTATCCAGTATCCCACAGGAAGTCAGTGAGTTCATTAAAGAAAAATACTTGTACCTCTATTAGTAGCAGCCAATTTCTAGAATAGATCATATTTTTTTAAAGAGCACATCATGGACATTGTTCATCTAGTGTTTGCTTCCCTTTTCCCTTTCTCATATGTATACCGATTTTCGTCTGGATATCTGCTTGTTCCCCAGATTCCTTGTACTTTGGGCAAAGTTGATCCCAGTTGCCAAGCTGGGTCTTGGTTGGCTTATACAAGTTTTGCTTAGTATACTTCATTGCCTGCACCAGTAGAACTTTCTGTAGCAATGGAAATGTTCTAATCTATACTGTTCAGTACTGTAGCCACCAGCCACATGTGACTCTTGAGCTCTTGAATAAGGCTGATGTGACTAATAAATTTAATTTTTAAATCGTATTTAATTTTAAATAGCTACATGTGGTTAGTGGTCACTTTATGAGATGTCATAACATGAGACCATTGCCTCTTCCCATAAGCCCATGACCTAAGCAGTCCAGTCAGGCTGAATCCTGCTTGGAATTCTGTGGTGTAAGTAGTTTCCTGATGGATATGAACAAGGCAACACTTATTCCTTACTGCTATTAGCAGCTATCTTATGACTTGCTAAGTATTATACATAGAAGAGTAAAGAACCAGAAGCAAATATGTGCTCCTACATTAGATCTAAGGCCATTAGTGAACCTTGGATCAACTGACTCTGAAGCCTTGCCTACCTTTGCACTTCCAAATACATGAGCTAATTTGTCACCTTTGATGTGTAAGTCAGTTGGAGTTGAATTTTCTGTCATTTCAGCCAAGAGCAACTAAGCAGATACAAAGGCACTGATAGACTTCATGTTTTATATAAGGCTTTTGAGTTTCTGATGGGCATTGTCATGAACAAATTTTGTAATTGAGGGAGAGGGCTTCTTTGTGGTAAAAGATGATGTGAACAACCTCTAGTTCCACTCTGCTGCTTGCTTGCCAGGTAACTTGGACAAATCAATTTTCTTCTTAGATCCCAAGGTTTTCATGGGGCTGGAGGCCATTATCCTTCAGCAAACTTCACGTAAGTGAGGATTATGCTATTTTACAACTTTAAAAATAGGGGCCTGAGTGGGTTTATACACACACCAGGCTTTATGTTACTTGCTGGGGAAAGAAAAGTGAATACAAAGTAAAATCTGGATACTAGTCTTCGGGTGCACTTAGTCCTTAAGAGGAGAGACCATAACAGATGTGCTCTGGATCTTGCCTGCTGTAGCTCCTTCAGTGGGAAGTCCCCTTACTGAACTGGTAAATACAGTCTGCTCTTGTCCCCAGGGCCTTGCTTAGACCATGAGTAGACTCCTGTCCCAAGGAAAACCAACACATTGACTGGCCAGTGATCCACTAGATATTTTTCTTCATGGCTTGAGAGCTCTGGAGCTGAGATGTCACATGGAGTTAGGGCTGGAAACAAAGTTGTTAGGGAACAGAGGCTCTAGCAACTGTAGACAGTGGCATGTAGACAAGAGGAACAGATTTGCAGGCAGAAGGAGGGACCATTCAGAGAGGAAGGGGGACAAGGTAAAAGGAGGTATGGTAGAAAAAGGGAGAGAAAAAAAGAGGACAATGTATTTCCTGGGCCTTGAAGGGTGAGTAGGGCTTGCCAAGTGAAAGAGGATGAAGAATATTCTTGGTATGAACAGGGTCACAGAGCTGGATGATAGGTAGAGTAATACCTATAGTGGGATTAGTACAGGATGCACAGTGGGGAGTCTGGAAAGGAGGCTAGAAAAAAAATGGGCTGTGATGAGGTTTTGCAGAATTATCTATGGCTGCTTAGAGCTCTGGATTGTGAAGAGTCATCCAAGGTTGTTACAGAAAGGAGACTTGTCATTAGAAAGGGGAGAAACTGGGGCATGGCTGGGAACCATTAAGACTAGAGATGCTGGAGACAAAAATTATGCTTCAAAAGAAAAACTATAATACACCTGTTCCTAGCTGTCCTTGAGTTTTTCCTACAGCTTGGACTATGTCCTAAATTCTTTGTGGGCTATAAGTCTCCAAATCAAAGCTTTCAAATCTTTACTTTTAAAACTGGGAATTGCACTGCTCATTCCACTACTCAGTATTTACTTTATAGTATGCTGTTCCCTTATGCGGTACTAAAACTATAGGTGACAGTACTAACACCTTTGCCATGCAAGTCTTGGAAGTCCAGCCAGGCCTGCATGAATATGCTTAGACAGTTGCAAAGTGGTTCCACTCCTTTTATCTTAGGGTCCACACCTATTCCCACTATGCCTCTGATAGCAGGAAGAAGTTAGAATGGTCTTCACCCTTTTTCCATCTTCATTAGCCAACACCTTAAGATTAAGGTATTATAAAACCCAAAAGGAGGGATTGAAACCACCATTGCAAAATTGTAACTGAGTCAGTGAAAGAGAGCTGACCTAACCAACTCCATCTTGCCTCTAACCTCCAAGCTATCCTTGTTCATTCCTGGGAGTGGGCTGAACCAGCTTTGGGAGGAACTTAGTTTACAGTTTAAAACAAAGATGATAACAACCCTTTCCCAAAACAAACCTCCTTCTTGCCTGAAGACTAGATTGCCTTTGTAGGACTAACAAGTTAGGCACAAGATTAGAAATTATGGTTTAGGAGTCATGCAGCTGGAGCTACAGGATTCTGACCCTCCCTCCCTAAACTCTCATAAGATCAGTGCTTGAGATATTTTGCAGACACTGCACTTGATGGATCAGCTGGCACCACACAGATTGATAAACTGGCTTATCTGATCTTGTGGCCTCCACTCAGGAACTGACTCAGGGCAAGAGGACAGCTTCATTTCCCTATGGTTTCATCTCAGACCCAACCAATCAGCACTCTTGACTCACTATTCCCTTACCCACCAAATTATCCTTAAAATCTCTGATCCCTGAATGCTCAGGGAGACTGATTTGAGTAATAATAAGACTCCCGTCCCTCCCATTCCCATCCCCCCACCCCAAAGACTAGAGATGCTGGAAGACCTGACTAAGAGCAACAGCGCTGGAATAAAGAGGAAATAATAGATGAACAAGACATTTCAGAACTAGAATTGACATGGTTCCACGGCAGATCTGATATAGGACTTAGGCAGAGAAGGATTAATTAATGAGAGTAACTTGGTTTCTAGCTTAGCAACTGTGTGATGCTGATGTTCTTTAGTGAAAAAAATAAAAAAATAAAAGACCAAGGGTAAGAAGGACCATGGATTCAGGTTGTGATTATATGTTGATTTGAGTTTCATAGGGGACATTCAGGTTATGACATCCAGTGGGCAATTGGAAATAGAAGTATAGACCCATAGGAAGGGTGGTGAGAGTTATACACGTGAATCTTGTCAAGCTATGGGAAATCAATGAGATTGTTGAGTAAGTGGACTATGATTGAATTACCCGAAGTAATCATTGTCCTATAATACCAGAGCACAACCTGGAAGATACAGAAAACTCAGGCATAGGGGAGGGTGTTTGAGAAGTAAATCTGGTAAAGATTTTGAAAGCCTTGAAGAAAACCTAGAAGAAAAGTATCTGGAAGTGTCTTAGTCTGTTTTCTCTTGGTTATAACTGAATACCTGAAACTGGGTAATTTATTATGAAAAGGAATTTATTTCTTACAGTTATGGAGTATAAGAAGTCCAAGGTCAAGGGGCTGCATCTAGTGAGGACCTTCTTGCCAGTGGGGACTCTCTGCAGAGTCCCTAGGCAGCACAGAGCATCACATGCAGAGGGAGCTGAATGTGTTAGCTCAGGTCTCTCTTCCTCTTCTTATAAAGCCACCAGTTCCAATCCCATGATAACCCATTAATCCATTAATGGATTAATCCATTCATGAGAGCAGAGCCCTCCTGATCCAATCACCTCTTAAAGGCTTCACCTCTCAGTACTGCCACATTGGGAATTAAGTTTCACCATGTGTTTTGGAAAGGGACAAATATTCAAACCATAGCAGGAAGTAAGAAGAAAGGGATGATTACTTTCAAGGAACAAAGGAATGCCTCTGTTTCCCTTAGCAGGTGTCAGGTGATTGAAGATTTTTTTAAAAAAAAAAGAAAAACAAACCTAATTCTGACAATTATTTGGAATCAGTCTGTCAGCCGCTTTTGCATTCAATCTTTATGTCATACGAATGTATTGAAAGAGAAAAGTTAAATTTGGTATTTACTGAATGAATGTACAGTATACTCAGGAACCTGAGAATCAGCTCCACGTGGGATGTTTTATGTCTTCATTCTCACTTCTCTCTTCCTGAGATTCTGAGGCTGTTTGCCTGTGAATGATATGGTTTGGCTCTGTGTTCCCACCCAAATCTCATTTTGAATTGTAATTGCCATGTGTCGAGGGAGGGAGTTGATTGGATCATGGGGGCGGTTTCCCCCATTCTGTTCTTGTGATAGTGAGTGAGTTCTCACAAGATCTGATGATTCTATAAGTGGAAGTTCCTCTGTCGCTCTTCTCTCTCCTGCTGCCTTGTGAAGAAGTTTTGCCTTCCACTGTGATTGTAAGTTTCCTGAGGCCTCCCCAGCCTACAAAACTGTGAGTCAATTAAACCTCTTTCCTTTATAAATAACCCCATGTCAGGGAAGTTATTTATAGCAGTGTGAAAACGGACTAATACAAGGCTGGCGCGGTGGCTCACACACAGGATTACAGATCCTAGCACTTTGGGAGGCTGAGGTGGGCAGATGGCTTGAGGTCAGGAGCACAAGACCAGCCTGGCCAACATGACAAAACCCTGTTTCTACTAAAAATACAAAAATTAGCCTGGCATGGTGCCGGACACTTGTAATCCCAGCTACTCAGGAGGCTGAGACACAGGAATCACTTGAACTCTGGAGGTGGAGATTGCAGTGAGCTGAGATTGCACCATTGCACTCCAGCCTGGGCAACAGCGTGAGACTTGGTCTTAAATAAATAAATGAATAAATAAATAAATAAATAAATAAATAAATAAATAAAACAGATGAATACTATTGTGAAGTTAAGCTTCAGGTCTTCAGAGCTCAAGAAGGGAAGGCTCGAGCCAGTCAAGTAGCTCTTCCCTTTTCATCCCTTTGGTCAGCATATGCTGGGTTTATTCAGTTGAGTAATGAAGCCTTTTGGGTAACTGGTGTTTTACCCGTGTCTTTAAGGTTTATGTATTTTTTCCTTTGTTAGAGACCCTTTCATGGTCACTATGTGGAATTATCCTTGCCTACAAGTTCATCCTACTGTCATTGATTCTTCTTTGGATCACTCTAAATAATTCCCGTTCTCCTTAGAGAATTCTCAACTAGGTTTTTCAAGTCATGCAACAACATGCCAAGGGAAATCTTTGCCTGACTAATAGACTTGGAGTAATGATGGTTATAACCTGTTGAGATTTTTAAAAAGCTATTGAAGAGTCTAGCCAAGCCTATTGGCTAAAAACTGGGTCGTGTGGCTCTGAATGGGGAGAGGGAACTGACAGCTGCCCTACTCTGGCTATAGAATGTCCGCCATTAAGGACAGATCTTATTTAACATTTTACAATTGAAAACTGTCCCTGGTTTTCAGATAATGCTTAAAACAAACAAAAAACAAACAAAAAGAACAACAACAACAACAACAACAAAAACCCCACCCAACTCAAAACATTAAAGAATGAATATGCCACCCCTGTTCCTGTAAGTGGAACCAGCCGTCCACGCTTCATAGCTTTTGTCTAGTCCCTTGAACAAAAGTTCAGCTGCACTGTGAAGTCCCACATCTCTGCTCCTCAGCTAGCTAACCCTCATGTGGCTGCTCCCCTTGGCTCTGACACTCATTTCAGCCCTGTTTCAGAGCCCCTTTGGTACCTGCTTCTGCACTTTAGACTACTGCACCCATGACTCTGCAGTTCACCCAGGCCTCATTGCACCTTTTCTTCCAGGTATGAATATGCTCTCTGGGCCGACCCTGGTGTAGTGGGGCCAGGATCCAAACCTGCCTGGCTAGCTCTGTTCACCTCTCCATCAGGGAAGGGGGATCCAACAAAATGTGGCAGCACTCTTAGTAGGACAAAACAGTACTAAACAAGAGCTTTTGCCAGTCATTCTTACCTCTTAGTGCTTCATTTTCCTTATTTGTATGAAACCTTCATAATAAATACTTGTCTTGGTTACTTCACAGGTTCTTACGTAAATCAGATGATTCTTGCATAGATCAAGTGAGGTAATGGAAGGGAAAGCACCTTAAAAAGAGTAAAGCGTAGCATTTTGTTATGGGAATTTTCCAAACCATTTTTTGAAGCCTGTTACCTCTTGAACTAGCAAGTGTCAAATGAATCTTCCTGCAGAAGTTCTCAGACCACATGGTGTCAGTGATGAGCTTTAATGACTCTCTGGCTCCCCTTGCCCACCAGGGGCCTCTTCCCTGCCTCTCCAACCTTTGCTCTTGCATCTGCCCATTCAGACCTCAGGGCCAGCCTAACCAGGCTCCGTATTGTTCCTGAGCACTCCCTTTCCTCTTCTGTCCTTGTGTGGCTGTGCTTTATCTTTTCTGACATGAATGCCACCTAGTTCGCCATCTCCTGTGAAAAGGCCTCCCATTCTTCAAATGTAAACTGTCATTTTAGATGTGTATTAGGTATCTCTCACTGTGTAACAAATAGCCACAAACTTAGTGGCTTCAACCAACACATTTATTATCTCACAGTTTCTGTAGGTCAGGAATCTGGATAGGGCCCTTCTGGGTCCCCTACTTCAGAGTTCCTCACAAGGCTGTAGTCAAGGTGTCAGTTTTCTGAAGGCAGACTGGGGAAAGATCTGCTTCCAGGCTTTTGTGATTATTGGCCAGATCCAGTTCCTTGTGGGCTCTTGGACTGATGACCTCAGCTCCTTGCTGCCTCCGCTGCCTGCTCCATGGGCCTCTCTATGTGGCCGCATGCTTTATCAGATCCAGAGAGTCAGCTGGCACGATGGAAGTCACGGTCTTATGGAAGCTAATCATGGAAGTGACAGGGCATCATCTCTGCAATATTTCGTTGGTTAGAAACAAGTCCCAGGTCCCGCCCACACTCAGGTAGGGGTGATCATACAGGGCATGAAGACCAAGAGGGTGGGGGATTATTGGGGACCATAGTAGAGTCTGCTTGTCACAGATGGTTCCTCTATCAGCCTTTACTTATTTCTTCCAACCAAGTGTGTGATCTTTTCCTTTTGTGAGTCTTCTTTATAACAACGTATTTTTTCCAGTTTACAATTCATGGCTGGTGTTTTTACAATTGACTTAAAAACTTTTTTCTCATGTAACCGTTTTTGCTCATCTTTAATCATCCACTTGCAACCCCACAACAGTCTTGTATTTAGCAACTGTTGTGCAGAAGGCACTCCTTCTTTCCACCCTTTGAAACTAAAGAAGGACCAAGCCAGTTGCTCTCATGTTTAATTCCTGAGTATTTTTCTCCACAATAGCCATATAGCATCCATTGTAAAACCTTCAGATTTGCCAATTTGGCATCAAAAGCAGTGACTCATTCATGTCTATGTAACCTGGCTGGAGTGGTCCATGTTAGCCTGATTTGCACTTAGAGCTGAAGCTTGTTACCTTGTAAAAGAGAAGCAATTTTCCATCAAAGATGCATCAAACATTAGCTGTTTCTGAGTAGTGCATTGTTGTGTTTTTCCTAGGGGCCTTCGTGGATCTCAGAAATGATGCTATCTGTAAAAATGAATTTATTCTCCTTTAATCTATCTAGCTTCTTTTCCCTTAATTCACTTGGTAGTCCTCCTGTTTTCAGGTCACACCAAATGATTTGAAAAAGAGGACTGGCTCTTGGGGAAGTAGCATTTTAATTATTTCCCTTTTGTCGAGTAGTAGGCTGGATATCATTATTGCTGCTGGAGATGTTCAAGAGAATGAAATATTGAATGTGCTTTAAGAGGCTTGGAACATAAGAGAGATATGATATGTATTTCATATATGTGGGCTTGCAGACCCAATTTGACTCATCTAGTCTAGCTTCCCATGCTTTGAGGCTAGTCTCTACTTAACTCGCTCAGATGACTTAACACCTTTTTTATTTTTTGCAGTTTTAATGGATAACTAGCTAGTCCTTAGAAGACGGGTAGAGAAACACCTGTCGGACTTTAGTAAACACCATATTTCTAGTGTTGACATGATCACATCACAGGAAGACGTGAAGCTTGGCCTCTTTCAGAAAAATTCAGATGGAAGTCTACTTAAACTTGGAGGAATCATTCATCTGTTGAGTAAGATGCAGAATTAGTCAGTTAAAGCCAGCTAGAGATGGAAGCATATAAGTGTATGTACCTACATTTTGGGTCTTTGGGGAGCCATCAGACTAAAAGTCAATTAAAACTTCAGTAGAGAAATTTAAAAGTGGTTTCTCCTGGGCAAGAGAAAGATTTGGAGCAGAGAGTGCTCAGGGAAAAGCAGAAGAGTGTTGAAGATGTAATTAATACAGTTAATAGCTGGGAATGGGAATCAGTGCAAAGCCCCATTTGAGAAGACCCTGTGAGGGACTCCAGTTTGGGCCTGAAAGCCACAGTATCCAAGGCTCAGGTCCAACTCAGGAATCTGAAGCCACTGCATGGCCAGCTTAAAGAGGAGGGTGACCAAATCTTGCCAAAATATGTACCACCTTTCTTAATCTCTTACCAATCTGTAAATTAGAACAATGAAGGGAAATGGGGTAGTGAAAGGATGTTTTTCCTCTCTTATTCCTTGGGTATCAGCTTCCTTTGCATTCCTTTATTCATCTTACGCTCTAATATGTTAAGGCTTTTTTTCCCCCCAGTCTCTGCCCAGTTTATCTACTCTCAGATGATGTTATCATAGAATTCATATACCCAGCCTCTACCATAAGATGTAGAACCATATCCCTGGCTTGGGCAGAGGACCTCATTATGCTTATGTTGCATTGTGACACCAAATTTGAAATGTGTTCAAAATAAAGTTGATTGACTCTTGCAGTATCTGTCACTCAGGCATAACTCTTAGGAATCATGTTTTCCATTTTCACTCCCATCAATGCCGTTTGGATTCTGAAGGTAGTGTGGCAGCATGGAAAGAGGATGAGGTGCTGGCATCCATGAGATTTAGGTTCGAATCCTGCCCCAGCCACTTCCGAGCTGGTCACCATGGGCAAGCATGTTATTTGGTATGTGTGAGCCTTTAGAGATAAGTTCCCTTATCTCTAAAACCAGCATGATAATCCCTGCCTACCACGTGGGACTGTTGGAGAATATTAAATGTGGTATGCATGTAAACCACCTAACACAGTGCCAAGTGCAGGTGACGGGCTCAATGACAAGCTACCAATGGTTAGTTTGAATGCATTGAGCACAGTGCCTGGCATGTTCAAGGCCGTTGTTTTGGGATGTCATTCGCTTTCAGGCCTCCCCTGGCATTGTGGAACACAGAGCTCTGCACATAGTGGGTCTTCTCTACCTTCCCTAGCACTTTCACCAGATGTGTTTGGCTTTGATGTTTCAGAGGAAACAAAAGCTGACCCCTTTGTGATCCCCTGCAGCTTACAGCCACTAGATTTACAAATGGCTTATGTCTAATCTCCTCCCCTCCTGCATTTATTTCGATACAATGAAGTTGGCGTTTCTCTGTCCTTCTGCTGGAGTTAACCCTTCCCCTGGGTTCTGGATCACATCCCTTCCTGTCCAGGGACCCCTCCCTTTCCTAATTGTGCCCACTTCAACCACACCTTCTTTACTGGTTCCTTCCCATCAGCAATTAACCATGTCCAGGCCTCCCTTATCTTAAAAAAATAAAATATTAAAAGCCATGTCATGATTTCTGTCCTCCCCCTACAGCTTCCACCCTGTATTATTCCAATCCTTCACAGCCAGACTTCCTGAGCTTCTTCCACACCCTCATTCCCACAGTCTGCCTCCCACTCAATTTCCCAGGCACAGCATTCTGACTTCACTTTTCCTTCATTCAGATTAGTCTCACTAGGGTCACCTGTGACCTTGTCACTAAGGCCACACTGCTGACTACACTTTCCCTATTGAAATACTTTCTTTCTTTGTCTTCTCTGATTCCATATTAGCCTGATTTTTCTCCTACCTCTGACCACACCTCAGTTTCCTTTGCAAACTTTTCTACTTTTGCTTTTCTTAAATGTTGATGTTCTCCACTATTCTGTCCTAGGTTCTCTTCCCCTCTAATTCTGAACAATCTCCCAGGGAAAGAGTCTACTCATTCATTTGCTGTCTGTACACAGGTGACTCCCTTATTTCTGTTTCCAGCCCAGACCTTCCTTTCTTTGAAGTGCCAGATCTAATATCTGATACCTTAAACTAAAAACTGACTGAATTTATATCCTTTCTTGGTTGCACTGAAATACTCTTCCTGTGATGGCTCCTCATCAATCTATAGTGGTGGCTCACACGCCTTAGTGTGCACTGGAATCACCTGGAAGGCTCGTGAAGCTACAGAGTACTGGCCCGCAACCCCAGAGGCTCCGAGTCTGTAGGTCATGGACGGTGCCTTTTATTTTGCATTTCTAAGAGCTCACAGGTCATGTCTATGCTGCTGGTAAGGAAGCTCTGTTATAAGGAAATCAGGCAGTCTTTCCCACACCCTACTCTACCTCATATACCTCCCCACTTCCCCACTAGCATCTAAATATTATAATTTTGCCAGTTTTGCCTTCTACATACCTCTCTAGCCAGGACCTTCCATTCCCTTGGCCACTAGTCTGATTTAGTGCAGTGACCTATTAACTGGCCTCCTGCCTCCAGTCTCACTTTTCCTAAATCTGTTCCCTGTTCAGAAACCTGTCTAAGCTTCCCAATACTTTAATCATGTCAGCCTTTTGCCACCATTCTCCTATAGCTCCCCATTGCCTTTGTGATAATCCAAACTCTGTAATGTTTAACTGGCCTCTGCCTATCTATGTAGTACCTTCTCTTGTTCCTCCTTACTCTGCACAGCATACACCAGGCACACAGAAAAATATCAGCAATTTATATATATAACAATTACTGAGTGCTTACTGTGTTTTAGCCCCTGTGGCACTTTAACAGATATTAATTTCATTTAATCCTCCCATTAACTCCTTAGGGTAAGTTACATTTTACAGACAAGGAAATGTGACCTATTTTGTAATGCTGCCATTGTCCTGTATACCAGTCCTGTCCTGCCAGTTGTGTCCAAAATAACAGGGTTGGATTCACTTATAACTCGCTACAGGCCAGGCACGGTGGCTCACGCCTGTAATCCCAGCATTTTGGAAGGCCGAGGTGGGTGGATCACCTAAGGTCAGGAGTTCAAGACCAGCCTGACCAACATGGTGAAACCCTGTCTCTACTAAAAAATACAAAAATTAGCCGGGCGTGGTGGCAGGTGCCTGTAATCCCAGCTACTCGGGAGGCTGAGGCAGGAGAATCACTTGAACCTGGGAGGCAGAATTTGCAGTGAGCTGAGATTGCACCCTTGCACTCCAGCCTGGTCGACAGAGCAAGACTCCATCTCAAAAACAAAAAACAAAAACAAAACTCCAAGAGACAACAACAACAACAACAAAAACATTAATAGTAGCTAACAATTGTTAAAAAATATACTTGTGCCAGGACACTACATGTAAACATAACTCATATAAACTATTTCCAGTGGGCAAAGGAGGAAATTCAGAGACAAAGAGTAATTTATTTGTTTGGAGCCACATAGCTCAAGCTCATAGGATCTAGGTTTGAATTTAGATCTTGTGACTCCAAAGCTCATGCTATCTGTCATGCCTATGGATGGAAGCAGTGAAATTATATAAGGAGAGCTGTTGATCATTAGGCAGCTTCTAAAATTTAAAACCCATCACTGTCTATAACTGAATTATAAAATTTTCCACAACCCTCCCACCCTAATTGGAACCCACCCACATACACCCATCTTTCTTCCAGATCCCATCATACCTTGGTGGGAAGAGCTTGGACGTGGAGTCAGACTGGGTTCTGATGCCCCTCTACTAACCATCTCCTTGGATGAACCCTGGGATAAGTTAGTTTACTTCTTTGAATTGCTGGTTGCTTTTCATTAAAACTCAGGATATTAACAAGCAATGGGTTTCTGAAAGAAAAAAAAACCCTAAGATAATAATACTTTCCTCATGGGGTTGCTGAGACAAATGAATGTGAGTACCCACTTCTCCATCCTTGTGCCTTAATGAGATAGTACCTTATCCGACAGTGCCTTAATGGAACATTGGGTATTATTGTAATGGCTTCCTTACCATCTCCTTGCTTGTGCTTACACTGTCCCCCTCCCCTATTCTTACCCCCATCACTGCTCCCCATCTATGCTCTACACTGCCACCCGAAAAAGATTTCTAAGATACAAATCCTAGGGACTTTCCGTTAATCGTTATGGTGGGCTATTAGATTCACCAGGAGGAAACTACTGAAAACCAAAGGCAGATACACCCTCCCACTGAAACAACTAAAAATATTTGGATTTAAAAAAAATCTCAAAGCATTAAAGAACTGACGGGCATTACCAGGTTAAAATTGGAATTGATAAGACATTGTAGGTTTGACCACCAGTTGCTGGGGACAGAAATAAGGTCCAGACTCTTTATAAGAAGCTGGAACCCCAAAGGGCTACACCATCAGGGTAGACATGAAACAGCAGCTCTCACATGGAAATGCAGCCCAGGTTCAAGCTGACTGGGTCAATCAAAGAATCTAAAGTCTTGAATTGGTTTAAGGACTGGTGCCTCTGGATATCTGGCAAAATCAAGTGGAAATTCTTTCAAAAGAAAGGTTTCTTCAACCTAGGCCTCAGATTATTCAGTGACCAGCCCATAAATATAACCAGGCATCCAAGGAAATCATACTTCAAAGACAAGAACCATAAGAAACCACAAACAACAGAAGCAGCTCTTCAAAAACATCATCAGGTACTAGAATCATCACAGTCTAAAAAATGTCTATTTGAAATCAGACTTCAAAGACAAGAACCATAAGAAAACACAAACAACAGAAGTGGCCCTTCAAAAATATCATCAGATACTAGAATCACCACAGTCTAAAAAAAAAGTCTGTTTCCCCTGTTTAAAGAAATAAAAGATAACTTTGAAGATAACTCTGAATTATGACATAGCAAATTGGAAAAGAAACCAAAAAATCCTTCTAGAAATAAACATTAAATTAATGAAATTAAAAACTTGTGGATGAAGAAAAGTGTATGTTTGATTAAATATTTTGAAGAGAAAAAGTCAGTGGATAGATTTAACAGCAGATTGGATAAAGTGGAAGAGAAAGTTAACAAACTGGAAGAGAGTAAGAAAAAAATTATTCAGAGTATTGCAATGGAGAGACAAATAGAAAATGCAGAGGAGAAGGCAAGAGACATAGAGAACAGAGTGAGAAGGTTTAAATAAGTTGAATTAGAGTTCTAGAAGAAGATGAGACAGAAAATGGGCAAAGGTGAAATTTGAAGACAGTGGCTGAGATTTTCCATAGCAGGCGAGATACCATTAAGCAGATTAGTGACTGCAAGTCTAATTTTTAAAAAAATATCCAAATTTAGATACACCAGGAGGAAACTACTGAAAGCCAAAGGCAAAGAGAAAAAAGCAGCTGGAGAAAAAAAAGTTTGTCTTCAAAGGAGCACTAGACTGACCAGGATAACCTTTTCTCATTAAATATAATTTAACCATTTCTCATTAAATATAATTCTGATCATATTATTCTCAGAATTTGCAATGGTTTTCCATCACTAAAATATAAAATAGATACTCTTCAGAATGTCATATGAGGCGTTTCATGGTCTGGTCCCTACACCTCATTTATACACACACGGCTTTCCTCCTACTCAGTTTACTCTTGCTTGTGTGCCTTTGCACGCTCTCTTCTCCCTTTCTAAAATGCTCCCTCGTCCCATTCACCTAGCTATTTCCTACTCAGCCTTTCCATTCTCAACTCAAGAGTTTAGCCGCTCTGTCAAACTGCGGGGCTCCCATCTCATTGCCCTTAGGCACACTGCTTGCCAGCAGTCATGAACAGCATGTGCTTTCAAAATTTGTTTGCATTTTTGTCTCCCTTCCAACATAGGAGCGAGCTCCCTGAGGACAGAGCTTGATACTCCATCAATATTCAGGATGCTCACTGGGTTGACTCCAGCATTTCAGGAGGTCCCATGCCATTTAAATAATATCTTGATACAGGTTTTCATGGCTCTTTTCATAGTGCCCAGTTCTTGCTAGTGTGGAGAACAGGTCACCACTGTCAACACCAGCATCCTGCATGCTGTCATTCACTGGCTCCCCCTCTTCACTACTCCTCTTTCCTCAGTGAAGCTGGAATAACAGTACCCACTTTACCCATAGTATAAGTTGTAAGTTAAAAGAGGTAATATAGGCGAGCATGCTGTGAAAATTCTTTGGCATCATACATTTTCATTAGCTCTATATCAGAGTGAAATTTGCTTAGGCCTAGGGATTTTGTGAAGAAAGGAGCTTATTGGTGCTCCTGAAGACTGTCCCTCCCAAGTCTTGCCTTGACAGGAGCTAGATGTGGGGTCCTAGAATGATCATAAGCACTCGTTAGCCCAGCAAGCTTGCAGCATCACAAATGATTATTCACAGTGTATGTTACCTTGCCCCTGTGAGGACTTGTGTTTTCATTTCTACATTTCACTGAAGAGAGGGGGGCCCATAAGATAAGTTTTCCTAGTTGGTTTTGAGAGATCCAGAAGGGACATATTTTCATTTACAAATACATACTGCATTCTTTTCATTGAACTCTTTGGAAATTGTAAATTTCTGTGGCCCTCCATTCAGAGATTGAACAAGCTTGGATTTGTCAGCTTTGGACTTAAATCACTGCCATTATCTTAATTTGGGTTCTGATTGTGTCTCACCTAGATTCTAACCTCAGCTTTCTAAGATCTCTGCTACCATTGTCTCTTCATTCCAGGGTTCTATCAAATTCATAGCTCTAAAATACATGTGTGATATATAGCTCTTAAGAGAAGAATTGCCCTGGCATTTATAATGCTTTATAGGATAGTGTCCTAGCTTGTCAGTTTCATTGTCTGGGCCTGTATGTTAGAAAGTATATTCCGTAGAGAATAGCATTAAATCCTAAAATATCAGTGGCTTAAACAAGAAAGAAGTTAATTTCTATCTCACGTAGAAGAAGATCAGAGACAGGCAGGCCAAGACTTGTAGGATAGCTCCACAGTCTTCAGCTCATTCTGTTGTACTGCTCTGCAGAGTAGAAAACACCCTTGACCTCTGGCCTCCAGGACCAGGATGAGCGATCAAGGTCCAGCTATCAAATCCACATTCCAGCCCGCAGGATTGAGAAGAGAGAGAAGGCTGGGCCTCTGCCTTGTAAGGTTACTCCTGGAAGTCACTAACAACACACTTTCCCCAGAATCTTGTTGCCTAAAATGTAGACATGCAGGGATGTGGCTGAGGGATGTGGCCTTTTAACTAGGTGGCAGTATGCCCAGCTAAAAATTGGAGTTCTTTTTACTAGGAAAGAAGAGGCTGGATAATTGGGCAGTGACTAGTCCCTCCCACAGGGCCATTCTACCAGCGTTATTTCCCCCCTATTCTAGTTCCTCCCTACCCAGCACTGTGTCCCCAACCTGTTAATAGCTACAGTAAATCTTTTACTGGGCCTTTACCATGGCAGGTCCACTCACAGATCTAGGTCTTTCACAAGTTCTGGCCTTTGTCTGGAGTGGCCTTCAACTTCCTTATTTCTCTTTGGAACATCTATATCTATATATCCTTCAAGGCTCAACTCACTTCCTCAGTGAATTTTCTTCATTAACAGTGACAGAACATTATCCCTTACTTTTGTGTATAGCAGTGTGGTGCACTGGAAGAGTTTCATGGATTTAGGGGTTGCATGGACTTGCATTTCAATATCCTCTCTCCAGCTTGGGCTGGAAAGTTTCTCAGCATATAAACTGTTTGTAAAGCTACAGCCCAGGTCTGTTTTCTGAGTTCCAGACCTTCATTTTGAATTGCTTACTCAGTTTCTTCACTTAAAAGTCTCATATGTGACCTATCAAATAGAACCACCTCCGAAATAGAATTATTGATCTTTACCCCTTCCTCTTGTCTTTCCTGTGCCATAAGTGATGCCACTATCAACCTAATTGCTAGTGTCAGAAAGCTGGAAATAATCCTTGACTTCTCTTAGCTGATAATCCTTAAGCTCTCATATGTAATTATCACCAAGACTATTCAACTCCAAAATATATCTTAATTCCATCTCCAATGCCTGCATCACAGCTCCAGCCTCTCATGCCTTGACTATTGCAGTAGCTTTTAACTGGTCTCCCTACACCCACTCTTAGCCTGCTCTTATCTTGCCCTGGGCAATGTTGCTGTCTTGCACAGAATCCTTACCCATCTTGCCGTTGTACTTAAATTCTGGCTTCTTATGTTCTGCAAGGCCCACACCTGACTTGGCACCTATCTACCTCTCATTCTCATCTCTAGCCATGCCCATTCTTGCTCACTGTGCTCCAGCCATGCCTCATGGTCTTTGTTCTGGTCCTTGATTGTGTGAAGAACTTCCTGCCTTTACCCTTTCCTGTGTGCCATTCCTATCTTGGGTCTCTCATTCTCCTCTTCACTCCTGTATACACTGTCCTTATGTCTCAATTTAAATTCTTTCCCTGATCTCTAATCTAAATCATATGTCCTTTCCCCCTTCTTTTTGGGATTATTCTTTCCTTCTTAGCATTTATTACAGTTTTTATTTTTTTTGAGACAGGGGCTCACTGCGTCGCCAAGGCTGGAGTGCGGTGGCACGATCCTGATTCACTGCAGCCTCCACTTCCTGGGCTCAAGTGATCCTCCCACGTGAACCTCTCAGGTAGCTGGGACCACAGGTGTACACCATCACACCTGGTGGATTTTTTTTTTGTATTTTTTGTAGAGACAGGGTTTTGCCATGTTGCCCAGGCTGATCTTGAACTCCTGGGTTGAAGTGATCCTCCCACTTCAGCCTCCTGAAGTGCTGGGATTACAGGCGTGAGCCAACATGCCCACCCTATAATTTTATATTTATTGAGTGATTATTTATATGATATTCCCACATTAGTCTATAGGGCTGGGATCATATTTCTTTTAACACTGGATCTTCAGTGCATTAATGTGTTCAATAAATACACATGGAATAAATGAATAATAACTGATCTTGTGATTAAACAATGTAGTAGAGTCTCATTAAATTGACAACTTTGCTAATTTTTTTTTTTTTTTTTTTTTTTTTTTTGGAGAGACAGGTTCTTGCAGGCTGGAGTGCAGTGGTGCAATCTTGGCTCACTGCAGCCTTGAATTCCCAGGCTCAGGTGATCTTCCCACCTCAGCCTCCTGAGTAGCTGGGACTATAGGCGAGCACTACCATGCCCAACTAAATTTTATATTTTTAGTAGAGACAGAGTTTCGCCGTGTTGCCCAGGCTGGTCTTGAACTCCAAAGCTCTAGTGATCCTTCTGCCCTGGCCTCCCAAAGCACTGGGATTACAGGCATGAGCCACCCAAGACCAGCCGACAACTTTACTATTCAGTGTGGCAAGACATGGTTGTTGGAAATGTATTAAGGTGATTCACCTTTTCAACCTGGCATTGTGTTTCTTTATATCCATTGACTGTTATCTGTGATTCTCACCTGTAAGGCTTTAAACCTTGGTTTAATTTATTAGAATGTAACTTTGTCTGAACAAAGCCTCATTTCTGCCAGGATATCCTTCTGAATATAGAACCTGAAAAGGTCATGTTCAGGTCTGATAGAAAATCATGATTGGGCCCACTTCTATGGCTTGCCCTCTCTCTTAAGATGTAATTTGGTATAACATTTTGAACAGCCGACTTGCTGTTGTTGGGATGGAATCTGAGGTAACAGTCATTTGAAGATGGAGCCATCAGTGATCATCACAGAAAGCTGTTTGCCCAGGATTTAGGCTGCCTTGGAAACCCAGTCCTCTCACTGCAGTGTCTTGATTGGTAGCATTTGAGACCAAACTAGTTGTCAAATATCTAAGTAGAGGATACTTATTCATGGTAATTCCACGCTTTGATTTTTTTCCTCAGTTACTTTGTTCTGCAGAGCACATTGGTGAGGTATGTTATGGAACAAACAGATCAACAACTTGTGTGGTTTTTTTTCTCTCTACAATTATAAAAAATGTTCTAAAAGCATTTGATGATTTTGGAATCCTGAATTATGGGTTTAAAAGAAAAGTTGAACCTTGCTGATGTCCTCTTTCACTGATAGAGAGGGCAATCTACGATAGGAAAGTTTGTGTTTGCTTTTACTTTTTGGAAAACAATGAGGATTCTGCATTCAGAGGGCACTTCAGTAGGTAGATTTCAGCATAGATGGAAAAGCAAACAGTTGATCATTCTTAAACCCCGGTAGGTCAGATCATGTCAGTGTTTCCAGAGTACGCCCAGAATGGTAAAAGTTGGCTTTAAGCTGAGTTTTTGCTAAAAGGCAGCCAGTCCTGAAAAGGATTGATTTATTTACTTTGGCCTTGGCAACATCTAAATGATGATAAGTGCAAGTTTCTCTTAGCTCTCTGGAGAGGCTCCCACGTAAATTGGTTGTGACCCCTAGAATCCAGAATCCCTAACATAGTTGGATAAGAATATTTTGTGGGGAAATCTAATGTAACAAGTAAAGATTCAAAATTTTAAATGTTTAGAAGTGTGTAATTTGCTGCTTTTGTTCATGAGTGTTTTTAATACTTCTGGTAGAGAGCCTAACTGCCTCTTTCCTCAGGAGATGTGGTTTCAGTTTCTTGGGTGAATGTGCGTTTTGTAAGTTTTTTAAGAAAGGAAATTAAACATTAAAAGACTTTAAGTACTTTACTCTTTATATAATGTCACTAAGAAAAAGCCAGGAAAATCAGGGTTGGGTTTTTAAATTTATTTATTTAATAAATATAATCTATTTTCCACCATTTTGTTTGTTATGGCTGGTACCAAAGTACTTTTAAAAGTTAACATTTATTATGATTTTGTTTTATTTCAGCAGATGTGCATAATAAATTAACCTATCTCTATTCTTCATTTTGGGCTGGGGCAGCATTTAACATCTAGTTTTTTGGAATTTCGACACACAGGCTATTTAGTTTAATTCAACATAGTTTGATGCTCTCCAGTTGTATGATATTTATGATAGTATGTGAATAATGTTAAGTAGATAAAATGTGGTCTGCTGAGGCTGAGTGCTCAGCCTGAGTATAATACTGGTATGTGACAGGTCCACTGGCGGCCTGGGGTTCTTCTGTAAAGTGAGTAGTTTGGGGTAACTGGTATCCAGGCATCTTTCTAGATTGAATTTTAAAATCCCACTAATTGATATGCATCTGGTTGATGACTCCTCTTCTCTCTTTATCTTTTTAATGTAGGAAGAGAGGATGGTGATGCACCGGTTACAAAAGATGAGACCACCTGCATTTCACAAGACACAAGAGCTTTATCGGAGAAATCCCTGCAAAGATCAGCAAAGGTCATTGCCTACAGATTTTCTCCACGTGTCCAAATGGCTTTCACCTGAGCTACTTGTTGAAGATCTCGTGTGATTCAGTCAGGACTGTATTTGGTCATTTAATCAGAAAAGTTAGAGCAGAGAATCATAAAAAGTGAATTAAAAAAAAAAAACTTTAAACATATAAATACGAATCCATCTTCCTGCCTTTGGATAAGGGGTCAAGGCCTTTTCTTTGAGTGTGGGTATGTTGATTGGAGTTCTGTGTTATCTTTCTTGCTTAAACCACACTTGTAATGCAGCATTTATCACTTTGAGTTTTGGTGGAGTGAGAATTTAGACAGTGGAGAAGCAGTATGAATATAGACTCTCTTCAGATTTGTACAGTTTTTGCTCCAATTTTTTTGTTGTTACCATGCCCATACCTAATTTAAAAATAATTTTAATGTCTTTTTTAGTTTTTCCAAAGTATTCAATTTAGTTATAGAAACAATTGTTTTTATATTCCTATTTCACCATTTTGCACAATTCACTTGTATTCTTTAATTATAGAAGCTAGTGTCATTTTCAGATGTGGGATGAAACAGCTGACTTCTTTTTTTTTTGTTTTGAGACAGAGTTTCACTGTTGTTGCCCAGGCTGGAGTGCAATGGCACGATCTTGGCTCACTGCAACCTCTGCCTCCCTGGTTCAAGCGATTCTTCTGCCTCAGCCTCCTGAGTAGCTGGGATTACAGGCGTGTACCACCATGCCTGGCTAATTTTTTGTATTTTTAGTAGAAATGGGGTTTCGCCAGGCTGGTCTCGAACTCCTGACCTCGTGATCTGCCTGCCTCAGCCTCCCAAAGTGCTGGGATTACAGGTGTGAGCCAACATGCTCGACTAAACACAGCTGACTTCTAGCTGTGCACATAGCTCATAGTGGCAGAAATGGTGAAGGGCAACGTATAAAGTGGCATAATGGCATGAGGCTTTATGTTTCAGAAGCATCCATCAGTGTGTTTCATATGGGAATGCAGTGTGCTTACTCTACCAAGCAAGTTGATTAATAGAGTATTGCTCTTGCATACTGACATGAGGAATTTCTAAATTATACTCTATATATTTGAGTACTAACTGTGCTCCAGGCAGCATGCTAAGTGTGGGAGATTAGAATGAATGGAAAGCCTGGGGATGGATCTGGCTCACAGACCTATTTTGTTTGACCTGTGCAGTATTTAAAAATTTTGACTTCATGGCTTTCAGCAAAAAAAAAAAAAAAAAAAAAAAAAGAGTCGTCGGTGGGCGGGGGTGGGGGTGTTCACATTAAAAATTAGACTTTTGGCTTCTCTTGTCAAAACAAAACATTTGGTAACACTGGGCCAAATTTCTAAATGACTGTAGTCAGAGCTGAGTAGAGGCAGCCCTGGAACCTGTGTTCTTTGATTTGCTACTGCCCTCCAAACATGTTTTCCCTCTCCCTTCTCCCTTTTCCCTATCTCCCTTTCTTTTGGATAATGTTTTTAATGGATTCAACCAAAAATTACAAGGCAAACAGCACTTGCCTGCGAAACTTATGCTATGGTAGAGTCATTTCCATGACAATTAACATTATATGAATTGCAAGTAATGTAGTAATGTCAGCCTACTTTATACGTTTCCGTGCTGTCAAACATTAAAACAAGAAACAGGAATTTCCAGTTCAGACAAGATGGCATAGACCTATTTTTTCTTGCTCCTCCCACTGAGGATAACTGTAAACCCTGGAAAAAACAAGAGGCAACCAAAGGAGAATTCTGAAAGGTGAAAAGAGGAAGGCAAACTAGTTATGTCAGTACTAGAGAAACAACATAACAGCAGGGACCTCACAACCCCCACCAACAACAGCAACAACAGAAGGTGGCCCAGGCCTAGTGTTTCTGAATGCCAACCTAGCAATAGAGGGTGGCCCAGCTAGACTAATTCTCACCCATATCTAACAGAAATCCCTCCAGCAACATCCACAGCACCTGTAAAGAGCCCTAATGACCGTAAGTGGTTAAGAGAAGGGGTTTCCTTCCTCACCGGACCTGCAGCTTCTCTTTCCCACCAAGAGACATCAGGTATCTGAGTGGCTCCAACAAGAAGGATTCTAGAAGTGGCCCAGAAAGCCTCTTTGTTTCTGTGGGACTGCGACTCTCGTCTACCCAGAGGCACTGAACATTCAGAGACACTGGACATCTACCCAGAAAACACCAGGAAAGGGGATCTGGCCACAACATGCAGTCAAGTATGGGAAGCCCCTGTGTTCTCACAGGCAAGAGAATTTTGCTTCTTCACCCAGAGACACCAAGCAGCTGGGTGGCATTAGCAAGGGAGATCTGGTCATAATGGGTGTGTGGTCCAGGAAGCCTCTTTATCCTTGTGGGCCAGAGACTTCCCTCTCCCACTCAGAAACACTGGGCAGCCAGGTAGCACCAATAAAGGTGATCCTGCCACAACAAGAAACCCAAAATGGGAAGCCTCTTTGTCCTTGCAGGCTGGAGATCCCCATTCCATACTTAGACCAGGTGGCCTGGCTTGGGGAATTTCTTGCCACCCACATAGGCAGTACCAGTAGAGACCAGCGGGAGCCCCAGTGATACCATATAAACCAAACATACCAAGATAGCACTGCAAAGGCTATTTTCCAAGGAAATTGTCATTGAAACTACAGCCCACAAAAGTAGGTCAGGACCTGCATGTTAAACCCCAACAGGGTGTATGACTGCCTTCTAAAATAAAAGATTTAAATGAGACCCAGAGTGTCTTAACATGATAACCAAAAGGTCCAGGATACAATTGGAAACCACCAATCATATCAAGAACCAGGAAGATCACAACATGAATGAGAAGACAATCATCTGATGCCAACACTGAGGTCTTGCAGTTACCCAACAATGATTTAAAAATAGCCATCATAAAAGTGCTTCAATAAGCAATTAAAAACTTTCTTGAAACCTTGGAGAAAATAGAAAATCTCAGCAAAGAGTTAGAAATTATAAAAAGGCCGGGCACAGTGGCTCACTCCTGTAATCCCAGCACTTTGGGAGGCCAAGGTGGGCAGATCACCTTGAGGTCAGGAGTTCAAGACCAGCCTGACCAACATGGCGAAACCCTGTCTCTACTAAAAAAATACAAAAATTAGCTGGGCGTGGTGGCACATACCTGTAATCCCAGCTACTGGGGAGGCTGAGACAGGAGAATCTCTTGAACCCAGGAGGCGGAGGTTGTAGTGAGCTGAAATCGTGCCACCGTATTCTAGCCTGGGTAACAGAGCAAGACTCTGTCTCAAAAAAAAAAAAAAATTATATAAAGGACCAAATGAGAAGTATAGTCCTGAAAAGTACAATAACAGAAGTAAAAACACTATTGGATAGGCTCAGTAGTAGAGATGACACAGCAGAGAATCAGTGAACTTGAGGAGATCAGTAGAATTAACCCAATTTGAACAAAGAAAGTATAGACTGAAAAAAATTGAACAGAGCCTCAGGGAGTTGTGGGACAAGAAGAAGATTGAACATTCAGACAACTGGAGCCCTAGGAGAGGATCAAGAGACTGAAGATGAAAGGAGAGATTGTGCAGAATGGGGACAGGTGAAAATATATCTTCAGAGAATTTAAGGTTCTAGCAAAAGTTGTATAACAATGTATAATGCTGTCCATCTGTACAATTGTAATTTCTTTTCTGATCAACTCTATACCTTGCGTTTAAGGTTAGAGAATACTGGTGGCTGAAATGTTGCAGGACTGAGGGTTTTTAGGGTGGGGTTAGTGGAAGGACCAGAAGATAAGGCATTTGACAGCTTGGGTAAGAGGACTTGAGGTGATAGAATATGGTGGTTCAAGGCCGGATGCAGTGGCTCACGCCCATAATCCCAGCACTTTGGGAGGCCAAGGCGGGCAGATCTCTTAAGATCAGGAGTTTGAGACCAGCCTGGACAACATAGTGAAACCCTGTCTCTACTAAATAAACAAAAATTAGCCAGGCGTGGTGACTGGTGACACACACCTGTGGTCCCAGAAACTCAGGAGGCTAAGGCAGGAGGATTGCTTGAACCTGGGAGGCGGAGGTTGCAGTGAGCCAAGATCACACCACTGCACTTCAGCCTGGGTGACAGAGCAAGGTCTCCAAGAAAAAAAAAAGTGTGCATGTGGTATTGGTATTGTGTGTGCGCACACACACACACACACACGGTGGCTCTGGGAAGGGAGGAAAGGATTCGAGGCTTAGACGTAGATAACAGACTTGGAGAACAGGCAAGGGTTAAAGGTGCTAGAAGTCTTGATGTGGTGAAAAAGCCTGTGGAGTGCAGCACTGGAGAACAAGCGAGCTGTGTGGTGGATTCATCGGAGAGGAGGTGTTGGAATTGGAATAGTTCCAGATGATGCTGAGGTGTGGCCATGAGGACAAGTTGCTGAAATCAAATAGAAGTGAAGGTTGCTGGCGTTGAAGAGATAGGGAAAGGTGAGGACAGGATGTTGACTAAGTTACTCACCTGGATGGACGTGGGAGGGCCAGACTGTAAGCCAGGTTTCACAGAGTAACCAGGAGGCCAGGAGATGATAATAATAAGATGGGGACCACCTGAACCAGAAGAGGGTGCACATACATGCATGAGGCTGGAAGAGTAAAGGTCTGGGTGTGGCAGTGCAGCATGGGAAAACATGGACACCCATTTCAGAGGCTGTATGTGGGAAAAGGAGCATCCTCTTCCTAAATGGGCTGGGGAAGGCAGTCCTTAGGAGAGACAGTTACATGCAAGGGAGTGGCGAAGGGGGGTGTCCCACAGCCTTCTTGAAAGAGGGCACAGCAGTTTGTTTAAAATAGCTGTTTTTCAGGGAAGAAGGAAGAGTTAAGAGGAAGAAAGTAGAGCATGTTTTGGGACTGAGCTTGCATGAGAAGACGGGTGCCCTAAGGTGCTTTCCTGTGGGGTAGTAGCTGGGAGTGACTGGGGGAGAGGTGTGGTGCACTCAATTGGTTTGGAGGTTTCCTGCAGACAGGCTGAGATTCCACATGGAGTCAGGGACATAGAGAAGAGCAGCAGCCAGCTCAACTGCAGGCTGAATCTTTGTTCAGGGGTCTGGTGGGATGTCGGCAAGCTCTGAGGAAGGGATGAGCCTGCAGACTGGCTACGGTAGGGAAAGGAAGCACTTCAGGAAGAATGTGTTGAGGAGGGGGTGGTGAGGGAGAAGACTCACTTTCTCAGAGAATACTTCTCTCTTGATGGAAATCACATGTGTATGTGGTGGAGTGGTGGCCTCAATCTTCATCTAGTCAAATTAGAGCTTGGGCTTAATCTTGGAAAGAAGGAAGATCAAATATTTCTCCTTTCAGCTATTCAAGACATAATTAAGAGAAGTAATTTATGTCTGATAACCCTTTTACTTTTGCAAAAAGCACCTACCGTGTTGTTTGTGTGAGATACTAGTATTGTTCATGTGAGAAAAATATAATGTGAAACAAATACCTGGAGCTGTACTTCCCTGCTGGAGTCCCACATGTCTTTATAAGACACAGGTCATGGTAATAAAAGCACTTTGATTTAATTCATCCATGTATTGCATAATTTTTCTTGGATATGTATGCCTACTAGGTACTTCTTACAACTTAAATATAGATTACTAAGTCACAGATCATCACTGAGAGGCACTTATTTTGACCTAGAAAAACTGCTGGTTCCTGCTAGTTGATCAAATTATAACCTGCTGACCTCTCCCAAGTGTAATTCAGTTCTGCAGATAAACAACATTGACTATATCTTTGGTGTTTTTAGGTGGTTTACATCTTGGAGAAAAAACATTCTCGAGCAGCAACCGGCTTCCTCAAACTCTTGGCTGATAAGAACAGCGAACTGTTTAGGAAATACGCCCTGTTTTCTCCCTCAGACCACCGAGTGCCTAGAATTTATGTGCCTCTCAAGGACTGTCCCCAGGACTTTGTGGCACGGCCTAAAGATTATGCCAACACACTGTTCATCTGCCGCATTGTGGACTGGAAGGAGGACTGCAATTTTGCCCTGGGGTAGGTGATCTCTGGTAGGAAAAACCACAGGTCACAGGCAGAACTCAGTTTAGGTGGTCTTTAGGTAAACTTTTTGTGTATTTTAATTATTATTTCTTTATTGAAGCACGGTTTCTGGTGTATTTTGGTCCTGATTCTTCAGAAGTCACTCTTAGCTGCCACCTCAACTGATTGCCTGTATGTTCCTTGAATTACCAGGCAGTCACATTCTTGTTTTTGTTTTTTGGCGTAAAACATGAACATTCCGAGCCTCTACTTATTTAGTTATGTCATGTGTCCTATTTGTACTTGTGTACCACAGATAATTCATTGCATCAAACAACCAGTCCTCTCCTTGCAGATGCTAGTGTTAAACCATGCAAAGTCTAGGCATATTCAGGAGACCCCAGGCTCCTTTGCTTTAAAATATGAACATGAAGGTATATTTAAATGGCATTCTTTTTCGGTATTGATTTTGCCTGTGGCATTAAAAACTACCCTATTGTAAGAAGGAAAAGGGTATCATGTTTTTGTGGATGCTGTCAGAGATCAATCTAACTTAAATATACATGACATAGTCCAGGAGCATCATGGATGGCCACTTCATTTTCATCTGAAGAAACTGCTGGACCCAGTTGTTTGACCAAATGCTATGCCTATTTTCTTCTTAGAACTGGTATTCATATTGAAAGAAAAGCAGTAAGTTTTAGCTATGTTAAGTGTTTATTATAGATGATGTCTGGTTTATGCTTCACAGGAAATGACTATAAAGGTATACAATCTAGAAAAGAGCCTGTTGATTTACTTTTAGTCTAGTTTAATGACTTGCTTGTTGGTCATCTAACTTGTACAGGATGCACCCTCCTGGGAATGTCCTATGGGTAGGAGAGTCAGCACTGAATGGATGGCTACAATGTGCTGCTTTTATCAGGTTTATTCTATACTTAGCTTCTTATGCCTAGCAAAATAAGCCAAATCAAATGTGTGTGTCATATGTAAGAGTGTTTCATATATAAGAAACACTACCCTGTGCCACTTTTTCAGTTATATGAAGATTGGTGTGATTTAAATGATCTCATAGCTACTTAGGAACAGTTGTACTTTCTTTTTTTCCTCTCAAGTGGTGTGATTGCAATGTCATCATTTTTAAGCCTAACTAATTATCCAAAAGTGATGTCAACCCCTTGAGCCCTAAATAGTCCTTCTTACAAGCTTGCCCGTTTCTCACCATCAAATCAAAAGGCCCAGTAACGGTTGTGCCACCTGGTCCTGTTGATTGTGCAGCCACACTCTGTTTGGCAGTAAAAGAGGAAGACTTTCACATCAAACCAGGAAATCCAGCCTTGTTTTTTATCTGCCTTTCTGTCGTATCCCATTGTGTGTACTTGATTGGACTACTTCCTTAGTTTTCAAGTTGTAAGGGTGTAGTCAGGAAATCTTCATAGTATGAGTTTCTCTTATTACTTTCATGGCCTTATAGGTATTTTTTAATTTTTATTTTTTTTATAGCTGAGCCATTACTTCATCAGGAACCCTTTTCTTGAAGGTAAAATACAACAAAAAGGGAGTCAGGTCTTTGAAGCCTCAAGCACATTTGCTGGATTTAAAGAAATAATATTTAAAAAGTCACATATTAATCATGTAATTTTCAAAATAAAAAATGAAGATAATCATATTTAGATGGAAACATCATGCTTTTTCTCTACCTTCTTAATATAAGGATATAAAAATTGTCATTTATGGAAATATGCCTTTTAAAATCTTTGTGAAGAAGAGAAAATTTATTTTAAGAAATAAAACATGGTAGGTTTTCCTGATGAATTTCTCAAATGACGTCTGTTGTATGAGGGGTGAGGGCTGCAGCTGTTGAGTATGTTGGTGGTCGCCTTGCCATTTTGTTCTGGTTATCCGTTACTGATCTTTAAGAACTGAGGTCACTTTTTCTTAATCAGAACATGCTGTGCTATGACTGCCTAGGTTTCCTCCCTTATCTTTGCCAGGCTTTGACCAGGAGTGTGACGGTAATACCTGCTGTGGGTGCGAAAGTGTTATGGTTAGCTTCCACATAAACTATCCCTAAAAATCAAGTTTAGCTAAGGTGGCTTCCTTCTCAATTTGTTCCCAACTCCTATACCTCTCTCCTTAAAAGTATCGGACTTCCTTTGCCTATGTAATTGCTTCTAATTATTCAAGTTCAAAGTCATTTTCCTCTTCTGTAGTTACATTTAGTTCACCAGGCTGGTTTTGATCCAACTATGTGTAAAGCACTATGCTATATTATCTGAGAAATACAATGGTAAACAAGTTATGGATTCGTTACTTAAGGAACTTATAGTCTAATGCAAAAGGATTTTTGCATGTATATATCATAGCGATAATTTGATTCTAAGAAGTGTAATCCCACTTGAACTAATTTAAATAAAAGTAGAGATTAATATAAGAAGCTGGTGATTCTTTTAAAAACCAGAGCAGGAAATGGAGGAAGTCTCATGAGAAAATCAGAACTAACAAGGCAACAAAGGAACCACAGCTTCTCTTTCACCCCTGTGACTAGCCCAGCCACCACACAGTATCTTTTCTTTACCCCTTTTTGCACATGAGCTGTGTTATTCTGCTTCTCTCTGCACAGTAGTCTTCTACCTGCACAACAGCACACGTGGCCCCAAAATGGCACTGCCAGTCCTATGGCAGTTACATACTAAAGTCTAGATCATAATACAGAATTTCTATGGTGGAAAATCTTACTGGTCTAGCTTGAGGCAGGTGTTTTCCCTCGTCAGTAGTTTCAAGCAGAGGTGGGGGTCCAGAGTCCCATCCATGACTCACACCCAATTTGCAGCGCTGTGGGACTCCTGGGAAAGAGCGTGGATAAAACAGATGGCTTGAATGGCTTATCTCTTTGAGTTCTACCTACAGTACAAAACAGAATGTTCTAAGTTCTTCCATAGAATAGAATAATTTGGGGGAATTTAGAGGAGGTAGGTAAAGGGGGAAATCCAGGATCATTTCTTATAGGACAGAGGCCTCTTTGCTAAAAGATCACTCTGACTGAGAGTAAAGAATAGATGAGAAGGGACATGCCTAGTAGCAGGAGGTCATAATACACAATTGCAGTAAGACAGATGAGGTGGGAGAACCTGAAATAAAGGGTTGCAATGGAGGAAACAAAAGAAATGAAAAGATTCAGGGGAGATTAAGAAGGTAAATTCTCCCAGATGCGATGACTAATTAGAAATAGGGCATGAGGGAGAAGGATGGAATCTTGGATGAACTTTCAGGGCTCTGACTAGGGGGAGTGGGTGGATGCTGATGGCATTTAACCACAATTTACTGGGAGCCATCTCAGTTCCTTCTGTGGTCTTCACTATCGAAAATCAAACTTGCCATTTCCCAAGCTGAGTGTGTATGTTCATAGTTCCAAACTTTTGCACATTACACTTCCTTTCCTAACAGTGGCTTTCTCCTTCCTCTAGTGTTTGCTTGGTGAAATACTCAACTTTTAAACTCATTTGTCCACTCAAAAAAAAATGTTCCTTGACTCACAGGCCTCCCTTCTGGTGCTCCCATAGCTTCTATTAGTACTATTATTATATTTCTCATCTGTTTGGTTTGCAATTGCTTGTTTGTTTTACTTGGCCATGAACTCCTTTAGGACAAGGACACTTGGTGAACATTTGCTAGCTGGTCAGATGAGTAGATGGAAATGGATTGATGACCCCAATGTCTTGAGCCAGGTTGACTAGGAAGATGTTGCACCATGAATCAAGCTAGAAAACACACAAGGAGTAATTTGGAACAGAAAATGATGAGAACTAAGGTTCTATGACTTCAAAGTCCATGCTTGACAATGGCATACAACAAGTATAAAAACTCAGGTGGAGAACGCCAAATTGAGAAGGCACAGATATTTAACAGAAGGATTGAATAGAATGCACACATTAATAGAATATATGATGTTAGTAGCTTTGGAAGGATCCTTAGGTAGGACATGGAGCTTGGCCTCCCCTTTGCTGTAAGCATTGCTTCTCTGACACCCTAGTGCTGCCTTGGGGCCACCATTTAGGGGCAGCTCAAAGAGTATTACAACATTGGAGACTTCCAGTTGTTATAAAGTTATTTTCTATCTTGTTCTTAGAATTGTCATGAGAGATCTCAGTTGAACCTTGTTCACCTCTCTATACATCACATCGCCCACATTTTTATGAATCTTGTTCTGTAATGCTATCAAAACCCAAGTGAACCCTTGCTAGCTTTTAGGGATCACTGTTTTTTGTTATACATTACAACATATTTAGTACCTTTAATATTTAGTACTACACTCTAGTCCAGGATAATTAAAAAGCCACATTGGTTTCTTCGCTGGAATGATCTGCAATTACATAATCAGATTTACAGTTTTAAGAGCTTCCCAACCTCTTAAATCATCTTTCCCTTTAGAAACTCTTGCAGTGGAATTCATGCCTATATTTTCTCAGCCCTTTGGGAAATCTGGTATCCTCAGTCTAGAGTTTACAGTTCCAGCTTCTCTTTCCGGGATGTCTTGAGCGTAGAGATAGCATGGTCACTTTCTCCCAGATTTGTCATGGTTTCTTCTTGACTATTTAAGGGTAAGTCTTGAATAAAATGGAAACGTTTTACAGCAGCTACCGTGAGGAACTTAATAGTGTTTCTTGGCAACACTGAAGGCTAGCTGAAGATATGTGACATGAATCGACCTAGAGCAAATTGACACATTTATATTATTTTATCAAGCAAAGTCTGGTGGTTTTGAGGGGTGGAGGAGGAGGAGGAAAAATGAATAGGTCATTACAGGCTGAGAAGTTCTTGGTTGAACATGGGATTGCCTAGGCTTAATGGGAGGCTGTGGAAATGAGAAACAGAGAATGGGTCACAGTGCTGCTGGCTTTAATGAGTGTGAAGGACAGCAGGTTCCATTGGAGCAGATGACGGAGTGAGGTGAAAGCAGAGGAAGGGAAATTCTGACCTTAGAGGACTGTGGTAGAGATGGGAAGTAGGGGGTGGAGGTCTGTTCTGGTATCACCTTTGTCTCCTAGCTTTTCACCTTGTGGTGGTTGTTAGCCAGTCAGCAATATTTATTGACCCATGGAAGCAAATACTTTTACATTCCATTCAGTTTTGATAGATACTCAGTTTCTTACAGGGTAGATAGGAATTGAAGAGGTGGTCATTAAATTACATTAAATACATTGAATTGTAATTAGTAGGAAAATTAAACCATGACTAGATTGATAGAAAAAACAAACAGAAGAAATTAGTTTGTTTCATTGAAGCATAGGCTCCAAGATTAGCAAACTGAAAAATAACTGTATCCAATCTTTCCCTTTGCAAAAGGAATATTTCACCTTTTTGAGAGCATGTTCTTTAAAGATAGCTCTGAGGGAGAAACCAAGTTATATAATGCTATGGACTCGCATTACCAGATCTATAGAGTTTGTATGTTCTTTTCAAGGGGTATGGACCTGGCCGGCTAGGAGGCAAAAAGCAAATCAGGCTGAGGAGGGGGCTCTTTTTTTGTGACTGTTGGGCTCCACCTGGTGGCCTGTAAGGATCAGCTTTGGAAAAAGCTGTGTCTTCAACACTGAGAAAATCCTGGTCAAGGCAGAGCAAAAGTTAAAGGAATGGAGGAGAATGATCCTGATCCAGGCTTAGGTTACCAAATTGTTCCTTTCCTTGATGAGCACTGCATGCAGTTTTGGCACTTCTTCCAAAGTCGCCATCTTCAACTGCAATTTCTAGTGCACCTTCTTGAAAATATTATGATGTTAGAGGACCTTAGATAACCATCAACCTCCTCTTATACTCATTAAATCCTTTCAGCTTCCTCTTTGCTTTCTTCATATCAACACCAATTCACTCTTAAATTTCAAGACCTTTTCTTAAATAACTCAGTATTGTTGACTCTTACTTCTTTTCTCCATGCTTTTATCTATTTTCACTGATAAAAACACCGTTCCTGAAGTCCCTATTCCTTAAGTGCTACTTTCTGCTGTGTCATAGTACTGAGCCATAAGAAGCGAAAATAACTCGTTCCCTCTCCTGATTATAGAAAATAATACATAAAATATACAGCCAAAGACAAGTGTATTTGCCACACTTCGTTTTTACTTTGTATTGTTGGAAGTTTGGGCCCTCGGTATAGTTGATGTTTGATTGTTCCCCACTTGTACATTCTCAGGGCTGTGATGCCATTATATCTGTTTGCATGGAGTTTCCAACATTGGACCAACATGTATGAGAGCATGTATTTAAGAGTAGTAATACGATAGTGGTAATCACTGCAAGAGTGCATGACTGTCTTCTAAATATCGTCTAGTTGTAAGACTAGGAGTTTATAAGAATATTTAGTAGAGGAAAGATGATGAATGGCTGAGAACACTAATCTTGACTATTTAATGTTCCTGTTTTCTTTAAGGCAAAGAGGCCAATTTGAAGGACTTTCTTGTTATATTTTTTTCTGTCTGTAGCTGGTCCCTTTCCTCAGTACGTTTTTAATAGGCATATCACCCAGGATAGTAGATCTGATGCTTATTTATATAGAATGTTTATATGTTTCCCAAGGCCCCCACCTATCATATGTAGGAAGTTGGGAATATTGTTGCAGTGCCATTCAGATTAATTTTACAGTAGGACTCAGTTGGAATGTCATTCTTTGTGAATGGCAGCAGTATTCATGGAGGAGCTCTAGTGAAGAAAAATTGAAGTGGTGATCATTATAAATAACTCTATGGAGGAAAACTTTCTCTCTTACAACTATTATTGAAATATCAAATTAACAAACATTTCTAAATTTTATTTTTTCCAAATACATACATATTGAATATTTACTGTTAAATTTATTCAAATGTGTACTATTGAAAATGAAAATTTCCCAGAGTTTCACCCCCGGAAACGATCACTATTAAGGTTTTGGTATACATTTGACTAAAATATTGTTTTAAAAATATTTATCAACTTTAATTACAAAGCATATTTCACAGGAAAAAGAATATATGTAACACTTCTATAATTTTTGAAACCTAATACTAAAACCAACCCATGAACTCATGAACCAGATTAAGAAGTATAACATCACCAATACTGTTCAAGTTCCCTGTCTGTTCTCCTGTATCCTAAACCATAATTTTTTCCCCAGAGGTAACCACCATCTCAAATATACTAATGAAAATGTATTTAAAAAAAAATTTACCCATATTTATAACCCTAAATGTTATTTTGTTTTGCTTGTTTTTGAACCTTTACAAAATACCGTGTTATATATATTCTTCTATCATTTGCCTTTTTTCATTTAACATGTTTCTAAAATATACTCACATATTTCACTCATTTTAGTCGATAATATTTCCATTTTCTGAAATATACCATAATTTAGCAATGTACATTTGGGTTGAACAGAGGATTTTGCTCCTGAAAACGTTCCAGTGCTCATTAACTAAAGTTTTTCTAGACTCTACTTAAAAAGGAAATTACTGAATCATACATAGGTACATGTTTAACTTTACAACTTTCTAGCCAAACCATTCCCAAAGTGATTGTACCCATTTTTAGTCCTGCCAGCAGTGTGTATGCAGTTCCATTGCTCCACATTCTTATTTACACTTGTTAGACTCATTTTTGCCAGCCAGGTGGGTAAAAATAGTGATAATCGTTGGGTGATTTTTGTTATTTTTTTCCTAATTACTGATGAGGTTGAACATCTTTCCATATACTCATGGTCATGTTTCCTCTTCTAGA
Source organism: Homo sapiens (assembly GCF_000001405.40). Taxonomy (NCBI): domain Eukaryota; kingdom Metazoa; phylum Chordata; class Mammalia; order Primates; family Hominidae; genus Homo; species Homo sapiens. The sequence continues at coordinate 232,144,451 of NC_000002.12, forward strand.
CAGTGTTTTCATGTTTTTACCCATTTTTTTAACAGTTAATTTTTTATTTAGATAATTTTGATTACAGAAATTGCAAAAATGGAACAGAGAGTTCCTGTATATCTTTTAACCTATCTTCTCCTTATGTTTACATCTTACATGACCATGGAATACTTATCAGAAGTAAGCAGTTAATCTTGGTATGATACCAAGTATAGGTCTTACTCAGATTTTATCACTATTTCCACTAACATTCTCTTTCAGTTGCAGAATCTGGGTCCAGAATCCCGTAATACAGTTAGCTGTGTCTCTGTAGTCTCTCCAATTTGTGACATTTCTTACTCTTTACTTGTCCTTCACGAACTTTACACTTTTAAAGAGTACTGGCCAGTGATTTTGTAAAACGTTTCTCAGTTTGTGTTTGTCTAATGTTCTCTCATGATTAGATCAAGATTAGACATTATTGGGAAAGATACCACAGAGGTGATGTGCATCTTATCGGGGGCACATAATGTCAGTAAGTAATACTGGTGATGTTCACCTTGATCACCTGGTTAAGGAGGCATCTGCCATGATTCCTAACTTACTACTTTTTTCCCTTGTAATTATTATACTGTATTTTTGGAAAGATTTTTTGAGTCTGTGTAATATTCTGTTTCTGCTTAATTTCACCCATTCATTTTAGCATACATTGGTGCTTTTACCCATTTTTAATTGGGCTGTTTGTCATTTGATTTTTTTGGAGTTAAAAATACATATTCCAGAAAGTAATCTTTTTAGCAGTCACTGATATGGAAATTATCTTCTCTCCAGTTTGTGAGTTGTCTTTTCCTGTTATTAATGGTATCTTCTGAAGAATAGATGTTTGAAGTTGTCTTTTTTGTTTGCTGCCAGCATGTAGAATTACAGTTAATTTTTATACATTATCCTATATCCAGCCATCTTGCCATATCCCCTTATTCATTTCAGTACTTGAGATGTAATTTCCTTTGGCTCTTCTATGTAGATAATCACATCATTGGTAAGTAATGAGAGTTTTATTTCTTCCATTCTAATCTGTATGACTTTTATTTCTTTTTCTTATCTTGAATTGGCAACTCACAATTGGAGAGGAGGTATTTCCCACACAGTAACTGATAAAAGTTCAGTTTTGAATAAAAGCAATAGTAGCAGGCATTTTTTTTAATTCCTGATTTTTTGATGTGTTAATAAGTTTGCTAATGTGGCAGCTAATTATGGTAGGACTGGATAATTTACTGAAGTACTTATCTTTGAGTTTTATTTGTTTTTGCCATCCTCTGTTTTCTTAGCTTTCCTTTGGCATTTCAAGGAAGAATAGTATGCCTCTCTAATAGGTACAAAGCATTAATTTGTTTATTTACATATTCAGTCACCAACATGTGTTGGACACCAAAGGCATACAAGTCTCAGTGGTACACAGAAATAAAGAAATGTTTATTCTTTTTATGGATGATCCCCCCCATCTATTGATAAGGAAGAGGCATACCTAAAGCACCATGACACAGCTAGAAAGTGGCACATGCAAGAAAGAGGATATAACCAAAGGATAGGGACAGTACTGATGAGGCAGATCCACTCTAGGAGACAGGGATGGCTTCCTGGCCTTGCTGCTATATTCCATGAAGATGAAATGATCTGGGTATATGCTTTGTGGGCCTAGTTCAACATGGAAGTTATAAAGGGAGCACCTTTAGGATAGAATTATGTTGCCTAAGGAAGGGCCATTTATGGTATTCTTATGCTCTAGAACCCAGCAGTTCCATGTCAGTGTGTAGTGAATACCTCTACAAGATCTATGATGCCAACAGTACTAAGATTTTATTTTTGGTAGTAAGAGCTTTACATTTTCTGTTGCAGAGTGAATGGAGGGAAAGGGAAGTTTGCTTCTCATGGATGATCTTTTTAAATAGTTTGTAGTAGGATGCTTTTAGCAGCAAATTATAAAAATGCCTGACTCAGAGTGACTTAATAAGAGAAAATATTATCTCATATAGTGGGAATTCAAAGGTTGTGCAGCTGCAGACCCAGTAAAGTCAGTGACTGGATGATGTTATCAGGTTGCCTTTTGCTGTCCTCAGCAATCCAGTGGTGGTTTCTCTATGGTTGTGAAGATGGCTGCCAGTATGATTAGGCTACCTGCTTTCTTGATGACATGTGACACAAAAAGGGAGACCCTGTCTGCCAACAATGCTATTGACTACAGTCACCAGGGGAGGCCATACACTGAATTTATTAGAATAATTAGTATCTGTCACTGGAGCTGAAGGTGAGATGTGTTTCCTGTATGAAAACTAGATTTTTGTGAGGAAGGAGGAAGACAGAAGTGAATGTTGGGTAGCAAACCAATATTGGGCACTCTAGTTTTTGTTATAATTATTTTTTGTATAATTTTTAAATTAAAAAACCTCCAACTTTGTGATATTAAAGGAAGCTTAGAAAATAGATTAAAAAGTCACTCAGAATCCTCTCTCAAATAATTAACACCATTTGTCCCTTTCAGCATTTTCATAAATGTTTTTACTTAGTTAAATCATACTCTACATACATCTTCAAAATTCTTTTTGTGAAATACATAAAAAATTGAAAAATATGACATGGTTTAGTTTATCATTTATCTGTTGCTTGACATCTAAATTACTTTTACTCCTTTTCTGCTCCAAGATTTTTAAAATAAACTTAATTTTAATTAATTAATTAATAAATAGGAATGGGGTCTTGCTGTGTTGTCCAAACAGGTCTTGAACTCCTGGGCTCAAGTGATCCTCCCACCTCAGCCTCCCAAAGTGCTGGGATTACAGGCGTGAGCTAGCATGTCCGGCCCATAAAAATAAACTTTATGTTTCAGAACAGATTTAGATTTACAGAAAATTGTCAAGATAGTACAGTTCTCACCTGCCCCTTCTCTCCTCCTCCAAAACTAGTTTTTTTCTCTTAACCAATATTGATACATTATTAATGGAGGTCCGTACTTTCTTCAAACTTTCTTGTTTTTAAAAATCTAATGTCCTTTATCTATTCCAGGATCTCATATTACATTTAGTTGTCTTGTCTCTTTAGATTCCTCTTGACTATGAGAGCTTCTAAGTTATTTTTGAAGGACATATTTTAATGCAGAATAGGATGAAATGTGGTTTTTAAGAGAATCACCAGATATTTTGACATAACATTGAATCATAGTTGTCCTAAAGCAGCTGTTATCTTTTCAGACAGTAAGCAGAAGACAGAAACTACTTAGAAAGTTGTAACATTTGAACTACATTACATAAAAGGGAAAGTTACTTTCATGATTCATTTTAAATAGAATTTACAATGAAATTAAATTTAAAATATAAAAATAAACCCTTCTGCAAGACAAATACACAATGTAAAAGTCAGTTCCCTAGTAGAATTTGGCTTTGTTTACCTACCAAAGAATTCTGGTTTTCAAGGTGACAGAAGAGTTCATGACTAAGTAGACAGGATAGGATTCTCTTTTCTCTTCTCTTCCCTTCCCTTCCCTCCCCTCCCTTTCCTCCCCTCCCCTCCCCTCCCCTCCGCTCCCCTCTTTTCTCCTCTCCTCTCCTCTCCTCTCCTCTCTTCTCCTGTCCCCTCCCCTCCCCTCCCCTCCCCTCTTTTCTTTTGACGGAGTCTCACTGTGTCGCCAGGCTGGAGTACAGTGGTTCAATCTCGGCTCACTGCAACCTCTGCTTCCTGGGTTCAAGCGATTCTCCTGCCTCAACCTCCCAAGTAACTGAGATTACAGGTGCGCACCATCATGCCCAGCAATTTTTATATTTTTAGTAGAGATGGGGTTTCACCATGTTGGCCAGGATAGTCTCGATCTCTTGACTTCGTGATCCACCCGCCTTGGCCTCCCAAAGTGCTGGGATTACCTGTGTGAGCCACCGCACCCGGCCAAGATAGGATTCTTTCTAGGGCATCTAAGGCCCCCAAAGCATGAGCTCTTTCAGCATGCTGATCTGTTAGATTTTTATCTGCCATAAGCTGTCCAGTCTATGCTGCTGTAAAATAGATCTCCAATGAAAGTCCGTAATAAATTTATTTAAATAAGGAACTTGAGAAATGTTCTCTGGAACTCGTAAAATAAATGTTAATTACTACTAATAGGAACTTGGAGTCATTGATCACATTTGGAAACCATAACTAAAATATAATTTTGTCTTTATGAGCCATGTTGTAATTTGAGTAAACAAATTGAGACTCTTTGGACTCAGAGTATAACCTGGTAAAACATTGTGTCAGAACTTTACAAAGCTCCAAAAAAGATGAAAAATTTTTTTTCTCCTTAATTTTCTTTCTTTTTTTTTTTTTTTTTTTTTTTTACACAGCCTTCTTAATCTACACATATGGCAAGCTAATAATTCCAAAAAAATAATTTCTTTCCTTTGTAGCCATTTAAAACTAACAGCTAGAAATATTTCTTCTTCCAATTATTAAAAATAAGCTGTTTCTGAGTCAGTGCTGACTACATTTACTGATTGAAGCAGCCAACTCCAAATATACCATCTTTTAGTATTGACACTTAAAATAAAACTTCTCCCCAGAAAAAGAGTTCTATAAATGATGGCTGTAGAAATAGGCACTGTCCAGGCAGTTGTTTTGTGGAAGTAGTGTTGTTATTTTCTGGTGTTTTCCAAGTCATCTCAGATGGTGCGTGAAAATGAGATGCCAAAGAAGGCTTAAAAAAGATACCCTGCACCAGCTTCAGAATGTAAGCAAATCTTTCATTCCAGCGCTTAAAAGTTTTTTTTTTTTTTTTATTATATTCTAAGTTTTAGGGTACATGTGCACATTGTGCAGGTTAGTTACATATGTATACATGTGCCATGCTGGTGTGCTGCACCCACTAATGTGTCATCTAGCATTAGGTATATCTCCCAATGCTATCCCTCCCCCCTCCCCCGACCCCACCACAGTCCCCAGAGTGTGATATTCCCCTTCCTGTGTCCATGTGATCTCATTGTTCAATTCCCACCTATGAGTGAGAATATGCGGTGTTTGGTTTTTTGTTCTTGCGATAGTTTACTGAGAATGATGGTTTCCAATTTCATCCATGTCCCTACAAAGGATATGAACTCATCATTTTTATGGCTGCATAGTATTCCATGGTGTATTTGTGCCACATTTTCTTAATCCAGTCTATCATTGTTGGACATTTGGGTTGGTTCCAAGTCTTTGCTATTGTGAATAGTGCCGCAATAAACATACGTGTGCATGTGTCTCTATAGCAGCATGATTTATAGTCCTTTGGGTATATACCCAGTAATGGGATGGCTGGGTCAAATGGTATTTCTAGTTCTAGATCCCTGAGGAATCGCCACACTGACTTCCACAATGGTTGAACTAGTTTACAGTCCCACCAACAGTGTAAAAGTGTTCCTATTTCTCCACATCCTCTCCAGCACCTGTTGTTTCCTGACTTTTTAATGATTGCCATTCTAACTGGTGTGAGATGATATCTCATAGTGGTTTTGATTTGCATTTCTCTGATGGCCAGTGATGATGAGCATTTTTTCATGTGTTTTTTGGCTGCATAAATGTCTTCTTTTGAGAAGTGTCTGTTCATGTCCTTCGCCCACTTTTTGATGGGGTTGTTTGTTTTTTTCTTGTAAATTTGTTTGAGTTAATTGTAGATTCTGGATATTAGCCCTTTGTCAGATGAGTAGGTTGCAAAAATTTTCTCCCATGTTGTAGGTTGCCTGTTCACTCTGATGGTAGTTTCTTTTGCTGTGCAGAAGCTCTTTAGTTTAATTAGATCCCATTTGTCAATTTTGGCTTTTGTTGCCATTGCTTTTGGTGTTTTGGACATGAAGTCCTTGCCCACGCCTATGTCCTGAATGGTAATGCCTAGGTTTTCTTCTAGGGTTTTTATGGTTTTAGGTCTAACGTTTAAATCTTTAATCCATCTTGAATTGATTTTTGTATAAGGTGTAAGGAAGGGATCCAGTTTCAGCTTTCTACATGTGGCTAGCCAGTTTTCCCAGCACCATTTATTAAATAGGGAATCCTTTCCCCATTGCTTGTTTTTCTCAGGTTTGTCAAAGATCAGATAGTTGTAGGTAAGCGGCGTTATTTCTGAGGGCTCTGTTCTGTTCCATTGATCTATATCTCTGTTTTGGTACCAGTAGCGTGCTGTTTTGGTTACTGTAGCCTTGTAGTATAGTTTGAAGTCAGGTAGTGTGATGCCTCCAGCTTTGTTCTTTTGGCTTAGGATTGACTTGGCGATGCGGGCTCTTTTTTGGTTCCATATGAACTTTAAAGTAGTTTTTTCCAATTCTGTGAAGAAAGTCATTGGTAGCTTGATGGGGATGGCATTGAATCTGTAAATTACCTTGGGCAGTATGGCCATTTTCACGATATTGATTCTTCCTACCCATGAGCATGGAATGTTCTTCCATTTGTTTGTATCCTCTTTTATTTCCTTGAGCAGTGGTTTGTAGTTCTCCTTGAAGAGGTCCTTCACATCCCTTGTAAGTTGGATTCCTAGGTATTTTATTCTCTTTGAAGCAATTGTGAATGGGAGTTCACTCATGATTTGGCTCTCTGTTTGTCTGTTGTTGGTGTATAGGAATGCTTGTGATTTTTGTACATTGATTTTGTATCCTGAGACTTTGCTGAAGTTGCTTATCAGCTTAAGGAGATTTTGGGCTGAGACGATGGGGTTTTCTAGATAAACAATCATGTCGTCTGCAAACAGGGACAATTTGACTTCCTCTTTTCCTAATTGAATACCCTTTATTTCCTTCTCCTGCCTGACTGCCCTGGCCAGAACTTCCAACACTATGTTGAATAGGAGCGGTGAGAGAGGGCATCCCTGTCTTGTGCCAGTTTTCAAAGGGAATGCTTCCAGTTTTTGCCCATTCAGTATGATATTGGCTGTGGGTTTGTCATAGATAGCTCTTATTATTTTGAGATACGTCCCATCAATACCTAATTTATTGAGAGTTTTTAGCATGAAGGGTTGTTGAATTTTGTCAAAGGCTTTTTCTGCATCTATTGAGATAATCATGTGGTTTTTGTCTTTGGCTCTGTTTATATGCTGGATTACATTTATTGATTTGCGTATATTGAACCAGCCTTGCATCCCAGGAATGAAGCCCACTTGATCATGGTGGATAAGCTTTTTGATGTGCTGCTGGATTCGGTTTGCCAGTATTTTATTGAGGATTTTTGCATCAATGTTCATCAAGGATATTGGTCTAAAATTCTCTTTTTTGGTTGTGTCTCTGCCCGGCTTTGGTATCAGAATGATGCTGGCCTCATAAAATGAGTTAGGGAGGATTCCCTCTTTTTCTATTGATTGGAATAGTTTCAGAAGGAATGGTACCAGTTCCTCCTTGTACCTCTGGTAGAATTCGGCTGTGAATCCATCTGGTCCTGGACTCTTTTTGGTTGGTAAACTATTGATTATTGCCACAATTTCAGCTCCTGTTATTGGTCTATTCAGAGATTCAACTTCTTCCTGGTTTAGTCTTGGGAGAGTGTATGTGTCGAGGAATGTATCCATTTCTTCTAGATTTTCTAGTTTATTTGCGTAGAGGTGTTTGTAGTATTCTCTGATGGTAGTCTGTATTTCTGTGGGATCGGTGGTGATATCCCCTTTATCATTTTTTATTGTGTCTATTTGATTCTTCTCTCTTTTTTTCTTTATTAGTCTTGCTAGCGGTCTATCAATTTTGTTGATCCTTTCAAAAAACCAGCTCCTGGATTCATTGATTTTTTGAAGGGTTTTTTGTGTCTCTATTTCCTTCAGTTCTGCTCTGATTTTAGTTATTTCTTGCCTTCTGCTAGCTTTTGAATGTGTTTGCTCTTGCTTTTCTAGTTCTTTTAATTGTGATGTTAGGGTGTCAATTTTGGATCTTTCCTGCTTTCTCTTGTAGGCATTTAGTGCTATAAATTTCCCTGTACACACTGCTTTGAATGCGTCCCAGAGATTCTGGTATGTTGTGTCTTTGTTCTCGTTGGTTTCAAAGAACATCTTTATTTCTGCCTTCATTTCGTTATGTACCCAGTAGTCATTCAGGAGCAGGTTGTTCAGTTTCCATGTAGTTGAGCGGCTTTGAGTGAGATTCTTAATCCTGAGTTCTAGTTTGATTGCACTGTGGTCTGAGAGATAGTTTGTTATAATTTCTGTTCTTTTACATTTGCTGAGGAGAGCTTTACTTCCAAGTATGTGGTCAATTTTGGAATAGGTGTGGTGTGGTGCTGAAAAAAATGTATATTCTGTTGATTTGGGGTGGAGAGTTCTGTAGATGTCTATTAGGTCTGCTTGGTGCAGAGCTGAGTTCAATTCCTGGGTATCCTTGTTGACTTTCTGTCTCGTTGATCTGTCTAATGTTGACAGTGGGGTGTTAAAGTCTCCCATTATTAATGTGTGGGAGTCTAAGTCTCTTTGTAGGTCACTCAGGACTTGCTTTATGAATCTGGGTGCTCCTGTATTGGGTGCATAAATATTTAGGATAGTTAGCTCCTCTTGTTGAATTGATCCCTTTACCATTATGTAATGGCCTTCTTTGTGTCTTTTGATCTTTGTTGGTTTAAAGTCTGTTTTATCAGAGACTAGGATTGCAACCCCTGCCTTTTTTTGTTTTCCATTGGCTTGGTAGATCTTCCTCCATCCTTTTATTTTGAGCCTATGTGTGTTTCTGCACGTGAGATGGGTTTCCTGAATACAGCACACTGATGGGTCTTGACTCTTTATCCAACTTGCCAGTCTGTGTCTTTTAATTGCAGAATTTAGTCCATTTATATTTAAAGTTAATATTGTTATGTGTGAATTTGATCCTGTCATTATGATGTTAGCTGGTGATTTTGCTCATTAGTTGATGCAGTTTCTTCCTAGTCTCGATGGTCTTTACATTTTGGCATGATTTTGCAGCGGCTGGTACCGGTTGTTCCTTTCCATGTTTAGCGCTTCCTTCAGGAGCTCTTTTAGGGCAGGCCTGGTGGTGACAAAATCTCTCAGCATTTGCTTGTCTATAAAGTATTTTATTTCTCCTTCACTTATGAAGCTTAGTTTGGCTGGATATGAAATTCTGGGTTGAAAATTCTTTTCTTTAAGAATGTTGAATATTGGCCCCCACTCTCTTCTGGCTTGTAGGGTTTCTGCCGAGAGATCCGCTGTTAGTCTGATGGGCTTTCCTTTGAGGGTAACCCGACCTTTCTCTCTGGCTGCCCTTAACATTTTTTCCTTCATTTCAACTTTGGTGAATCTGACAATTATGTGTCTTGGAGTTGCTCTTCTCGAGGAGTATCTTTGTGGCGTTCTCTGTATTTCCTGAATCTGAACGTTGGCTTGCCTTGCTAGATTGGGGAAGTTCTCCTGGATAATATCCTGCAGAGTGTTTTCCAACTTGGTTCCATTCTCCCCATCACTTTCAGAGTGACACCAATGAGACGTAGATTTGGTCTTTTCACATAGTCCCATATTTCTTGGAGGCTTTGCTTGTTTCTTTTTATTCTTTTTTCTCTAAACTTCCCTTCTCGCTTCATTTCATTCATTTCATCTTCCATTGCTGATACCCTTTCTTCCAGTTGATCGCATCGGCTCCTGAGGCTTCTGCTTTCTTCACGTAGTTCTCGAGCCTTGGTTTTCAGCTCCATCAGCTCCTTTAAGCACTTCTCTGTATTGGTTATTCTAGTTATACATTCTTCTAAATTTTTTTCAAAGTTTTCAACTTCTTTGCCTTTGGTTTGAATGTCCTCCCGTAGCTCAGAGTAATTTGATCGTCTGAAGCCTTCTTCTCTCAGCTCGTCAAAATCATTCTCCATCCAGCTTTGTTCTGTTGCTGGTGAGGAACTGCGTTCCTTTGGAGGAGGAGAGGCGCTCTGCGTTTTAGAGTTTCCAGTTTTTCTGTTCTGTTTTTTCCCCATCTTTGTGGTTTTATCTACTTTTGGTCTTTGATGATGGTGATGTACAGATGGGTTTTCGGTGTAGATGTCCTTTCTGGTTGTTAGTTTTCCTTCTAACAGACAGGACCCTCAGCTGCAGGTCTGTTGGAATACCCTGCCGTGTGAGGTGTCAGTGTGCCCCTGCTGGGGGGTGCCTCCCAGTTAGGCTGCTCGGGGGTCAGGGGTCAGGGACCCACTTGAGGAGGCAGTCTGCCCGTTCTCAGATCTCCAGCTGCGTGCTGGGAGAACCACTGCTCTCTTCAAAGCTGTCAGACAGGGACACTTAAGTCTGCAGAGGTTACTGCTGTCTTTTTGTTTGTCTGTGCCCTGCCCCCAGAGGTGGAGCCTACAGAGGCAGGCAGGCCTCCTTGAGCTGTGGTGGGCTGCACCCAGTTGGAGCTTCCCAGCTGCTTTGTTTACCTAAGCAAGCCTGGGCAATGGCGGGCGCCCCTCCCCCAGCCTCGTTGCCGCCTTGCAGTTTGATCTCAGACTGCTGTGCTAGCAATCAGCGAGATTCCGTGGGCGTAGGACCCTCTGAGCCCGGTGTGGGATATAGTCTCGTGGTGCGCCGTTTCTTAAGCCGGTCTGAAAAGCGCAATATTCGGGTGGGAGTGACCCGATTTTCCAGGTGCGTCCGTCACCCCTTTCTTTGACTCGGAAAGGGAACTCCCTGACCCCTTGCGCTTCCCAGGTGAGGCAATGCCTCGCCCTGCTTCGGCTCGCGCACGGTGAGCACACACACTGGCCTGCGCCCACTGTCTGGCACTCCCTAGTGAGATGAACCCGGTACCTCAGATGGAAATGCAGAAATCACCCGTCTTCTGCGTCGCTCACGCTGGGAGCTGTAGACCGGAGCTGTTCCTATTCAGCCATCTTGGCTCCTCCCCCCTCCTTAATTTTCTAAAGGTCCAATAACTGGTATGACAGGACTGTTTTAACAACTAATATCAGGTCCATCACTTCACTTGCTTCCTTTTGTCCTCCCTCCTCCTCACCCTCCCACCACTCCATTCATGGATCTAGTGCTCAGCGCCAGTCTTTGTGGAGGAATTTCTCCATCTCTTGGTACACCTCAGTTCATCACTTTGCAGTTTTTCAGAAAGGGCTTATGAGAACTATATTCCCTGAGTTCTTGTATTTAGAAATCTTTATCTTTGAAATCCAGTAACTCCACTAGAATATATTTCATTGGTGATTTTCTGTAATTTTCTTTTCTGAGACTTACCTTTCTGTAAACCTAAATTTTCTTTATTTCAGAAAAGTTTTCTTAATGATCTTGGAAAATGTTTTCTTTTCTTCATCTCTAGCTCCTTCCTTCAGTTATGCCGAAGGAAGGATCTAGAGATGAGGAATAGAAAATGTTTTCTGGCCAGGCGTGGTGGCTCACGCCTGTAATCCCAGCACTTTGGGAGGCCGAGGCGGGCAGATCACGAGGTCAGGAGATTGAGACTATCCTGGCTAACATGGTGAAACCCCGTCTCTACTAAAAATACAAAAAATTAGCCAGGTGTTGTGGCGGGTGCCTGTAGTCCCAGCTACTCGGGAGGCCGAGGCAGGAGAATGGTGTGAACCCGGGAGGCGGAGCTTGCAGTGAGCTGAGATCGCGCCCCTGCACTCCAGCCTGGGCGACAGAGTGAGACTCCATCTAAAAAAAAAAAAAAAGTTTTCTATTCCAAAGAATCTTAGAAAATGTTTTCTATTCCTCATCTCTAGCTCTGTATTTCAAGGATGCCTGGAACTCCTTGGTCTGCCTTTCACATCTGTCTGTTTTCTTTGTTATCTTTTTAAACTCTACTTGCCCAGTTTCATTTTCCTCACTTTTCTCAAGATTTTACTCTATGATCCTTATGGCTTTCAAATAGTGTCAGTTCTTCATTAGGTATTTCCAGTATGACTTTCACTTTCTGTGATAGTTTTATCGTTCTTTTCTACTTATTTCCTGAGGTCTAAAAACCTAGTTTTTGTTTCCTTTCATGACTTACTTATTCCTTATGCACTTGCATCTTTGCTTCAAGCTCTTGTTTTATAAAGCTTATATTTTTGGGAGTTCTTGAGAGTATCTTTGGTCATTTCTGTGGTTATATGCTTATAGAGATTGTTTTGTCCTTCTGCCATTTCTTTTTCTTGCTCCTTTTTTTCCTTTTAAATGTGGGTTTTTTTTTTAATAGAATGTTTGGATGGTTCCTTCTACTCTCCCTCCCTGGAATCTTTAAATAGTGAGTTCTTCCTGGACTTTAGTATTATATTTAAAAAACTGGACATTATAAAATGCTTTTTGTCTAAGTTTTTAGCCCCTTTTCTATTTTAGGCATAAGACAATCATTTAGGTCCGTATTGTATCCTGGAGGATAGCATTCCAACTTCACTCACTCTTAACTTCAAGGTGAGAATAGTATGGTCACTGTGTTCTAGGTCAGCCTCACAAACACTGAGACTCCCACCACATAGAAGAATTTGTTTCTTTTCGTATTAGTGTAGTTCTCTAATAAACTCTATGTGGTATATCTCATTTTTATACTTCTCCCAGAAGCTATGTATGCTATCTAATTAATGGATGGTTAGTTATTTTATGTAACTTTTAATACTATTAGGTAGAATCAGAAGAAACTGTGTTTTATATGTTAATAAATGGTCATATTGGCAATTTTCTGTGCCTCAAAATAATATATTATTAACTTCTTTATATTGTTGTTGCCATTCTTGAATTATTACTTCTGAGTAACCTCTCAGTTGGCTTGAGTTGCACATAAGTTTTTTTTGGGAAGGAAAGTACATAGCATATTTTCTGCCTTTTAATATCAGTCAGGGTTCTTGTAGTCTCAGATTCCAATTCAGAGGAATCATAATTATGTCCCCAGAGGTACTAAAACCTTTCAACTGTAGAGATGAGCATTATGTAGGCAAAACTAAATATTTTATGTGTGGGTCTTAAGTGTGATATTGAAAGGCCTGACTCCTCCCTTGCATTCTTTCTTCCCAAACCATGTACACTGCCTGTAGGATGCTAAATCAGAGCACCAATGCATCCTGGAGGATGGCACTCCCCCCTCACAACTGATGCCTCCTGGTTAGTCCAACAGCTTAGTAAGTCAGATCATTACATCATGCCAGTCAGTGAAATGTATGGGCTTTGCTTCTTCCAAAAGGTGAAGTCCTTAATTACAAACAATGTTGAGTGCGATAATAGCTTAAAAGATATTTCGTAAATCTGAGGATTGTGGTGTTTACATAAGCAATATAGGTAGAAGAAATGCAGATAGCAAACCTAGAGTAAGTGTCTCTTTTAGTGGAGGAATTACTGCCTTTCCCATCCTAAAAGAGCTCACTGGATGCGATCTGATGTGAAGTAGTTGGGGGTCCTCCTGGCATGGCTGTGTATCAGGTGCTCAGAGTTGGTTGCTGCTGCTGGCAAGCTAGCATCCTGCAAGAATGGTATTCAGGTCAGCATTAGTGAGAAGTGAATGTTGTGGAGTGCATTTCCTGCTGCCTTGTGCTTTGTTCCTATGTCCCTTGAGCAAGCACTGCAGCGATGGGGACATACACGGGCGCAGGCCATCCTGCCTCCACAGTGGGAGCCTTTCACTGTGCACTCTCATGGAGCACAAATAGTTATACCCTGTCTGGACTCATTTCAGTGGGCCCATTTCATCCACATGTCTTTTCCCTAGATGCCCTTGTCACCAGTACTCCAATCTTTCTTCTTTCAGGTCCCTATCCATCTGGTTAAACTTGTAGTCACTGCCTATCAGCCTATCAGGTTGTCCTTCCTCAGCTAAAGTGGACCACGGACATAGGGCTTGAAGTTCTGCCCACTGGGAGAAAGTTTCTGCTATATTGTCTTTTCAGAGACCATCCCTTACAATGGATTTAATGCTATCGTGTCCATTTATGACTCATGACAATGGAGGGTCAGTTGGAACTAGGCATTCAAGGTACTCAAACCTTTCTGCATCCTCCTTTATATCGTGTGTGTGTGTGTGTGTGTGTGTGTGTGCATGTGTGTGTTCGGGTTCTCTGAATCTTACTCTGTCTGATGAGTGTCCTACTTTTCACCTAAGTGACTTAATGAGACCTTAAATTCAATGGTGTAATGATTCATCACCCTTTCAATTTGTTTTTTCTGTCTTAGCCTGGCAGCTACAAGAGATTCAAGATACTTTTTTGTTGGACATACTAAGTCCCTAACTTTCAGTCTTAGAAATGAGGAATTTAGAATGAAGAATTTAGAGATGAAGCATGTAATTCTTTGTTTCTCCCCCTTTTTCTGGCTCTCGAAGCTTCTCACTGTTTCTGTGAGCCCTTTGATATCCTTTCAAGAAATTTCTTTTTTTCTTTTCCAAACAGCACTGGTCTTTTGTGCTTACAAACAAGAACCCAGACAGACAGTTAAAGACATTGATATTAGGAGACGAATGTAGGAAACAGAACCTCAGGGACCTGTGAGAATAATAAATGAGTTAGATGGGTTGGAAGTAACTCAGATTCCATTAATTTTCAGAATACAAAATAATTTTTAAAATTACTAATTATTACCTGTCATCACCAGAATAAAGTTGTCTTTAACCTAAACAACATTGTTATAAGTATTCGTCTTGTACTCACAGTGTTGAATTCCTGTGTCCTTCAAATTTCAAAGGTTGGGATAATAGGTCCCCCATATCTTCAGTTGGAACTTCACTCTAGTGAACACAGGTAATAATTTAGTCATTTTGAAAATTAATGGGACCTGAGTCTTTAATTGTCTGGGTTCCTGGTTACAAGCAAGAAAAACCAACTCTGGTTGGGAAAGGAATTTATTGGGAGGATACTGAAGAGCTCACTGAGCAAAAGACTTGAATGACCTGAAAAGGGATGTGAACTAAGGCAGCTCTGGAAAGCCAAGAACAAGAAGCCCAACCATCATCTTTTATCAGGATTAGTTTGGCTGTAATGCCAGTTATTCTCTTACCACCACTCTTGCAGGACACCATTTTCACTGGATGCTGCTGCCACCGCTGCTATCACGAGAAGCCATTCTAGCTGTCATGAGTGAATCCTAAGCAGCCTTTTGTCTTTGTGTTTCTGTCTACACATTCAAAGTCTTGAGTTGAGGCAGAGTTTAAGTCACACACAGTGTACTGGATTTTGGTTCTCACAGAGTGAGAGGAGGCTTGTATAAAGAGAGGCCAGGCATTATGTAGTAGGAAGCTGGTCACTTCCATGACGGGAATTGTAGTCCTTTGTCCTGCTTATAGGCAACGTGCAATTCTTCCTTTCCAGTTTGTATGCCCCTTCTTTTTCTTACTTTATGGCATTCACTAGTACCTCCAGTACAATGTTAAATAGTATTGGTGAAAATGAACACTTTGTCTTCTTTCTGCTCCAAGGGAAAGCATTTCACTTTTCACCACTAAGTTTTACATTAGTGCTAGGATTCTCATAGAGGCCTTTAACCAAGTTGAAGAAATTCCTGTTACTCATGTGCTGAGGGCTTTTATCTTAAGTGAATGTTGAAATTTTGTCAAATGCTTTTTCTTCATTTACTGAGATGATTATATGTGTTTGTTTTTTGTTTGTTAATATGTTGTATTGATTGATGTTTCATTGTTGGACAAATCTTGCATTATTTGGTCATGATGTATCACCTTTTTTATATATTACTGAATTCTATTTGCTAATGACCTTGTAAGAAGTTTTAAATTTTCTTTTTCAATAACTGATATACCTTTGTAAGAATTTTAAGTCTATGAGAGGTATTGATCTCATTAATCCTTTGGTTTTGATATCAAGGTACTGCTGTCTTCATTAAACTAGTTGGAAAGTATGCCATCTACCTCTTTATTCTAGAAGAGTTTATGTAGAATTGGCAATAATTCTTTCTTAAATACTTGGTAGAATTCACCAGTGAAGCCATCTGGGTCTGGAGTTTTCTATGTGGGAAGGTTTCAAACTGTGAATTCAGTTTCTTTAATAGATACATTAGATAAAATAGATAATAGGTAGATTAAATAGGAATATTCAAGTATCAATTTATTTTAATTATCCTAGGCAGTTTGCATCTTTCAAGGAATTTGCCCATTTCATCCAAGATGTTGAATTTATTGTCTTAAAGTCATTCATTATTCCCTTATCCTTTTAATGCTTGTGGGATGTAAAATGGTGTCTCCTCTCTCATTCTTGATATTGGTAATTTGTGTTTTTCCCTCCTTGTTTTTCTTGATCAGTCAGGCTAGAAATTTATCTGTTTTTCTCTTTTCAAAGAATTAGCTTTTGAGCCAGGTGTGGTGGCTCAAAGCTGTAATCCCAGCACTTTGGGAGGCCGAGGTGGGCAGATTGCTTGAGCTCAGGAGTTCGAGTCCCAGCCTGGGCGACGTGGCAAAACCCCATCTCTACAAAAAATACAAAAATTAGATGGGCCTCAGCTACTCAGGAGGCTGAGGTGGGAGTATTGCTTGAGCCTGGGAAGTCGAGGCTGCAGTGGGCCATGATTGTGCCACTGCACTTCTGCCTGGGTGACAGAGTGAGACCCTGTCTAAAAAATAGAATTAGTTTTTTGTTTTATTGATTTGTTTTCATTATTCATTCATTTTTGTTTGTTTGTTTGTTTGTTTTTTTGAGACAGACTCTCACTCTGTTGCCCAGGCTGGAGTACAGTGGCGTGATCTCGGCTCACCGCAACCTCCGCCTCCCGGGTTCAAGCGTTTCTCCTGTCTAAGCCTCCAGAGTAGCTGGGACTGCGGGCATGCACCATCACGCCCAGCTAATTTTTGTATTTTTAGTGGAGACGGGGTTTCACCATGTTGACCAGGATGGTCTCAATCTCTTGACCTCATGATCCTCCTGCCTTGGCCTCCCAAAGTGCTGGGATTACAGGCGTGAGCCACCGCGCCCAGCCTATTTGTTCATTTTCTATTCATTGATTCTTGTTTCTTCATTATTTCTGTCCTTCTCCTTACCTGGAATCTAATTTGTTCTTCAGTTTTTTAACGTAGAAGCTTAGATCACTGATTTGACACTTTTCTTCCTTTCCGATGTGAGCATTTAATGCTGTAAATTACCCTCCAACCACTATTTTAGCTACTTCTCACAAATGTTGACATGTTATGTTTTCATTCAATTCAAAATTCCCTTCCTCCCTCTCTCCATTACTTCCTTTCCTTTCTTTTTTGAGATAGCATCTCGCTCTGTCGCCCAGCCTGCAGTGCAGTAATGCCATCTTGGCTCGCTGCAACCTCCATTTCCTGGATTTAAGTGATTCCTTTGCCTCAGCCACCCGAATAGCTGGAATTACAGGTGTGTACCACCACACCCAGCTAAGTTTTGTATTTTTAGTAGAAACGGGGTTTCACCACGTTGGCCAGGCTGGTCTCAAACTCCTAGCCTCAAGTGATCCACCCGCCTTGGCCTCCCAAAGTGATGGGATTACAGATGTGAGCCACCGTGCCTGACCCCAGTTCAATTTTTTTTTTTTTGGAGACAGTCTCACTCTGTCACCAGGTTGGAGTGCACTGGCATGATCTCGGCTCACCGCAACCTCTGACTCTCTGGTTCAAGGGATTCTCCTGCTTCAGTCTCCTGAGTAGCTGGGATTATAGGCACGCATCACCACGCCCAGCTAATTTTTGTATTTTTGATAGAGACGGGGTTTCACCATGTTGGCCAGGATGGTCTCGATCTCCTGACCTTGTGATCCGCCTGCCTCAGCCTCCCAAAGTGCTAGGATTACAGGCGTGAGCCACTGCACCTGGTCCAAAATATTTTCTAATTCTTTTTTTATTTCTTCTTTAACCTATGGGTTGTTGGATTTCCACATATTTGGGGATTTTCCAGATTGCTTTCTGTTAATTTTTCTCTCATATTTTTGCTGTCTGGCTTTTTGATGTGTTTTATGGGAGAGACCACCCATTTGTGGAGAAAGTACTCTTCTGAGTCCACATCATATGGGAGGAGCCCACAGGTCAGTCTGCAGGCTGCCGAGATCATAGGCTGGTGGGCGGGTGCACAAGTAGACTGGGCTGGTCTCTCTTGACTAGTGTGAGAAATGGGGCCAGCCCTGCTGCCATCACTGCTGCATTCCAGTGGCAAGGCTGAAGATTGGAATTTGTTAAAAGTCTGCTTATGAGGCAACCACCTCCCCTATTCCTCTTTACCACTGTGCACATAAGAACTCCAGCAGCCAAGCATCTACCCTTATTTAGGAAACAGAACCTTTTTCATAGAAATCGAATAGCCTGAGAGAATGTCCTGATGCCATAGCTAAATTTCTTGCAGAAAGTGCTGAGGGCGGACTCTTGGAGCACCCTGGTAGATAAGTAGACTTGTACAACAGAGGAGATGGCCATTTTTGGTCTCCGCAATACCCTCTACAAAGGCAGCCAAGGCCCATAACACATTTCCTGTTGGCTGCCTGTATTCAACGCACAAATTTAGACTTGTGATCTGTATGTGGCATGACAATGCTTATGAGAATAGAGAGCTGTCAATTTGGTAAGGAGTGAGATCTGCCTTCTGAAAGGTGGAACCCTGTTCATAATGTTAGCATTGTCCTGTTAAATGCAATTTTATTTTTAATGGGCCAGTGCCCTAAAATGTGCATGGGTGACTGGTTTATGGATAATTTTAATTTTCTTCTCAGTGGATTTTGTGTTTTCTAACTTCTTTGCAATGAACGTATATTACTTTTGTGTTTAGATAAAATATTTTAAAATTTTAAAGATTAAAAACTGGTAGAGTTGTGAAATAGGAACATCAGAATTAATCTAGTAAGCATGACTTAACGTACAGGCACTCTGAAACTAATGATTTAATAGCACACTGGATTGATCATAATATCAATTTTGACTTCTCTGTGAAGAACAATTGGAGGGGTCCTAAGGAAAGCCTTCTGGCTCTGTTTCTCAAGTCAGAATGTCAAATAAAAAAAGGTGAAATTACACTGTAGTTACCGATTTAACAGGAGAAGAGCATTACTGTGTCTTCTGCTTTCCCATTGCCAGTGATTTACGGATGATCATGTTTCTACTGGTGGAAGGGCAGGAGATTTTAAACTTTCCCACTACTTTACTTTTAGAGAGGAGACAGGTACCTATGTTCCATTTGTTTGCTAACCCAGTTATTCCGTTTCTGTTCTATCCATAGGCAGCTGGCTAAGAGTCTTGGGCAGGCTGGTGAAATTGAGCCTGAAACAGAAGGAATACTAACAGAGTATGGCGTGGATTTCTCTGATTTCTCTTCAGAAGTTCTAGAATGTCTTCCTCAAGGCCTGCCATGGACAATTCCACCAGAGGAGTTCAGCAAGAGAAGGGATTTAAGGTAAGCACCTGAAACCCTTTAAGAACGTATATCTCCCTTTCTGCCTTAACTTTCCTAGGGGCTAGGCTTAGATGTTTTCATCTTTCCACGAACATTCAAGTTCAGTTCAGTTGGGAATAGGTGCTTCTGTACCACAGTTGGCAAATTATGGCCCACAGGCTAAATCTAGCCTACTACCTGTTTATGTACAACCCATGAGCTAAGAATGGTTTTTACATTTTTAAATGGTTGGAAAAAATTAAAACAAGAATAATGTTTTATGAAAATTATATGAAATTCAGATTTCTGCGACCATAAAGTTGCATTGGAACATGGCCATGCTTATTCATTATCTATGTTGCTTATGGCTGTTTTTTGCCCTACAACAGCCCAGTTGATTAGTTGCAACCAAGACCATATGGCCTGCAAAGCCAAAAGTAGTTACTGTCAGCCTTTTACAGAAAAAGTTTACTGATCCCTGTTCTAGACCATTCTAACTTCAAAAGCTACAGTGCCTATCTTCTCATTGCCATAGATCTGGTCAAGTACAGACTGTTATCTAGTGAGAAGTGCCTTCCTTTAAATGGGCCTCTTCAGGCACAGAGCAAAGGATTCAAGACTTCTGTACTTGGAGCCTCATTTTAAAGCCTTACTTTTAGGTCTGGAATTTGTTGGAAAGTACTTTCGTGGTATTTTTATAACAACATCTTCTTTGAAGATGTTTCTTCATTGTGGGATGTTAGTTCTTTTCTGATATTTCTCTTCAGAATTTGGTTTCAGTACTGGCACTCATTTTGGATGCCACATGGAGATATTTAGAACCAAGAAACTTTTCATACAACCCACTGAGGCTGTGGAAGGTTTTTGCTAAGGTCATCCCATGTCAAAGTCTTTTCCACCACACTTGCTCGCTTCATGCAGCTGAACTTATGACACCTTCAGCTCTGGGTGCCTGTTACCCACCTAGTTTGTGAATACTCCCTCTCTGTACCTTCTTACTATTGTATCTTTTAGTAATTTACTGCCTTTTTCTTTTCTTATTGAGGTTAGGCAAGGAAAAGGAGATGATCATTAGTCCCCTTTCCTACTTGTTAGTATCTCTCATAGAACACATATTACATTTGAAGTCAGTTAACCCATATTGCATTGCTGGATTTTCATAATAACCCCTCTATCACTGAACCCCTGCTAGCACATGGGTGTGTTATCTCTTCAGGGGCTCCGAGGTCTTGGGCCCATAACATTAACCTCTCTGAACCTTTGTTTTCTCATATACAAATTGAGGGGTTTGTTTTCTGAGGTCATTTCCTGAATCTAGGAATCTATCTAATGATTTAATGGGAAAAGAATGCTAGAATAAATGGTTGAACATTATTGTTTAGTAGAATTTAGTGTAGCCATGCTGCAGTATCTATCAACATTTTAAATGTACCTACTCCTGCACCCCAAACTCTACTCGAAGTGTACAAAAATATATGTACAAGAATGTTCATTGCTGTCTTGTCATAAAAGTTAAACATTAAAGACACTGCTAATGTCCATTAATAAAGGAATGGTTTAGTAACCTGTGTTATGTCAATATGATAGCATTCCTTGCAGCTCTGCAAAAAGGAGCTATATCCATGTTGACTTTCCTAAAAGAATAGCTATAATATATTATTAAGTCAAGCAAGTTTCAAAACAATATGAATATGAGCCTATATTTTGTAAAGTAATACAAAAACTACATAAATATACACATATACATATATGTGTGTATACGTATACACATCAAAGTATATATGCATAGAAAAAGGCCTGGAAGGAAATAAACTGTTAACAGTGACTACCATGGAGAGTGGATTCAGTGGAGTGGTAAGGCAACAGGGAAGTGAACTTTGACTTTTCATTTTGCATACTGCCATACTATTCAAATTATTATTATTATTTTTAAGACAGCATCTCACTCTGTTGCCCAGGCGGGAGTGCAGTGGTGCAGTCATCGCTCACTGCAGCCTTGAATTCTTGGGCTCAAGTGATCTTCTGCCTTAGCCTCCCAAAATGCTGGGATTATAAGCATGTGCGACCACACCCGGCTAATTCTTTTATTTTACTTTTGTAGAGATGGGGTCTTGCTATGTTGAGCAGGCTGGTTTTGAACTCCTGGCCTCAAGAGATCTTCCTGCCTTGGCCTCCCAAAGTGTTGGGATTACAGGCGTGAGCCACCACACCTGGTCCAAATCTTTTTTAAAGTAACTTGTATAACTTTAAAAAATTATAAATGTGAAAGTCACAAAATAGAAGTATTCCATTTTTTCTAGCCTTTTAGCCTACTGGTAAATAATAAGCATGTTAGTAGTTATGGGGCCCAATATTGCAGTAAATTCCCCTCTCATGGCTCTATCTTGCCATTTCTTTGACCTTTATTGCCTTCTGGTTTAGACCATAGAATAAGAGGTCCTTAGTGAGACCCTGTCTCTACAATAAATAAATAAATAAATAAATAAATAAATAAATAAATAAATAAAATATTAGCCAGGCACAGTGGTGTGTGCCTACTTGGGAAGCTGGGGCGGGAGGATTGTTTGAGCCTGGGAGTTTGAGGCTGCAGTGAGCTATAATCATGCCGCTACACTCCAGCCTGGACAACGGAGCAAGACTCTGTCTAAGGGAAAAAAGAAAAGAAACCTTGCTCTGCAGAAAGCCTTTGTTAAAATATATCTTAAATACACACACCACACACACACACGCGTGCGCGCGCGCCCTGTGAAAGGATCCAAAGACAGAAGGAGTTTGTAGGGTGCTCTCTGCTATTCATGAAGTAACAAGGATTTTTTAAAAAATTACTTTTGGGCCGGGCGCCGTGGCTCAACGCCTGTAATCCTAGCACTTTGGAAGGCGGAGGCTGGCAGATCATGAGATCGAGACCATCCTGGCCAACATGGTGAAACCTCATCTCTACTAAAAATACAAAAATTAGCTGGGCATAGTAGTACGCGCCTGTAGTCCCAGCTACTTAGGAGGCTGAGGCAGGAGAATCGCTTGAACCCGGGAGGCGGAGGTTGCAGTGAGCCAAGATCGCACCACTGCAATCCAGCGTGGCGACAGAACGAGACTCCATCAACAACAACAACAAAAAATTACTTTGGGCTGGGCACGGTGGCTCACACCTATAATCCCAGCATTTGGGGAGGCCAAGGTGGGTGGATCACTCGAGGTCAGGAGTTGGAGACCAGCGTGGCCAACATGGTGAAACCTCATCTCTACTAAAAATACAAAAATTGGCTGTGCATGGTGGCAGGTGCCTATAATCCCAGCTACTTGGGAGGCCAAGGCAGGGGAATTGCTTGAACCCAGGAGGCAGAGGTTGCAGCAAGCTGAGATCATGCCACTGCCTGGACGATAGAGTGCGTCTCAGTCAAAAAAAAAAAAAAATTACTTTAACCTTAAAATAGGTTATCCTTGCCCATTATCCTCAGGATTATGTTTCTAAAATTCAAATCTGATTTATTTTACTCCTTTGCATTTAAATTTTTTCTAATGTTTCTTAATGCCTAAAGTAGTAATGTCTGAAGTTTAGAAATTACTACTTTAGGCATCAAGAAGTAATATAGTAAATTACCACTAATGCTTGTCTTTATTTTAAAACTATACATGAATTTACTACATTGATAGTCTATTACGTACATTATAAATGTAAGTGAAAATAGAAAAATAAAAATGTAATGAGAAATAAATTTTTAAATATTTTCATTTTACTTACGAAAAGTATAGAAAACTGTTTATATAGTAATTTTACTTTTGGTGAAAGCAGTATGGTTGAATAATATTCTTTATTTATTAAAATTTTACTTTAACAACTAATAATATGGAAATTCAGAGATCTGATTCTAAGTTCTGTATGTTTTGGTACTTGGTTTTGATGATTATCATAATTGAAAAGGATATATGTTTAGAAGATGTGAGCTGTGCTTACAAAATCCTAATACTCATTTCTCAGTCCTATTCGCCAATTATATTCCAATTCATTTTGAAATTCAGCTAGTAAATTTCCATCTTTTCTGATGTCAGTTCTTGTGGATTCATTGAAAGGTGCTGCGTTTTTAGATTAAAAAAATAGATTTATAATCTCCAGTTACTCTTTAGTTGTTATCTTTAAAAACTAGTTAAAAAATTCAGCCAGGCACATTGGCTCACACCTGTAATCCCAGCACTTTGGGAGGCCAAGGTGGACAGATCACCTGAGGTCAGGAGTTCGAGACCAGCCTGGCCAACATGGTGAAACCCTGTCTCACTAAAAATACAAAAATTAGCCGGGTGTGGTGGCAGCCACCTGTAATCCCAGCTGCTCGGGAGGCTGAGGCAGGAGAATTGCTTGAACCCGGAGGCAGAGGTTACAGTGAGCCGAGATTGTGCCACTGAACTCCAGCCTGGGTGACAGAGCAAGACTCTGTCTCAAAAAAATAAAAATAAATAAAAATAATTCTATTAGGAAGTTTAAGTCTATGGATATGAATGTTTTTGTAGTTTATACACTTACATCATTTTAGTCCCCAAATAATATAACAATGGAAGTATTTCAAAACATCCATTTAAAAAAATGTTATCTTTAAAATTCGAGTATGTTATTTTGTTTTCAAAATGCAATAATTTTTTTTCTTATTGTTAAAATATCACCTTTACCTTGAAGGGACAGATTAAGCATGTTTAATTTTCCTAAAGTATCTGATAGGTAACATATGACTGATAGCCATTGTTTTGAAATTATAATGTGGCTGGAGATGAATTCATATTAGACACAGAAGAAATGTCAGTGTTGCCATTTTTCTAGTGTTAATGATACTACTAGGAGTATTAGTGGTTTAGTATTATCTTCAATATATGGACTTTGCAGTAATCTTTTTTTAGCCAGTTGCCTTTTTTTTTGCAAGGATTAGTTTAGCTAAAACTAGACAATATCCATAAATCCATGTATCTGGGCATGAGTAAAGACCCATTATTTGCACTTGGCAAAAGCATAGGAACCAAGAGTGCCACTGTCATTGCCTTTGTGTTGCAGAACGCCAACTTTTTCATCTGTACACCTCACCTACCACCTGACCCACACATAGTGAGGGTGCCAGGGTTAATTCATGTAGTTATGTAGTGTCAGTTAATTCCTTATTTTTAACACACATAAAGAGAAGCCATAAGTGTGTGGAATGAGCTCCAGTGATGTAGTTGGTTAGCATGCAGTACTGTACAGCAGTAGGTAAGCATGTGGAGGTATTTGGATCTGATAACCTTTTCCTTTTCTTTGACTGGTTTTATGATGGAGTCATTCAGTTTTTATACCAAAAATATTTATGGAACACCAACCATGGGCACTGAGGATACAACAGTGAACAAAAATAGATGTATTCACTGCCCTTGTGGAACTCTCAGTTTGGTGGCAGAAGAACATGAATGAAACTATTAAGCAGTAGTCAAATGTGGAATTGTAATGAAGGAGGGGGTGCTTGGTGCAAGTGTTTGTGATCATGTGATTTCTTCTGCTCTGAGGTCCACTGCTTTCAAAGAGTTTTTAAAAACAGTATTGATTTTCCTAGGAATGTCAAAAGAAGTAAGATTGAGTCCCAGCACATGCTGAAAAATATGTGCTATATTGAATAAATTAATATACATTTTGTAAACTAATAAAATCAAACCTTTTTCAAACATTTATTTGCACATATTGTTTATATATAGTATATGTCATATATGCCGTATATGTCATATATATATATATACATATATGCCAAGTACTGAGTTAGCCACTGAAAATGCAAAGACAACCAAGGGCCAGCCCCTGTTCTTCAGGTAGACAGATTCGTACTCAGATAAATTACAGCAGACAATGGCAAGTGCTGTAATATAGGTATGAACAGACTGCCAGGGTCATTGGTGCATGAGGTGAGATCTGAGAAATGAGCAGGTATAGAGGGAAATAGAGTGACTAAAGTTGTCTTCATTTTAGTGATAGTCCATGTCTGCAGAAAGGCAGTATGTTCCCTTCAGACTCTAAGATCCTTCTCTAACAGGGCTTGCAAGTCCTATGGTTTGGTCACTTAATCCCCTGTCCTGGGTCATCCTGCCTCAGAGCCTGCAGTGTTACTCTGGCTCTAGCTACATAAGAACTTCTACATACCCGTTTAGGTTTGGTATTTGAACAATTATATTTGGAACAGAAAAGTTCCATCAATCTTTAAACCTCATAATCCAATTATGTCAGTAAAATTCCAGTTTTTTGGTCCAATGGAATTGGGGTAATATTTTGCAAACTGAAGTTGAGAGAAATAGTGTTTATTTTGAAAAGAAAAATGGTCGGTTAGCAATTTTCAAGAAGTTAGGCTTGCATGAACTCCTAGGGGCGATATAGCCCTCCTGATTGGGGTCACCATTTTTCTGGACCTTCAGCTCTAGTCTCTGGAGAGTCCCTGCTTGCATGGCCTAGACCTGTAGCTGTCTTTAGCAGGGCATCTGAGGCTTTAAAAAAGAAAAGCAACATAAGTACTGCAGAAATTTGAGGATCAGGAAGATAATATGTCCAAGGAAACTGCTTAAAGGGGGGTTGCACCAGAAGCTCAAGAAACCCAGAAGTTATTTCTGAGACTGGCTCCAGTTATTTCAAATTTCATTCATATTGTTTTGTTTCCTTTGTTGCTAAACTGGAACAGGAAACCAAAGCCTAAAAGCTCAATTAAAGTGGAAAATGAAAACCTAAATATTGGAGGGGGAAAATACCACACTAAACCGATCTTTATGTTTCTCCTATAGTTAGTATTATTATGGAAGTTTGAATCATGTCACTTTTCAGTAAAACTATGAGTTTCATTGAAGTGGAGGTGGTTTCTATAGCTTTTTACAAGAGAACTTGTGGGTATCTATTTCCTTACTATTCCCTCAATAAAAAGGAAGCCCAGTGACCTCCACCAGACCATTACAAATGTGAAACTTGGCACTTAAAATTGCTTGCTCTAAATTTTCCAATTGCTTTCTCTCTTTTTTTCCCATTTAATGTCGTCCTGCCAACTAGTGATTTTATTATTATAAACAGGACATTGTATTCACTTTTAAGAAGAAATATGAAGCTGGAGGTAAAATTACAAACTGCAGCTTCTCGGCTGCCAAAATAGAAAACAATGAGCTAAAAATACTAAGCACAGAAAGGGGGTTGTGGTAAGAAATATTGAAAAATCTTCAAGATGGAGCTGTTCCAAAGAGACAGAAATTTCCTGTCACTCCAGGTAAAACCAACCTTGAAATAGCAACTTGAAAGGAGAGTCATATAATACTAACCTCTTTCAGGTCAACCCTTTTGTGGGAAAGCTTTCAAACATAACTAACATTAAATGACTAATGATCTTGCTGTTCATCAGGAAGTCCAATATGATTAAATTGCCTTTAGAAGAAGGTTCCCCTGGTAAGACAGTGTGGTAGCATTGAAGGAGCGCTGGAAGTTAGTCCTAGTTCTCCCCAGGGCCTAGCTAGGTGATTTTAGGCAAACCAGTTAAATCTGGGGAAGTGGAGAGCCGTGAGCAATTTTATCTTTTGTGAAATGGATTTTTGACCAGATTAGGATTTTTCAAAACATGTTACTAGGTCATGAATAGGTGTCATGCAGAAAAAGGATCTGTGGGCAAGTATTTTTGGAAAACAGTGTGTTAATAGATTTCTTAGAGTTTCTTCTCATGGATTATCTTGTGGAACTAGTATTCCTTAGAATACATTTTGCAACTTTCTGAACTAGGTATTTCAAACCCCTCTAGCTCTAACAGAGCATGACTCTGTATTTGAAATGTCTTTTCTGAGTTATTTAGAGCTGTCTCATTCTTGGATTTGAAAGAAAATGGTATCCCATCAGTGATTGTCTGCCGCATTTATCTGACAAATAACTATCAACTGTGCCCCACCATGGACCACCCAGGAAAGATAATTACGCAGGAAATTCAAGGGTTGTGCTTTAAATCTCAGTTCTTCGATGGCCAAGGGAACCCCTTCTTCCCTTAGCTGGAGGGAAGCAAGATTAAATTGTTTGGCATCAAATGGGGAAGCTGTCATTGTCATTTGAAACTCCTGGCAGTAGTATTCCTTTCATGTAAATCCCAACTCACTGTGAAATTACAAGAAATGCATAGATAGTAACCAGGATGAATGGGCCCTAAAGTAGATACACAACTGGACCTTCTTAATTGTAAGTATTTAGTACTTCATCAGCCCATAAAATTCATGTTGATAAATAGCACCACTCTCAGAAAAGACAAATACTCAAAGATCAATAGATTTTTGTCTGAACCAGGAGGAAAAATGCCTACTGGCAAAAGACAATATTTGAATTTATTCCCTAGAAATATTTTTATAGCACTGTAGAAATATGAGTGCATGGGAAAGATAATTTCTACATCTTCTAAATAAAATCTGTTTGGAAATTATACTATAATGATATTTAAAAATTTCATTTTGTGGTATAGATGGTCTAAGATTTGGAATAAACTGGAGTATAGAGATAACTAAATGTCAGGGTGGCAAAGTCTGTTTTTTATATTGAGATATTCAAATACCACAAAATTAATCATTTTAAATTCAGTGGTTTCTCGTATATTGGTAGATTTGTTGAACCATCACCACTATCTAATTCCAGAACATTTTTGTCACCCCAAAAATCAATTCCATTAGCAGTCACTCCTCATTCCCTCTCCCCCCAGCTTCTCACAACTACTCATCAGTTTTCAGTCTCTGTGGATTTCCCTGTTCTGAACATTTCATATAAATGGAGTCATACAGCAAGTTGCCTTTGGTAGCTGACGTGGTTTACTTGACATAATGTTTTCAAGGTTCATCCATGTTGTTAAATATATCAGAACGTAATTCCATTTTATAGCTGAATAATATTCTGTTGTATGGATATTTCACATTTTGTTTATTCATTAGTTGATGGACATTTGGGTTGATTCCCCAGCTTGACTATTATGAATAATGCTGCTATGAATATTTGTGTACAGGTTTTGGTGTGGACATTCAGTTATTTTGGGTATACACCTAGGAGTGAAATTGCTAGGTCATATGGTCAGTCTACTTTTAGAGTAATTGTGAAACTGTTTTTCAAAGTAGCTGTACCATTTGCACTCCCTGTGGCAATGTATGAGGGTCTCAGTTGCTCCATATCCTAACACTTGTTATCTGTATTTGTGATTATAGCCATCATTGTAGGTGTGGGGTAGTATCTCATTGTGGTTTTGATTTGCATTTCTGTCATGACTAATGAGACTGAATGTATTTTGATGTGCTTATTGGTCATTTGTATATTTTCTTTGAAGAAAAATCTACTCAGATAGTATCTATTCAGATCCTTTGCCATTTTTAAAATGGATTGCCTTTCTATTGTTGAGCTATAAGTGTAGTTTCTGTATTCCAAACACTGGTCATTTATCAGATATATGATTTGCAGATATTTTCTCCTACTTGTGGGCTGGCTATCTTGCACTTTCTTGATGGTGTTCTTAGAAGCACAAAGTTTCAAAATTTGATGAAGACCCGTTTAGTCTGTTTTTTCTTTGGTTGCTTGTGTTTTTGGTGTCATATCTATAAAAACCATTGGCGAAGATCACAAAGAGTTAGACATATGTTTTCTTTTTGTTTGTTTGTTTTGAGATGGCGTCTCTGTTATCCAGGCTGGAGTGCAGTAGTGCGAGCTCAGCTGCAACCTCTGCCTCCCTGGTTCAAGCGATTCTCCTGCCTCAGCCTCCCAAGTAGCTGGGAGTGCAGGCACCCATCACCACACCCTGCCAATTTTTTTGTGTTTTTATAGAGATGGGGTTTTGCTATGCTGGGCAGGCTGGTCTCCAACTCCTGACCTCAAGTGATCCACCAGCCTCAGCCTCCCAAAGTGCTGGGATCATAGGCATGAGCCACCGTGCCTGGCCAACATAAGTTTTCTTCTATGAACTTTATACTGTTAGTTGTTATATTTATGATCCATTTTTAGTTAATCTTTGTAAATGGTGTGAGGTATGGGTCAAACTTCATTTTTTTGCTTGTGGATAACCAGTTGTTTCAGCACCATAAGAAAAACTTGTTGACAAGATGATTCTTTCTTCATGAAATTGTCTTGGCATTTCTTGTCAAAAATTATTTGACCATAAATGTATTGGTTTATTTCTGGACTCTCAATTCTGTTCCATTGATCTGTATATTTGTCTTTATGCCAGTACCACACTGTCTAAATTATTGTAACTTTGTAGTAAGTTTTGAAATTGAGAAGTGTGATTCTTCCAACTTTGCTTTTTTTTCTTTCAGATTTTTCTACTATTCTGGGTTCTTTGCATTGCCATATATATTTTAGGATCAGCTTGTCAATTTCAGGAGGCACTCAGGATTTTCATAAGAATTGCTCTGAGTCTGTAGATCAGTTTGGGGAGCATTTCCATCTTAACACTGTTAAGTCTTCCAACCTATGAACATGGGATGTCTGTCCATTAATTAGGTCTTTAATTTCTTTCAATGATGTTTTGTAGTTTTCAGTATACAAGGCTTCTTTGTTAAATTTAATCCTACATATTTATTCTTTTTGATGCTGTTGTAAATGAAATTGTTTTCTTAATTTCATTTCCAAATTATTTATTGCTAATGTTTAGAAATACATTTTATATTTATATATATATCTGGTATCCTGCAACCTTACAAAAATCATTTGTTGGCCGGGCATGGTGGCTCATGCCTGTAATCTCAGCACTTTGGGAGGCCAAGGCTGGTGGATCACTTGAGATCAGGAGTTTGAGACCAGCCTGGGTAACATAGTGAAACCCCGTCTCTATTAAAAATACAAAAATTAGCCAGGCTTGGTGGCAGGTGCCTGTAATCCCAGCTACTCAGGAGGCTGAGGCAGGAGAATCGCTTGAACCTGGGAGGTGGAGGCAGCAGTGAGCAGAGATCACGCCACTGCACTCCAGCCAGGGTAACAGAGTGAGACTCCACCTCAAAAAAAAAAAAAAAAAAAAAAAATTGTTAGCTCTGTTTTTCGTGGATACCATGGAATTTCCTGTATTTAGAAGTTCATGTCATCTGCAAATAGGGAAGTTTTACCTCTTCCTTTCTAATTTAGATGCCTTTTATTTCCTTTTGTTATCCAGTTACTCAAGCTAGGACCTTCTGTACAGTGTTGAATAGAATTAATGGAAGTGTGCCTCTCTTGTCCTGATCTTGAGGAAGGAAAGCATTCAGTCATTCAGTTTTTTTTTTGTTTTTTTGTTTTGAGACAGCGTCTTGCTCTGTTGCCAGGCTGGAGTGCAGTGGTACAGTCACAACTCACAATTCCAGGCTCAAGTGATCCTCCCAGCTCAGCCTCTTACGTAGCTGGGACAACAGGGCGTGCCACCAAACCCAGCTAATTTTTGTATTTTTTGTGGAGATAGGGTTTTGCTGTGTTGCCCGGGCTGCTCTTGAACTCTTAGGCTCAAGTGATCTGCCCGCCCCGGCCTCCCAAAGTGCTGGGATTACAGATATGAGCTAAGCACTCAGCCCAGTCTTTCAATATTAATTGTAATGTAAGCTTTGGGGGTTTTGTAGATGCTCTCTATCAGCTGAAAGCTTTTCCTTCTAGTCCTGATTTATTGAGTGGTTTTCTCATGGAAGAGTGTTGGATTTTGTCAAATGGTTTTTCTGTCTGTTGAGATAATCCTGTGATTTTTGTTCTTTATTAATCTGTTTCATTGATTGACTATCATATGTTGAGCCATCACATTCCTGGGATAAATTTCACCCTTGTCATGGTGTATAATGATTTTTACATTGCTAGATTTGGTTTACTGGATTCCTTTTTAGGATCTTTGCTTCGTATTTTTAAGAGATTTCAGTCTTTAGTTTTCTTGTGATAACTTTGGTTTTATGTGAGGATAACACTGGCCTCATAGAATGAGTTTTGGAAGAGTTTGTGAAGAATTTGGGGTATAGTTTTTTTTCTTTTTTTCTTCTAGCTTTTATTTTAGGTTCGGGGGTACATGTATGTACGGGTTTATTATATGAGTAAATTGCATGTCTCTATAGTTTGGTGTACAAATGATTTTGTCACCCAGGTAGTGAGCATAGTACCCAATAAGAGGTAGTTTTTTGATCCTTATTCTCCCACTCTAGAACTCATCAGTAAAGCCATCTGGCCCTGTGCTTTTGTGTGTGTGTCGGCGATGGGTGGGGGGGTGGTTTGTTTATTAATTCGGTATCTTTTTTCTTATAGATCTATTGAACTTTTCCATTTTTAAGTCCTCTGCAGTTTATCTTCCTAGAATTTTTTATTTTTTATTTTTAGACGGAGTTTCACTCTTGTTGTCCAAACTGGAGTGCAGTGGTGCGATTTCAACTTACTGCAACCTCCACTTCCTGGGTTCAAGTGATTCTCCTGCTTCAGCCTCCCAAGTAGCTGGAATTACAGGTGCCCACCACCACATCTGGCTAGTTTTTTATATTCTTCATAGAGACAGGGTTTCACCATGTTGGCCAGGCTAGTCTTGAACTCCTGACCTCAACTGATCCACCCACCTTGGCCTCCCAAAGTGCTGGGATTACAGGCGTGAGCCACCGCACCCGGCTTCTTCCTAGAACTTTGTCTTTTGCATCTTGGTTATCTAATTTCTTGGCATACCATTGTTATTAGTATTCCCTTATAATCCTTATTGTTTCTGTAAGATTGTTAGTAATATTTGCTCTTTCATTTGTTAGTTTAGTAATTTGAATCTCTCCCCCTCTCTCTCTGTTTTGGTCAGCTTAGCTCAGGGTTTGTCAATTTTGTTGATCTTTTCACATAGCCAACTTTTATTTTCTTCTTATTCTTTTTATTTCCTTCTCTTTTTTTTTAAATTCTCTTTTTCATTTATTTCTACTCTAATCTTTGTTATTTTCTTTTTTCTGCTTGCTTAGGTTTAGTTTGTTCTTCTTTGGTTTCTTAAGGTGGAAGTTTATGTTATTGAGTTCAGATCTTTCTATGTTTTGTTTTTGTTTTTTTCTTGAGATGGGAGTCTCACTCTGTCGCCCAGGCTGGAGTGCAGTTGTGCAATCTTGGCTCACTACAACCTCCGCCTTCCAGGCTCAAGTAATCCTCTTACCTCAGCCTACCAAGTACCTGGGACCACAGGCATGTGCCACCATGCCCGGCTATTTTTTTTTAATTTTTTAATTAATTAATTAATTAATTAATTTATTATTATTATTATTTTTTAAATTATACTTTAAGTTTTAGGGTACATGTGCACATTGTGCAGGTTAGTTACATATGTATACATGTGCCATGCTGGTGCGCTGCACCCACTAACTCGTCATCTAGCATTAGGTATATCTCCCAATGCTATCCCTCCCCCCTCCCACCTCCCCACCACAGTCACCAGAGTGTGATATTCCCCTTCCTGTGTCCATGTGATCTCATTGTTCAATTCCCACCTATGAGTGAGAATATGCGGTGTTTGGTTTTTTGTTCTTGCGATAGTTTACTGAGAATGATGGTTTCCAATTTCATCCATGTCCCTACAAAGGACATAAACTCATCATTTTTTATGGCTGCATAGTATTCCATGGTGTATATGTGCCACATTTTCTTAATCCAGTCTATCATTGTTGGACATTTGGGTTGGTTCCAAGTCTTTGCTATTGTGAATAATGCCGCAATAAACATACGTGTGCATGTGTCTTTATAGCAGCATGATTTATAGTCATTTGGGTATATATACCCAGTAATGGGATGGCTGGGTCAAATGGTATTTCTAGTTCTAGATCCCTGAGGAATCGCCACACTGACTTCCACAATGGTTGAACTAGTTTACAGTCCCACCAACAGTGTAAAAGTGTTCCTATTTCTCCACATCCTCTCCAGCACCTGTTGTTTCCTGACTTTTTAATGATTGCCATTCTAACTGGTGTGAGATGATATCTCATAGTGGTTTTGATTTGCATTTCTCTGATGGCCAGTGATGATGAGCATTTTTTCATGTGTTTTTTGGCTGCATAAATGTCTTCTTTTGAGAAGTGTCTGTTCATGTCCTTCGCCCACTTTTTGATGGGGTTGTTTGTTTTTTTCTTGTAAATTTGTTTGAGTTAATTGTAGATTCTGGATATTAGCCCTTTGTCAGATGAGTAGGTTGCAAAAATTTTCTCCCATGTTGTAGGTTGCCTGTTCACTCTGATGGTAGTTTCTTTTGCTGTGCAGAAGCTCTTTAGTTTAATTAGATCCCATTTGTCAATTTTGGCTTTTGTTGCCATTGCTTTTGGTGTTTTGGACATGAAGTCCTTGCCCACGCCTATGTCCTGAATGGTAATGCCTAGGTTTTCTTCTAGGGTTTTTATGGTTTTAGGTCTAACGTTTAAATCTTTAATCCATCTTGAATTGATTTTTGTATAAGGTGTAAGGAAGGGATCCAGTTTCAGCTTTCTACATGTGGCTAGCCAGTTTTCCCAGCACCATTTATTAAATAGGGAATCCTTTCCCCATTGCTTGTTTTTCTCAGGTTTGTCAAAGATCAGATAGTTGTAGGTAAGCGGCGTTATTTCTGAGGGCTCTGTTCTGTTCCATTGATCTATATCTCTGTTTTGGTACCAGTAGCGTGCTGTTTTGGTTACTGTAGCCTTGTAGTATAGTTTGAAGTCAGGTAGTGTGATGCCTCCAGCTTTGTTCTTTTGGCTTAGGATTGACTTGGCGATGCGGGCTCTTTTTTGGTTCCATATGAACTTTAAAGTAGTTTTTTCCAATTCTGTGAAGAAAGTCATTGGTAGCTTGATGGGGATGGCATTGAATCTGTAAATTACCTTGGGCAGTATGGCCATTTTCACGATATTGATTCTTCCTACCCATGAGCATGGAATGTTCTTCCATTTGTTTGTATCCTCTTTTATTTCCTTGAGCAGTGGTTTGTAGTTCTCCTTGAAGAGGTCCTTCACATCCCTTGTAAGTTGGATTCCTAGGTATTTTATTCTCTTTGAAGCAATTGTGAATGGGAGTTCACTCATGATTTGGCTCTCTGTTTGTCTGTTGTTGGTGTATAGGAATGCTTGTGATTTTTGTACATTGATTTTGTATCCTGAGACTTTGCTGAAGTTGCTTATCAGCTTAAGGAGATTTTGGGCTGAGACGATGGGGTTTTCTAGATAAACAATCATGTCGTCTGCAAACAGGGACAATTTGACTTCCTCTTTTCCTAATTGAATACCCTTTATTTCCTTCTCCTGCCTGACTGCCCTGGCCAGAACTTCCAACACTATGTTGAATAGGAGCGGTGAGAGAGGGCATCCCTGTCTTGTGCCAGTTTTCAAAGGGAATGCTTCCAGTTTTTGCCCATTCAGTATGATATTGGCTGTGGGTTTGTCATAGATAGCTCTTATTATTTTGAGATACGTCCCATCAATACCTAATTTATTGAGAGTTTTTAGCATGAAGGGTTGTTGAATTTTGTCAAAGGCTTTTTCTGCATCTATTGAGTTAATCATGTGGTTTTTGTCTTTGGCTCTGTTTATATGCTGGATTACATTTATTGATTTGCGTATATTGAACCAGCCTTGCATCCCAGGAATGAAGCCCACTTGATCATGGTGGATAAGCTTTTTGATGTGCTGCTGGATTCGGTTTGCCAGTATTTTATTGAGGATTTTTGCATCAATGTTCATCAAGGATATTGGTCTAAAATTCTCTTTTTTGGTTGTGTCTCTGCCCGGCTTTGGTATCAGAATGATGCTGGCCTCATAAAATGAGTTAGGGAGGATTCCCTCTTTTTCTATTGATTGGAATAGTTTCAGAAGGAATGGTACCAGTTCCTCCTTGTACCTCTGGTAGAATTCGGCTGTGAATCCATCTGGTCCTGGACTCTTTTTGGTTGGTAAACTATTGATTATTGCCACAATTTCAGCTCCTGTTATTGGTCTATTCAGAGATTCAACTTCTTCCTGGTTTAGTCTTGGGAGAGTGTATGTGTCGAGGAATGTATCCATTTCTTCTAGATTTTCTAGTTTATTTGCGTAGAGGTGTTTGTAGTATTCTCTGATGGTAGTCTGTATTTCTGTGGGATCGGTGGTGATATCCCCTTTATCATTTTTTATTGTGTCTATTTGATTCTTCTCTCTTTTTTTCTTTATTAGTCTTGCTAGCGGTCTATCAATTTTGTTGATCCTTTCAAAAAACCAGCTCCTGGAGTCATTGATTTTTTGAAGGGTTTTTTGTGTCTCTATTTCCTTCAGTTCTGCTCTGATTTTAGTTATTTCTTGCCTTCTGCTAGCTTTTGAATGTGTTTGCTCTTGCTTTTCTAGTTCTTTTAATTGTGATGTTAGGGTGTCAATTTTGGATCTTTCCTGCTTTCTCTTATGGGCATTTAGTGCTATAAATTTCCCTGTACACACTGCTTTGAATGCGTCCCAGAGATTCTGGTATGTTGTGTCTTTGTTCTCGTTGGTTTCAAAGAACATCTTTATTTCTGCCTTCATTTCGTTATGTACCCAGTAGTCATTCAGGAGCAGGTTGTTCAGTTTCCATGTAGTTGAGCGGCTTTGAGTGAGATTCTTAATCCTGAGTTCTAGTTTGATTGCACTGTGGTCTGAGAGATAGTTTGTTATAATTTCTGTTCTTTTACATTTGCTGAGGAGAGCTTTACTTCCAAGTATGTGGTCAATTTTGGAATAGGTGTGGTGTGGTGCTGAAAAAAATGTATATTCTGTTGATTTGGGGTGGAGAGTTCTGTAGATGTCTATTAGGTCCACTTGGTGCAGAGCTGAGTTCAATTCCTGGGTATCCTTGTTGACTTTCTGTCTCGTTGATCTGTCTAATGTTGACAATGGGGTGTTAAAGTCTCCCATTATTAATGTGTGGGAGTCTAAGTCTCTTTGTAGGTCACTCAGGACTTGCTTTATGAATCTGGGTGCTCCTGTATTGGGTGCATATATATTTAGGATAGTTAGCTCCTCTTGTTGAATTGATCCCTTTACCATTATGTAATGGCCTTCTTTGTCTCTTCTGATCTTTGTTGGTTTAAAGTCTGTTTTATCAGAGACTAGGATTGCAACCCCTGCCTTTTTTTGTTTTCCATTGGCTTGGTAGATCTTCCTCCATCCTTTTATTTTGAGCCTATGTGTGTCTCTGCACGTGAGATGGGTTTCCTGAATACAGCACACTGATGGGTCTTGACTCTTTATCCAACTTGCCAGTCTGTGTCTTTTAATTGGAGAATTTAGTCCATTTACATTTAAAGTTAATATTGTTATGTGTGAATTTGATCCTGTCATTATGATGTTAGCTGGTGATTTTGCTCGTTAGTTGATGCAGTTTCTTCCTAGTCTCGATGGTCTTTACATTTTGGCATGATTTTGCAGCGGCTGGTACCGGTTGTTCCTTTCCATGTTTAGCGCTTCCTTCAGGAGCTCTTTTAGGGCAGGCCTGGTGGTGACAAAATCTCTCAGCATTTGCTTGTCTATAAAGTATTTTATTTCTCCTT
The DNA here is from genome assembly GCF_000001405.40 of Homo sapiens. Taxonomy (NCBI): domain Eukaryota; kingdom Metazoa; phylum Chordata; class Mammalia; order Primates; family Hominidae; genus Homo; species Homo sapiens. The sequence goes on from NC_000002.12 coordinate 232,181,062, forward strand.
CACTTATGAAGCTTAGTTTGGCTGGATATGAAATTCTGGGTTGAAAATTCTTTTCTTTAAGAATGTTGAATATTGGCCCCCACTCTCTTCTGGCTTGTAGGGTTTCTGCCGAGAGATCCGCTGTTAGTCTGATGGGCTTCCCTTTGTGGGTAACCTGACCTTTCTCTCTGGCTGCCCTTAACATTTTTTCCTTCATTTCTACTTTGGCGAATCTGACAATTATGTGTCTTGGAGTTGCTCTTCTCGAGGAGTATCTTTGTGGCGTTCTCTGTATTTCCTGAATCTGAATGTTGGGCTGCCTTGCTAGATTGGGGAAGTTCTCCTGGATGATATCCTGCAGAGTGTTTTCCAACTTGGTTCCATTCTCCCCATCACTTTCAGAGTGACACCAATGAGACGTAGATTTGGTCCTTTCACATAGTCCCATATTTCTTGGAGGCTTTGCTTGTTTCTTTTTATTCTTTTTTCTCTAAACTTCCCTTCTCGCTTCATTTCATTCACTTCATCTTCCATCGCTGATAGCCTTTCTTCCAGTTGATCGCATCGGCCACCATGCCCGGCTATTTTTTTTAATTTTTTAATTTTTTAATTTTTTGAGACAATGTCTCACTCTGTCACTCATGCTGGAGTGCAGTGGTGCGATCTCAGCTCACTGCAACCTCCACCTCCTGGGTTCAAGTGATTCTCCTGTGTCAACCTCCAGATAGCTGGGATACAGGCGTGCATCATCACACCCAGCTAATTTTTGTTTGTTTGTTTGTTTGTTTTTTAGTAATGATGGGGTTTCACCATGTTGGCCAGGTTGGTCTCGAGCGCCTGACCTCAGGTGATCTGCCCACCTCAGCCTCCCAAAGTGCTGGGATTACAGGCGTGAGCCACCGTGCCCGGGCGCCTGGCTAATTTTTGTATTTATTTGTAGAAGTGAGGTTTCATCATGTCACCTAGGGTGGTCTCGAGCTCCTGGATTACAGGCATTAGCCACTGTACTTTTTATAAAGGCATTTACAGCTACTCCCTCCCTACTTCCCTGATTGCTTTAGCTACATCCCATAAATTTTCATAGGTTGTATTTTGTTTTCATTTATATCTAAATATTTTAAAATTTCCTTTGAGATTTCTTCTTTGACGTATTTTTTATTTAGGAGTAGGTTGTTTAATTTCTACATACTTGTGAATTTCTCTAATTTCTTTATGCTATTAATTTCTAATTCCATTCTATTTTGGTCAGAGAACATACTTTGCATGATTTTAGTCCTTGTATATTTATTGAAACTTGTTATATGGTGTGGAGAATGTTCCATATCCACTTTAGAAGAATATGTTTTCTGCTGTTGTTGGATGGAGTGAGTGTTCTGTAGATATCTGTTAGATCTAATTGATTTATAGTTTTGTTTAAGCTTTCTATTTTCTTGTTTATCTTTTGTTTATTTTTTATCTCTGTTACTGGATGTTGTGTATTGATATATATTACAGTTGAATTCTACATTTCTCCCTTAAGTTCTGCCATTTTTTGCTTTGTGTATTTTGTGGCTTTGTTGTTAGATGCATGTGTGTTTATAATTGTTTCATTTTCTAGATGGATTGAGCCTATCATTGTTATAAAATATTATCCTTTGTCTTTAGTAACACTTTTTGCCTTGAATTCTATTTTGTCTGCTATTAGTTTGGCTACTCCAGCTCTCTTTTGTTACTGTTTGCATGACACCTGCACATGCATACACACACAGGCACACACACACATACAATTAAATACTATTAAATAGTAATATAATGTGGCAGCTCTGGAAATCATCTTGCCTCCCTTCATTTCCAAGGTTTGCTGTTATTGCTGTTTGTTCTTTCTGCTGTTCATTTTCTGACTTTTTTGAACTAAGTCTTTTGAGTCTATGCTGTGATCTGAATGTCTGTGTTCCCTCTAAGTTCGTAGGTTGAAACTCTAACCCCCAAATTATAGTTTAGGAAGGCAGTTAAGTCAAGGGTAGAGCCCTCATGAACGGGATTAGTGCCCTTATAAAAAGAAGCATGAGAAAGAAACCTCACCCCTTTCACCATGTGAGAACATAGTAAAAAGGTGCCATTCATGAGGAAGTGGGCCTTCATCAGATATTGATTCTGCTAGTTTCTTGATCTTGGACTTTCCACTCTCCAAAACTGTGAGAAATAAACGTTATAAGCTACCCAATTTATAGTATTTTGTTATAGCAACTCAAACAAACAGAGACAGTTTGTATTCTTTGTTATTTGAAGCTACTGAAATCTCTGCTTGGCTAGCTTAGTGGTCACCTAATGAATAAACAGAGATTTCCTTAAATATTTGAAAACAGTAAGTCTCTTAGCGTTTGTTAAGAGGCTCTGTGTCGACTAATACCTTTAATGCTTAGGCATGCACTTTACAACTCTGCCATAGCCTTCACTTCCTGCTGTTGCAGAGCTTCAGGGTCAGCCAGAAGTAAGAGTGTAAGACCCTTCTTAAGTCTTTCTTGGGCATGTGCACAGCCCTATGCATGAGTGTGACCATCTTTATCCCCAGGAATGTGTCAGACCTTTTCACAGCCCTTTATAGATGCCTCATTCTCCAGCTTTTCCTTTTAATGTTTTTGGTCAGTTCTTGTTGACCAGTACTTTAGCTCACTGTTATCACCATCTCAGATAGCTGCCATGTTAAATAAATACTGCTGAATGTTTTTGATGAACACCCCTGGGGCTATAAGGCTGTTTGCAGTGAACAAGGTTTGATGAAGGTCAAATTAAGCAAACCCGGTAAATGGGGGTTTTCAGGGAACTGCTGGATAGGTCAAATAATGACATTTCTCCTGTGATGCTGTTTTTAGGGTGCTGTAAACCTGTTCTTGCCACTCCAGTGACTGCTAGGCCACTGGTTTTCACCACGATTACAATGCTGTTGATTTTAAGGCTGGAGAGAGAGATAGAGCTGGAAAGGGGGATGTGGGAATATGGAAAGTAAACTTTGTAAGTAAAACTTTACAAAGTTCAGTGTCCTTGTTGATATTTAGCCATTTTTCTTGAGTAATTGCATCTCAGATTGTTAAAAGCCTGTGGTTAATTTCCAGAGTTACACTAAATTTGATTTTGACAGTTTTGTCCAGTGTTGTTGTTACTTATATGAAGTAGTAGCTTTTCAGAGGAGGCCTCTACTTTGCGAGTCCCACTGATGTGACTCTCAAGTCTTTTCACTTTTATTGCTTGAGTTGGAGATAAAAGAAGACAGTGTCCTGCAGAAAAGCTACAAGCTTTCCTGGGAAAATAACAGAAAGAGTGAAAGGAAGATAGAATTTGAAAATAAGGTCGGGTGCGTGGCTCATACCTGTAATCCCAGTACTTTGGGAGGTCCAGTACTTTGGGTGGATTGATTGAGTCCAGGAGTTCCAGACTAGCCTGGGCAACACAGCAAAACCCCATCTGTACAAAAATTACAAAAATTAGCTGGGCGTGGTGGCATGTGCCTGTAGTCCCACTACTAGGGAGGCTGAGGTGAGATAATCACTTGAGCCCAGGAGGTTGAGGGTGCAGTGAGCTGTGATCGCGCCACTGCACTCCAGCCTGGGAAACAGAACAAGACACTATCTCAAAAAAAGAAAGAAAAAGAAAAGAAGCATATAGTAGTCAGTAATTGTGTGGGCAAATTATTCCTAAGATTAGTAGTGTTGGGTAGCCTGACATTCGTATTAGGGCAGGTCAAAAATGAAATGGTCAACTCTGTTGATAATAGGAAAAGAGGAAAATAAATTTCTTAGCTTCTTATACAATATCCTGTTCTGCTTTCAGCCCTTCATCTTTCCTCAGTCTTGCTCTGTCATAGTTCTCTGTCTTACCTATGCCTTGCATTGTACTTCATCCATTTTCCAGGGCCCGTCTTGAATGCTGTGAATTTTTTGTCTTCTCACTCTAGAAGAATTAGCCTTGCCCTTCTCTGTTCTCCCGAGGCAGTCTGCTCACTTGCCATAATGTACCTAATTTACTTAAATATGACTCTGTCTCTCTGATGGGTAGCAAAGTTCTCATCAAGAGCAAGGACTGGGTGTTACTTTTCTGTTTCTAGGTGCTAACTCAGTACATGGCATCCAGACCCAAATAAAGTGATCATGGAATATTCACCAAGATAGACCATATCTTGAGTCATCAAACAAACTTCAGCTCATGTGAAAATGAAGTCATATAGGGTATGTTTTCTGACCATATGGAACTACAAACTAGAAATCCATAACAGGACAATAGTAAAATATCTAGACACTTGGAAATTAAACAACACACTTATAAATAATTCACTGGTTAAAGAGGAAATCTTAAAGGAAATTTTTAAAAAATATGTAGAACTGAATGAAAATGAAAGCACAACATATTAAAATATGTGAGATGTCGCTAAAGCAGTACCGAGGAAAATTTATAGCTCCAAGTGCTTACATTAAAAAGAAAAAAGATCTCAGCAGTGAGCTATGTTTTTACCTTAGGAATTTAGATAAAGAAGAGCAAGGCTGGGCATGGTGGCTTATGCCTGTAATCCCAGCACTTTGGAAGGCCTAGGCGGGTGGATCACTTGAGGCCAGGAGTTAGAGACCTGCCTGACCAACATGGTGAAACCTCGTCTCTACTAAAAAAATAAAAACAAAAAACCCCAAAATTAGCTGAGTGTGGTGGCTTGTGCCAGTAGTCCCAGCTACTCAGGAGGGTAAAGCAGGAGAATTGCTTGAACCTGGGAGGTAGAGGTTGCAGTGAGCCAAGATTGTGCCACTGCACTCCAGTCTGGGCAACAGAGTGAGACTTCGTCTCAAAAAAAAAAAAAAAAAGCACGATATGCCCAAAGTAAGCAGGAAGGAAGAAAATATAAAGATAAGCACTTAAGTCAATAAAATTGGAAATTGGAAAACGGTAGAGAAAATTGGTGAAACAAAAAGCTGGTTCTTTTTTTTTAAAACTTTGACTTAATTTTTAAAAGAGACAGGATCTCACTATGTTGCCCAGGCTGTTCTTGAACTCCTGGACTCAAGCAGTCCACCTGCCTCAGCCTCCCAAAGTGCTGGGATTATAGGCGTGAGCCACCATTCCCAGCCAAAAGCTTGTTCTTGAAAAAAATTAATAAAACTGATAAGCCTTTAGCGAGATTGATGGATAAACGGAAGACACACATCACATTAGAAGTGATATGGGACATCACTACAGATACTGCAGCCATTTAAAGGATAATAAGGAACATACAAATGGTTTTTCAAGAAGTTAATAATTCAACATCTTAGAAGAGATGAGTCAAAGACTACGAACTTTCATCATTCAACCATGTCACATAGACAATCTGAATAGTCACAAAACTATTAAAAATATTGAATTCATAATTTAAAAGCTCACAGAAAGGAAATCTTCAAGCCCAGATGGTTTCACTGGAGAATTCTAGAAAACATTTAAAGAAGAATTAACAGCAATTTTTACACAATCTTTGCTTGAAAATACAATAGGAGAGAACATTTCCCATCTGATTTTATGAAGCCTGATACCCAAACCAGACAGAGATCATATCACAAAGAAAACTGTGGACCAATATCCCTCCTGAGCTCAGATGCAGAAGTATTCAGCAAAATTTTAGCTAATCAAATCCAGCAATGTATAAAAAGAATTCTATTGCTATTACAGAAGTGTCTAAAAAAAAGTGTTCTAAACTATGACCTAGTATGATTTATTCCAGGCATTCAAGACTGGTTCAACATTCAAAACCAATTAATGTATCATGTGTACAAATTAATTTAAAGTGGATCGTAGACCTGAATGTAAGGGCTAAAACTAGAAATCTCTTAGGAGAAAACAAAAGAGTAAACCTTAGTGACCTTGGATTGGCCAAGGAAGAAGTGACAAAATAAAAAAATAGACAAATTGGACTTCATCAAAATTAAAAATTTTGTGCTTTGAAGGACACCATCAAGAAAGTGAAAGCATAACCCTCATGGGAAAAATTGTTTTGCAAATTATGTAGGTTAATATATCTAGAATACATAAAGAACTCCTACAACTTAACAATAAAAAAGACAATTTTAAAATGGGCAAGAATTTTAAGACACACAAATGGTCACTAAGCATATAAAAAAAAGCTCAGCATCATTGATCATTACAAAAATGCAAATCAAAACCACAATGAGATACCACTGTACATTCACTAGGATGGCTGTAATTTAAAAAAATACAGATAACAAGTGTTGGTGAGGATGTAGTGAAATTGGAACCCTCTTATACTGCTGGTGAGAATGTAAAATGGTGCAGCCATTTTGGAAAATAGTTTGGCAGCTCCTCAAAGGGTTAAACATAGAGTTACCATATGACCTAGCAATTTTACTCCTGGAGAATTGAAAACATAGCCACACAAAAACTTGTACATGAATTATTATTATTATTTTTTAAGGTGGAGTCTTGCTCTGTCATCAGGCTGGAGTGCAGTGGTGCGATCTCGGCTCACTGCAACCTCCGCCTCCCAGGTTCAAGCGATTCTCCTGCCTCAGCCTCCCAAGTAGCTGGGACTACAGGTGCGCGCCACCATGCCCAGCTATTTTTTGTATTTTTAGTAGAGACAGGGTTTCACCATGTTGGCCAGGATGGTCTCGATCTCTTGACCTCGTGATCTGCCCACCTCGGCCTCCCAAAGTGCTAGGATTACAGGCGTGAGCCACTGTGCCTGAATGTTTATATCAGCATTATTTAAAAAATGGAAACAGGCCAGGCTTAGTGGCTAAAGTGAGGCAGAGGGAGGAGGATTGCTTGAGGCCAGGAGATCGAGACCAGCCTGGGCAACATAATAAGATCCTTTCTTTATTTTTAAAAAGGCCCAGCACTTTGGAAGGCTGAGGCAGGCGGATCACTTCAGGTCAGGAGTTGGAGACCAGCCTGGCCAACATGGTGAAACTCCGTCTCTACCAAAAATACAAAAACAATTACCTGGGTCTGGTGGTGTGCGCCTGTAATCCCAGCTACTGTGGAAGCTGAGGTGGGAGAATCACTTGAACCTGGGAGGCGGAGGTTGCAATGAGCTGAGATCGCGCCATAGCCCTCCGGCCTGGGCGACAGAGCAAGACTCTGTCTCAAAAAAAAGTGGAGGGGGAGGGAGGGAAACAACCCAATCAACTGTTGAATGTATAAACAAAGTGTTTCCCCTCTGTGCAGAGAAGGGAAAACATGGAATGATTGCCATGGGTATGGAGTTTCTTTTCTTGGGTAATGAAAATATTCTAAAATTAGGTAGGGATAATGATTATACAACTCTGTACATATTCTAAAAACTTGTGAATTGTATGCTATAAAATGATAAATTTTATGTAACTTTTTTCTCAATAACAGAACAGAATAGAGAATCCAGAATTAGATCCACACAAATATGCCTGACTGATTTTTAACAGAGGAGCAAACGCAGTTCAATGTAGGAAGGATAGCCTTTCATAAAATGGCATTAGAGGAATTTGCCATACATAGGCAAATAAATGAACTTCGATCTAAACCTCATGCCTTATGCAAAAGTTAACTCAAAATGGGTCATGGGCTTAAGTATAAAATGTAAAAGTATAAAACTTAATAGAAATGAGCATAGAAGAGTACTTACAGGATGTAGGACTAGAGAAAGAGTTCTTAGACTTTGACATAGTACAGTCCACAGAAGAAGAGGTTGGTAAATTGGATCTCATCAGAATTAAAAACTTTCTGTCTATGAAAGATGCTGTTAAGAAAAGAAAAAGATGAGCTGCAGAAAATTCTTTCTGCAGCTGGGAGAAAATATTTGTAAACCACATATCCAACAAGAGACTAGTATCTAGAGTACGTAAAGAACCTTTAAAACCAAAGCAATCCAATTAGAAAATGGACAGAAGACATACACTGAAGAGGATATACAAATGGAAAACAAGCAAATTAAAAAATGTTTAACATCACGACCCATTCGAGAATGCAAATTAAATTCACAATATCAATACACATCAATCAGAACATCTAAAGTAAAATAATGAAAAGGCCAAATTGGCAAGAAGTTCTAAGCAATACCAAGTGCTGGCGAGGGTGCAGAGAAAGTGGATCACTCAAACGTTGCCGGTGGAAATGTAAAATGGCACAACCACTCTGGAAACACTTTGGCAGTTTCTTAAAAAACTAAACACAACCCGGTAATTGCACTCCTGGGCATTTATCCCAGAAAAATGAAAACCTACATTCTCAAAAAAACCTGTACATGAATTTCTATAGCAGTTTTACATAGAATAGCCCAAATACTAGAAACAGCCCAGATGTCCTTCAGCAGATGAATGGTTAAGCAAATTGTGGTACATCCATATTACTGAATGGTACTTGGCAACAAAAGAGTGAACTGTTGATATGCGCAACAGCTTGGATGGATCTTCAGTCTCAAGGGTTACATATGTACTGTATGATTCTATTTAATCTTTTTGAAAGTACAATTTTAAAAAGTCAGCTGAGTTTAAGATTCAGAAAAGGCAAATTTTAGAACCATAGAACAGATTCGTAGTTGCCAAGATTGAGGGAGGCAGGACAGGAAGAAATTGGGTGCAATTGAGGGATCCTTGAGACAATAGTAGTGTTCATTATCTTGATTGAGTGGTATTTACATGAACCTACATATGTAATAAAATTGTATAGAACTTATACACCCAAATGAGTATGAGTAAGTGAGAAATCTAAATAAGATTGGTGCATGGTATCAGTGTCAATATCCTGGTTTTGATATTGTACTACAGTTTTGTATGATTTTACCATTGGTAACTGGGTAAAGGGCACACAACATCTTTATTATTTCTTATACTTGCATTTTAATCTACAATTATCGCAACATAAAAGATTCTAAAAAATTTAAAAGGAACCAGATTAATAAAGATGGGAAAGTAATATAATGTGAGGCACTTGGAAACTTTGGAGCAGGTGAAGTTTGAACTCGGCTTTGAAGGAGGAATAGGATTTTAGTATGCTTTTGTCTTAATTTTTAAAAAGGGGCTGAGCACGGTGGCTCAACGCCTGTAATCTCAAAACTTTGGGAGACTGAGACAGGAAGATTGCTTGAATGCAGGAGTTCGAGACCAGCCTGGGCAACATGATGAGACCCTCATCTTTACAAAAAATTAAAAATAAAATTAGCCAGATGTGGTGGTGCATGCCTGTGGTTCCCAGCTACTCAGGAGGCTGAGATGGGAGGATCACCTGAGCCCAGAAGGTCAAGGCTGCAGTGAGCTTTGATCATGCCACTGCATTCCAGCCTGGGCAACAGAGTGAGACCCTGTCTCAAAATAGGAAAAGAGAAAGCAGTTAACATGGTTACCTCATGCTCCGAGAAAACCTCTCAGTTGGGGGATATGCCTACGTGGTCCTTGAATTGCGTCAGTAACTATAGACCAAGGTGAAATTCAGAAGACTGAGATTTTGCTTTAAAGAACATGAACGACACAATTTTTGGATTGGGAAAGATGAGTAAAATTTGGATATTTTGTGCTTAGGTTCTCAAAAGGAGATGAGATGAGAGAGAGAGAAAGAAGAGAGAGAGAGGAAGAGAGGAAGGAAGGAAGGAAGAAAGGAAGAAAGAAAGAGAAAGAAAGAGAGAAAGAAAGAAGGCAGGCCTGGCATTCAGGGAAGAAGTCTAGATTACAGATACCTGTTTAGGTGCCTGAAGGTAGTAGTTACAGGCACCAAAGTGAATGAGTATACATAGGGTGAGCATATAATCTGATGAGGGAAGAGGACCAAGGATAGACTGTGAAGAGCTCCAGAATGTAAAGGGTGGAAGGAAATTTCTTAGGAAAAGGTGGTGTTGGGGGCACAGAAAGGCAGATATTAGAAGAGTTAAAGAAAAGACAAAGGCAAAGTTGGTGACAAGTTCCAAACAAGGGTGAGTTACCCTGTGCTCTGCTGCAGTGAGGTCAGCTGGGACAAAGCTAGAACAGAAGTCACTGTGTTTAGCCATGAAGCTCTTTTCTTTGTCCTTTGGATATCTCAAGAGTCATGTCAGTGCAGTGAGTGGAGCGAAAGCCAGATTATAGTCAACTGAGGAGGTGAAAAAGTGGGGATCCTAAACGTAAACATCTCTTTTAAGGAGGTTTGCTTTGCAGAGGAAGTGAGAGGGAGCTTGAAAGAAGCAGGGTCCTGAAGATATTTGTGCAAATTGGAGAGATTTGAGCTTGCTGGCAAGTGGTGGGTGAGGAGCCAGTGGGCGACATACACATTTTTGGACTCCTTTTTGGAAATTGCCTTCAGAGCCTGAGGCACATTTTCAACAATGGGAAATCTTCATCTTTCGAGGGTGGATTTAATTTTTGGAAGCAGCCAAGTTAATTCAGAGCCAAGGGTGGTAAATCAGGTGGGTGATCAAGCTGGATAACACAACTTCAAAAAAAATTATAATTATAAAGTAGTAACACTGATTTTCTTGTGAAGCTCATGAATTGGCTTAGAAAGTAATCCTTAAAAAATCACAAGAACCATTTGAGCAGTTGTAGCATTCTCTGAATAGTAGGTGTATGGATTTGTAACTTTGAGGACACTCATTTGTGTGGAAGTTCTATTATATATGAAGAAATTGGCCTAGTTACATTGTGTTTACTCCTAGTGCTCAAATGTAAAGTTGCCATGTAGTCTTTTTGCCTGAGAGGTGACTTAGTGGAGTTATAAGTTTATATATGGGAGAATCAAGAGTTTCAAATTGTGATTGTTTAAACAGTTCTGTGGTCTTACAGATGTAATTAGAATTCCTAGGATAGGAGTGTTCCCACAAGCATAACAGTACTTTAAATGTGTGTTCAGTTATCCCTTTCTATAGTCATATTTCATCGTTTCTTTTTGAAATAGAGTTATTTTGAAAATATTAAGTCGCTACTCTAATCTTGAATGTCTGTCAGACCTGAGACAGAGCTGGGCACATAGTAGGCACTCACCGAACATCCCTCTCCTGTCTTCTCTACCCTAGTGTTTGTTATATACCAGGGGTCACACTAAGAGAAAAATCAGTTCATAGCTAGTAGATCATCTTCCATGGTGTTTGGCCAAAAATATCCAGCATAAAGAAAACAAATGTGTACAGAAGTTTGATGTTTTTACTTATCTTTTTGTTAATGGGGTATATATTTATATACCAAAAGATATTTTTGAAGGCTTATGTTATACCTTTATATACATACTTATCATCTCCTTTAATCATTGAAATAACCTTGTGAAACTTGTCCTTATTTTTCAGATAAAGAAACTGTGGCTCTGAGTAGTAATCTCTTGCCTGAGGTCACATGACTGAGGGGGAAGAACTGGGACTTGATTTCAGGTCTGCAGTTTTGGAATCTCTAACTCACGGTCCTCATATGTCTCCACCTTCTTAAACCTATGCCCTTAATTTTAAAAAAAAGTTGATTAAAAAAATAAATCAGAAGCACTTCATACTTCCCCCTTCCTCATACTGAGAAAATAGAAGTTAGAGCCTGTCTTCTTTAAGCTCCTACTGGCTAAAAGACTTGATAGCATTGTACTTTATGTCATTCTAATTACCAAAGCAATAGTTTTTAAACTTCTAGAAAGTCGCGGCACCCTCCCTCTGCCTCCCCACACCTGGAGCTCTCTGAGCTCCCCCAGGGGACAGTGTGGAAGTGGTGACTGTAATGTCCTGTCGTAGCTTTCGATAATGATAAAGTGTTAGAGAAAGCCAGGACGAGTTAGCCATTCTAGGAAACTTTCCACAGCTGTTGCATTAATTAAGACTTTTTTGGTCCCAAGTAACAGAAACCACTGGAACTCACTTAAGCAGAAAGGGGAATTTGTTTTAAGGATGCTGTGGTGTCTCCCAGAATCCAAGGGCAGGGAACCAGGGACTGCAGTGAGGCAAGAAACCCAGAAAGACTTCTTTCTTCCTCTCTGCCTCTCCTACTTCACACACTGGCTTCCTTCCTCCCCTTTACTCAGACTAGCTCCTTTGCTTCCTCCTCCTTAGTGGGATGGCTGCTATCTACAGCTACCACGGTGCTCTCCGGGCCCATCCAACCAAAGGGAGACTGATTTCTCTTTCCTCCCTGCACACTCCTTCCTTGTTTCCCATCCTTTGTCCCAATTTCCAAATTCTAGGCAAGGATCAGATTATTCCGTTTTGACTTTACATGCTAGTTTGGGTGAGTGAATGTAAGGACAGACAACCTAATGTGACTAGCACAGTTGCATTCACTTCTACCTTTGGGAGTTTTAAATGCTGCTATCACAGGAGTGAAATACAAGAACACAGGTTTTAGAGGCAAATTCTGCCACTTACTAGGTATATAATCTTGGGCAAGTTTTAGCTCCTGTGAGCCCTACTTTCTTTAATAAAAGGGATATACAGATAATGTCTTTCTCATGAGGTTGTGGCAGAGTTTAATGTAATAACAGGTATAGTGCTTAGCACAGGGTCTAGCATACATTATGCTTGATAAAATATTGCCCCTTTATTTCTGATGATTATTAAGGCACATTGCCTTAACAAAAAGATGTTTAAGTCATATGAGGAGTAAAAATTTTAAACTGCCTTTTGGTTCAAATTTCTGCTTCCTCTTGCCTCTTTTATGTCCCCATTTCATCTATCATTGGGTATTAATATATTCATAATCCAAAGGACTTTGGTTCTAAGAAACCCCAAAATTCTCTAGGAAATAGTTGGAGGTCCCAAGGTATCACCCAAAGTAGTTTCACAAATAATGTTGGTACATAGACTATTAGGTGAAAAACATTCATGGCTCTACTAGCCTTTTTTTCCAGTGATTGGAGTTGGAAGACCCCAATTAAAGATTCAATTCACGGCGAGGCCCAGCAGTTTGGGAGGCCAAGGCAGGCGGATCACTTGAGACCAGGAGTTGAAGACCAGCCTGGCCAACACGGCAAAACCCTGTCTCTATTTAAAAATACAAAAATTAGCTGGGCGTGGTGGTGCTCGCCTGTAGTCCCAGCTACTTGGGAGGCTGAGGCATGAGAATTGCTTGAACCTGGGAAGCAGAGGTTGCAGTGAGCCGGGATCGTACCACTGAACTCCAGCCTGGGTGACAGAGTAAGACTCTGTCTCAAAAGAAAAAGAAAAAGAAAAAAGATTCAATTTAGTAAATATTTGTTATCTCTACTATATATATCTTAGTATATATTAATAGGAATGTATCTTGCAAATATTAATGTATATAGATATATATGCTGCTTCTATGTGTGTGTATATACATGCTAATATTTGCAAGATACTGAAATAGATATTGTTGGAATTAAAAATATGTATAATATATATTTACATAAATAATTAAGAGAAACAGTCCTTTCCTTTAAAAAGAGTAAAGTCTAGAAGAAAATACTGTGAATCTACAAAAATCATGAATTCAGGGTGTTTTGGCAGAACTGGTTTACCAAGGTCCCATGTTAATGAAGCTAAGTCACATTAAGTAAGAATGGAGAAATAGTTTGAAGCCAAATCATGGAGGATACTGGATGCCAAGCTGAGGATTATAGTTCAAAGATAGCTAGAAGCCAGTGAAGGTTTTTGAGAAGGAGAGTATAATGTAATTGTACGTTCTAAGAATTGACTTTGTCCTAATAGCCAAGTGGTAAAGGACTTGAAAGGCAGGAAAGAAAGAGAGGAGACTGGAGTCCATTTGAAGAGAGCTGCTTTAGTAGGAATGGAAAGTGGGCTTTATGAATTTAGCGCCAGTCCAGGGCTTGGTAAGGACTGGGCTGTGGGAGTTGGGCTGAGGTAGAGAGTGTGTGCTGGGTGACCCGCAACCTGGAAGCACAGGAGGAGGTGTAGGTTGCATGAGGGGTCACTTGGGACTCCTCTCCTGAAGTTGGTGGGAGTAGAGAAGTAGCACTCCATTCTTCACTATGTTCCAATTCTTGATTTGGAAACTCTCTGAAACAAACAGTTATTATGAGCATATTTTTGACCTAGAATCTAAGTATTTAATATTAAAATCAGCCAGGAAGTCATTTTCAGCCTGCTATTTAAAAACAAAACAAAAAACTATAGAACAAGCTCTGAATGATACAACAGAGTTTTGGCCCAAAATGAGTACTTAAAAGACATATAATTCTAAGCTTGGCTTTCTCCATTAATGAAAAGAAGGACATTCATACTTTCTTCTGTTAAAAATTACAAAGTCATACTCAATTTAATAATAGAATCCCCGATTATCCTGAAATACAGCTGAAATTTGTTTTGTTTTGTTTTTGAGACACTGTAACAGCCCAATGGGTTCTTCTTGCCCATTGCCCAGATAGAGCCAATTAGTCAAGACAGGGGAATTACAATAGAGAAAGAGTTTAATACATGTGGAGCTGGCTAAAACAGGTAGAGTTTTATTATTTCTCAAATCAGCCTCCCTGAAAATTCAGAGGCTAGGGTTTTTAAAAGATAGTTTGGTGGGCAGGGGCTAGGGAATGGGGAATGCTGGTTGGTTGGGTTGGGGATGAAATCATAGGGAGTTGAAGCTGTCCTCTTGTCTTGAGTCAGTTCCTGGGGTGGGGTGCGGTGGGGTGGGGTGGGGTAGGGGTGGTGGGTGGGGGTGCCACAAGACCAGGTGAGCCAGTTTACAGTTCTTTTTATTTTAAATAGAGATGGTGTCTTGCTGTGTTGCCTAGGCTGGTCTGGAATTCCTGGGCTCAAGCTGTTCTCCTGCATCAGCCTCCCAAAGTGCTAGGATTACAGGGATGAACCCCCACTCCCTGCCTTGAGCATGAGCCTTAGGTTTGATAATAATAATGTTATCCATAGGAGCAATTGAGAGGTGGGGAATCTTGTGGCTCCTGGCTGCATATCTCTTAAACCATTATTTTAAATCTTGCTAATTTATTAGTTTTATGAAGGCAGTCTAGTCCCCAGGCAAGGGGGGAGTTTGTTTTGGGGAGAGGCTTTTATCATCTTTGTTTTAAAGTTAAAGTATGAATTAAATTCCTCCTAAAGTTAGTTCAGCCTATGCCCAGGAATGAACAAGGGCAGCTTGGAGGTTAAAGGCAAGATGGAATCTGTTAGGTCAGATTCTTTTATTGTCAAACTTTTCTCACTATTAGAATTTTTATAATTATAAATTTTATACTATTATACAGGGTCTTGCTCTGTCACCCAGGTTGGAGTGCAGTGGTGCAGTCATAGCTCACTACAACCTTGAACTCCTGGGCTCAAGTGATCCTCCCTCCTTGGCCTCCAAGCACTGGGATTACAGGCGTGAACCAATGTGCCTGGCCTGGTATTTTAAACATATATTCATGTTATTATTCTTTATTTTCAGCAGCAAATTTATTTAATTGTTTGTATGGATCTTGTACACAAGTCACTTATCTCTCTAAACTGAGACTCTAGTAAATAATCTCAATATTTTATAAAACGGTGCCAGGCCTGTTAAGGCCTATTATGCATCATTTATGATGCTTCAACAATAGTATCTTTCCACATCATCATCTTAATAAAAAACATTCATTTTGAGAATACATTTTCCAGGCAGTTCCTTTGCCTCCAGGGGGAATATTTTGAGGCCTCCCAGTGACCATAGGATTAAAAGACTTGACAGGAAAGCCCTAGAATTCTTGAAGAGCAAGGCTTTTGAAAGATTCATTGTTGTGGACTCTCCCTTTGAAAGAGACCACTTTATCTTGCTCCTAAACATCTATAGGACAGACATAGCATTTTCTGAAAAGAAATTCTGGGTAATGTAGAAGAACAAATGTAGGTAGGTAATCTAGTATGGGTAGTGTGTAATGTGAAGAATGATAGTTCCATTTTTATGGTTGCCATAACAATCATACAGTTGTGCAAAAAATGTGTATAGCTTTTATAGAAGGGAGCTGGCACCATTGTAATGCTTCTTCTCATATCAGAACAACTGTTTTCAGATCTGAAAAATAGGGGTGGCTTAACCCTTCCCCAGTTAGCTCAGCATGTTCCCTGAGAAGTCTCTTTGGAGCTCCAGGGCTGTTGAAATGCATTCACCACTTGCATTTGCATTTTAGCCTGATAAATGGATTGAGAATTAAGGATGATGATCCTTTCAACAGCAGGTTCTGAATTCCTAACTTGGGAATTCAAAGGATGAGAAAAGAAATACATTGTTCCTCAAATAGAAATCTAGGAGAGATGTCTAGACATAGTAAATTCCTTGACTTTGTGACTCTTCTTAATTCTGTCCACTAGAATTTAAATCCATTAAATGCTGTCATTTACCCCACTGTGCTTAGTCTCAGATAAAGTCATATTAAAATTTGGTTACAATTTCTGTTTTATTTTTACATATTAACTATGTCACTTCTGGAAATCAAGAAGCAAATTTTAAGCGTAGTATATTTAAGTGAAAATATATTCACATATATTCTTTCTTTCACTATCGTTTTCCTATTTTTATATATCCTTTCCTAAGGAAAGTACTTGGTACTTGACTTTCTCAGTCATACTAAGGAGTATCTACTGTGAAGAAACTATATCAGAACTCTGGATGGAGATTTTCAGGTTGAGGATGGGAAGTTTTCAGGTTTGGATGGGGTACCTAAAATGAAGTCATTGTCAACCTAGTCAACCACAGAGAAACTTTTTCTTGTAGAGATTTGGGATAAGTTATTACTTTTGCCAAAATACATCCAGAGTTTTTAAATCTTAAGATAAAGTCTGGAATTCTGGCTGGGCGCGGTGGCTCAAGCCTGTAATTCCAGCACTTTGGGAGGCTGAGGCAGGCAGATTATGAGGTCATGAGATTGAGACCATCCTGGCCAACATGGTGAAACCCCGTCTCTACAAAAATATAAAAATTAGCTAGGTGTGGTGGCACGTGCTCCTAGCTACTTGGCAGGCTGAGGCAGGAGAATCACTTGAACCCGGGAGGGGAGGCGGAGGTTGCAGTGAGCGGAGACCGCACCACTGCACTCCAGCCTGGGCGACAGAGTGAGACTCCATCTCATTAAAAAAAAAAAAAAGAAAAGTCTGGAATTAAGGGTAGAAGTAGGGGAGATTTCAACTCTCATTGAAATAGAACTTGGTCTAATTGACTTGTTTGGTGAATTCCTGTCCCTTTGAGTCATAGCTCTGCAGTTCTGTGACCTTGGGCTTCTTTGACCTTGAGCAAGTTACTTAATCCGTCTGGGCCTCAGTTTCCCCACCCACAAAGTGAGAGTAAAAATAACACCCACCATTGTTATAATTCTATCCCCTTAAGGGCCATCTCTAGGAAATAGAGAAAAAAAAGTGTTTTTAATGAGAATAAGATTTCTCGTATGTTGAAGACCTCTCCTATGTTTATAAAATCTGAGAAGATTTTATAGATTGTATAGAACTTTTTATACTTTAACTCTTAACACTTTATATTTAGGGGCTTAGGTATTTGATCCTTCTGTGGTATTATTTCCTGGAAGCTTACAGCCCCTTTGTTTTGTTTGATTTTAAAACTTAATTTGTATTAATTAGTATTCTCATAGGCTGTTTTAAAGTAACTGCAATCTGATATTTTAAATCTGGATTATAGGTAAACTACTACCAGAGATAAAAGAAGAAAGAGATGTTCAGAGAGAGCTTCGGATAGAGAGACTTTCTGGCCTGGTGGGACTCGGCTGCCCTCATTGCACCCTTAGGCATGGAAAGCTGCATTCTGAACACCAGCAAGCCTAGCTATAAATCTTCTTGGACAGGAAATAAAAGAGTCAGAGACCAAGCCATCTCTGCCCTGCATACAAACTCTCTTGGTTGAGTTGTGCCCAGTAGTTCAGTGCTTTCAGGTAAACTAACTTCGTGGATTCTGGGCCTTTGCCCAAGTTCTTCTTCCCCAGATAGCCCACGCGTTACTTCTACACCTCCTTTGAGTCGTGTTCACATGCTATCTTCTCAGTGAAGCCTACCCTGTATATCCTATTCATAATTGTAATCAGTACTTTCAGTGCCCCTTACTGTATTCTAATGTTTCTTTTTTTTCCTCCATAGCAATGAATTTCAGCACTGTTTATTTTCTGTCTCCTCCCCGTGGAAATCTTTGTCTGTTCTCAAATGTGTCCCAAACCCCGAAAGCAGTAGATAGCCACTAAATATTTGTTGGGTGTAGCATTTCTTGTCTTTCTCTTGACCTCTGATATCTTCTTCACATTGATGTTCTACTGGTTCCTACAACTTGGACTTGTTCTTGACACTAAGTAAGTGAAATTTTATGAAAAAGGCTACAATTATTCACAGTTATAAACAGTTTAGAAAAGAAAGGAATGGGCATATTTCTTGAAAAAAGTCATGTTTGAAGAGCTGTATGGTATCAGAGGGAGTCAGCTAATTCTTTGTGGCCATGAAGGGCCTGAATTTTGAAGTTTCTCGGAGTCAGATTTCAGTTCAGTGTGTAAAGGTGATTCCTAACAGGTAGAGCTATCTAATTATTGCCTAATGATGCAGTGAACTCTTCCTCTCACCTCCCCATCCCAGCTTTCAAGATGTGGGTTTATCTGTGTGCTTGGTTTTTGTTTGGGGACATTCAGAGGATAAGATTTGGAGTAGGGTAACCTTCCAATTTGATTATTCTGTGATTCTGGTCCCTGAACTGATACAGAGTGATTTCCAGGATTTATTATTAAGTGCAAAAAGCAAAATGAAAAGAGAAGTAATAGTATTTGATTATTTGTGTAAGAAAGAAGAGAAAATGAGAAAAATGTATCTATCTATATATGTATGAAAAAGGAAAACAAACACAGAAAGGGTAAACCAGAAAATGATGAAAATAATTATTTATAGGGGAGAGGTAAGAGCTGGGGGAATGATAGAGATGGGAATGAGACTTCTTTTGAGTATGCTAACTTTTGAACCATTTAAAGTTTTAAATATTCAGTAATATAATCTAAAAGGTGGTAAAAGCAAAATTTCTAAAATTGAAATCAAGCAAAAACAAATGGGCCTAATGTTTTTCAAATGTATAGCATCAGCACCTACAGAAAAAAGAATTCAAGTAACTTTTAAGCACTCGAACTATATACCCATAGTGAGTATATTCTAAGGATAAACCACCAAAGAAATCAAACTTAATAGGTTTGTTGTTGTGAGTGGTGTTGGCATTGTAATTCTGAAACAGTTTTGAATATCAAGGCCATTGGGAACTGGAAAAAGAAAGATATAAATATGGAATGGGGGAGATAAGAACTTTATGGTATTAGATTTCAGTTGGGGATGTCAATATGAACTCATGATTTTTAAACAGCATTTAGGTTGAACCACATGAAATTGCCAGTTTTTAGGCCACAAATAGTCAAATATTAACAATTTCATGTGATTCAACCCAACATTTTCTAACTCTGCTAGCTGAAAGGGCCTGGAGGCAATGAGCATATCTTATGCCCCATCCTGGTTTCTAAATGCCATTCCCACCAGAAGGAATTTGGGCTCCTTAGGGAAGTCGGTAATTATAAACCTGGGGCAGGGATTGTACAGCTTGTGAGACTTGCCACAGGGATATAGAGGCTCACTTGAAAGGGCTCCCACCAGCCTAATTTGGGAAAATTTATGTATCAAAAAGAATAGTAGTGGTAGTCGTGGTAATGGATTATAACACAGTGAATTTTTTTAAAAAATCAATGAATTTGTAATGACACTAAAAAAAAAAATTGGGGGCAGGAAAAAACTTCTTTTAATAGAAGATAGCCAGCAAATGTAGGAGATATTATAGGATTAGCAAACATTTTATAATTTACAAGGCTATGATTCATTCAGGCAAAAGTCAAGTCATCTAGATGCTGAAACCATTGACCAAAAGGTTTTTTTTTTTTTTTTTTTTTTGAGATGGAGTCTTGTCTGTTGACCAGGCTGGAGTGCAGTGGCACGATCTCAACTCACTGCAAACTCCGCCTCCTGGGTTCAAGCAATTCTCCTGGCTCAGCTTCCCGAGTAGCTGGGATTACAGGTGCCGACCACCACGCCTGGCTATTTTTAGAAGAGACGGAGTTTCACCATGTTGGCCAGGCTGGCCTCGAACTTCTGACCTCAGGTGATCTGCCCGCCTCGGCCTCCCAAAGTGCTGGGATTACAGGCGTGAGCCACCGTGCCTGGCCCCAAAAGGGTTTTTGAGAGCAGGATATTCACATGATCTCTAAGTCTCATTCTGTAGGTTTCTTATTATTTACAAAGGGTAAAAGGTAGCCTTAACATACACAGTTCTAGCTATTAGCACCTTAACCAAGTAATCCAACCTGGCAGCCTAACATTTTGTGCCTTCTGAAGGTATGCACATCATCACCTGTGAAAATTTGAGGCCAGAATGTTCACCATGAATCTAGTCAAGCCTTTTTACCCAACTTTCCATTTATAGGAAATACAGAGGAGATGAATTTTGTCACATTTGATTTATTTCTGTCTATCCCTTTCTTCCTCCTTCTGTGAGGAAACAATCTAATAAATCCAGAACATAAGACGCTTTACAAGACAACTGACCTGGACTCTTCAGAATAAAAAAGCAATGTTATATTTGAAAAACAAAAGATAGTTGAGCAAGAAACAGGCTAAAGAGACATAACTACCAAATACATTGTGGAAACTTTGATTAGATCCTGGATCAGGAGGAAAACTAAAAGCAAAAGAGACTTTTTAGGAACAGTCAAAGACATTTAAACGTGGTCTATGAATTGGGTGATATGAAAGTATTAATCTTGACTGTGGTGTTAGTGTTGTGGTTCTATGGAAGAATGCCCTTAGTTTTGGACAATGCATGTTAAAGTATGGAGAGGGAAAGTATCACCATCTCTGTGACATACTTCTTGGTAATTCAGATGTCAAAAATAAACACACAAAACAACCAGCTAGACACAGGAAGGGAGGGATGGAAGGAGGAAAAAAGATAAAGCCAATATGGAAAAATGTTGAAATTTGATGAATCTTGATGAAGGGTATATGGATGTTCATTTTACTATTCTTTCAACTTTCCTGAAAGTTTAACATTCTTCAAATGAAAATTAAGGGGAAGAAAATGAATTTGAACATATTTTCTGGGTTTAAACCATGGCTTTCCTGGCCCATCCCTTGATCTCTGGCTCCCACAGTCCCAGACCCGTCCTGTCCTTTGTCCTCTGCTTCAGGATGTTGTTTTTTTAAAGTATAAAAAGAGGCGTGATGGCTCACGCCTGTAATCCCAGCACTTTGGGAGGCCGAGGTGGGTGGATCACGAGGTCAAGAGATTGAGACCATCCTGGCCAACATGGTGAAACCCCATCTCTACTAAAAATGCAAAAATTAGCTGAGTGTGGTGGCACGCACCTGTAGTCCCAGCTACTTGGGAGGCTGTGGCAGGAGAACCGCTTGAACCTGGGAGGCGGAGGTTGCAGTGAGCAGAGATTGCGCCACTGCACTCCAGCCTGGCGACAGAGCAAGACTCCATCTCAAAAACAAACAAACAGAAAAAAAACATAGAACGATGAGAGGTTCATTGAACCGGTGAGTAGAACCAATGAGTAAAGGGATGTAACATGGCAGAACATTTCAGTTTGTTTGGATTAAGTTTCATCACTATCCTTTAAAAAATAACAGAACTTAATAAACACATTCACTTGGTGTAGAATTCTGCTAACGCTTGAGTTGACCTTTCTGAGGACCCGAGGTTAGAAACACCTGCTCCAGTGAAAAGGGCCTGCCCACAGTGCTGCATCATTTCTTTCTACTGGCCATATGGCCTCATTAAGTGTCACTTTACCACTGAGTGTGGTGAGGCTGGGGAAGTGGAGGCAAATGGACCAAGGTCACTTTCTGCTCTAAATAGACCATAGACTTTTCCTGTTGTGAAAAATTTGTGTTTTGTGTCTGCTTCTTAGCATCTTTTGTGTGAGTAGAAGTGCGTGAAACAGTATTATGATATTGGCAACTACCGTCGAAAAAAAGAAAAGGCGCAGCCCCACTGAGCAAGGGGACAGACCTAGGTTTGAATGATGATCCCAGCTCTGTGAAATGGAGGCTTAGATGAATTCAGCATCTGATTGTACTGGAATGTCACAGCACCCATCTGGCTGGGCTCTCTGCAATGGTACAATTGGGAACACATCCCTGTGGGTGAATGATCCAGCTCTTCAGTTGTTTTTCCTTCTACAGTTTACATAAAATTTGCTGATTTCTTTATAAACTGTGATGCCATCTAATCTAAGAAAGTGTTGGACTGAAAGTTTTATTCTTTATCCACTTAAGGTTATTTCTTAATTTTTTTTCCATTCCTTTTCACCCATTCTTCATCATTGACCCAGATCCTCCTCCCCAGAATTGCTTGCTAGCACGGAGACAGACCCAGAGTCACGGACAGAGGAGGGCCTCTATAAATTTTGCTAATCTGGAAGTGGTCCCTGAACCACAGTTTGTAAAACACTGTTTTATGAGAAAAGAAGATGGGATGAAGACAGAAAAGGACACCCTTGGAAACAATAACACTGTGGTGTGACCACAGGATTGAATGCCAGGAAGTCATGAGTTCTAATCCTAAATGTATTTCCCAAGACACAGTGGCAAAATTGAGTGGAAAAGTGCTCCACAAGAGCCCTTTGGTCGTTTTTTCATTCATCTGTCCATCAGCTATTCATTACATATGTGCCTTCAATGTGCTGGAAGGGATATAAAGACAGTCCAATCTCATTACCAGACCTGATACTGGCTCCCAGCCTGTCACAGCGATAAGACATGTCCATAAGTGGCCACCAACATGCCAGAGACAGTGGCTGTTGCCATCAGAGAGAGGCAGGTTGCAGGCATGGGTAGGGCGCATGGGGGAGAGATAGCTTCTATTCTTTGGGGCTGTGAGGGTTTACTGGAAAAAAGCTGGCATTGCAGGCAGGCCTTTAACTGCAAGGTAGGTCTTAGACATTGGAGATTGGTAGAGTTAAGTAGCCCACTATAGGAACAGCACAAACAACATTTCAGAAAGCAGAGGGTGTAGAGAAGAATTTAGCACACGAGGGACATAGCGGGAGCATGCAGTCTAACTGGAAAAGTACAGGTTGGGGCTGGGTCATGAAGGGCTTTAAATCCTAAGCTGACTTTGTATTTTTCTCGGTAAGGAGTTGATGAAGGTTTTTGACCAATGCATGCTTTAAGATGCTTAATCTGGCAGCATCTGCGACCTTGGGGAGAACAGTTTCTGTGATGTGGTAGGGGCCATGACCAAAATCCAGTGAGGTGAATAATGACAAAGTGGTGAGTAAATGTTGCTGTGGCGACTAGACAGCTTCTTCCAGCTTAAAGGAGGTAGAGATGTTAATACCTTGAGGAGGCTGAGGGTGCAGGGTCAGAGGAAGAGTGTAAGTGACAAAGGAACAGAAATTATTTCTAAGCTTTTGTTATTTCCTAGGGTTCTTGGCGAGGTTTTAAGGGATTATAGAAGACTTACTCTTCATGTGTTCATTCCCAGACCAATGGCTTTGGGTAAAACACAATCTTAGAAGTTTTCTGTCTCTTTAAAAAGTTCTTCTAAGCCCTTCAGTCACGTGCCTTCAGAAATTTTGGTTACATAACATTGCTCTGAATTGGAATTCTGCAGCCTCATGAACTGGAGTCTCATTCTTTCCCTCCCCCACCTGGCACTGTATTTTCTGCGGGTCAGGGTTAACTTCTTTCTAACCATTGTTGTGGAACTCTTTAAATATTTGGTCTCACAGGTTCTAAAAGCTGGCAGGCCAGGCTGCTCCCTGCAGGTTGTGAGACCAAAGCCTTCCAGAAAAGGAGCCAGTAAAATCCCAAGCATGTTAACTGAGTGTAACAGCTGCACAGTGCACCGCCTCCATCACCCTCAACCCCACCGCACGGGGCTGGGCTCCCAAGTGCTGAGGCCAGCAGCTCCTAGCCACTGCGGCTTGCAAGCAGAAGGAGCCCTCATGCAGCACATCGTGGCAGGCTCGTAATTGCGGTGATGACAACAGATTAAATCACTGGCTCTCAGCACTGAGGACTGGGGTTTGTCAGGGTCACTCACCGTTCCTTTGCTTCTCCCAATTTTCCATAGTGAGAGAGGAAGCTTGGAGTCTGCTGCTACAGTAGAAATACTTTCTGAGAGCCCTCTGAGTTTTGCTGTCAAGAGGTTCGTTCTCTTAGTAGTCTAGGCTGCATCTTTCTGTCTTCCAGCATCCCCTCAACACATGATTCTGGAATGTTGTAATCTCTCAATATACATATGTATTTAGTTATACCTTGCTTTTATCCAAAAATATTTGAAGGCAGTTTACATATATATATATATATATATATATATAAAATGCAGTGAATTTTTTGTTGTTGTTTGTTTTTTGAGACAGGGTCTTGCTCTATCACCCAGGCTAGAGTGCAGTGTCGTGATCTCAGCTTATTGCAACTTCTGCCTCCCAGACTCAAGCGATTCTCCCACTTCTACTACTAACTGGAAGTAATAGTAGACTACTCCTACTTCTCAGGAGTAGTCTCCTGAGTAGCTGGGACTACATGCTCATGCCACCACAATGGCTAATTTTTGTATTTGTTGTAGAAACAGGGTTTCACCATGTTGCCCAGGCTGGTCTTGAACTCCTGGACTCAAGCAGTCTGCCCACCGCGGCCTCCCAAAGTGCTGGAATTACAGCCATGAGCCACCGTGCCCAGCAAGTGTTTTTTTAAAAATTAGGAAATGAGGTAAAAGGAACACGTGAGTAGGAAAATTAGGCACAGCCAGGATAAGGGTTAGTTCACAAAGTGCAAACTATAAATAAAATCTCCTAGAGGCAAGTTAGGAAGGTTTTCTGAGTTTCCTAGCAGCCAAAGCAAAAAGGAAAACTTTTTAAAGTTTATTTATTTTATTTTGTACAGCAGACAGTTCATATAGCATAAAAAGGGAAGCCATCAAGGATAAAATTTGTGTGTCTGTAAGATACAGATTGTCACAAGTAGAGTGTTTCCTTATACTGCATCAACTTCCCCCATAAGTGTACTCTATAAAAGGATACTACATGGTCAAATGGGCCCTTGTTCTCCCTGCTTCCCTACAGTGATAGCATAGTCATTTGGTTGACTTCTTGCAGTGTCCCTTGGGGTAGGCTTGGTGGCAAAGCCCCAAGTAGGACAAGGGCACCATGGGAGGCCTGTGCAGGGCATTTCAGTGCAGTTCTTCGCATCTCCAAAGGTGCTCCCTTGAGGAATCTTGGTTCTGGGAGATGCTGTCCCACAAAGAAGTGCCAGGAGCAAATGAGTTGGTCAAGAACTGTTGATACCGGCATATTAAAGGCTCCTCGAAGTCCTACAGTTAAGAAATCAGCCCAGTATTTCCCAAACTGATTTAATCATAAGATCTTTTTTAAAAAAATTAAAACACTTAATTGGCACATTCAGAAACGTTGATCTAAAACAGGGGTCAGCAAACTTCCTGTGAAGGGTCACATAGGAAATATTTCAGGCACAATTAAAACAGCTGTCTGTCACAACTGGTCAACACTGCCATTGTATAGAAAAAGTGTGGCTGTGTACAATAAAGCTTTATTTGTGCGTAGTGCAATTTGAATTTCCACAATCATTTTTGTGTCACAAAATAGTATTCTTCTTTTGATTTTTTATTTTTTAGTCATTTAAACATGCAAAAACTGTTCTCATCTTGCAGGTCACTCACAAACAAGTGGCAGGCCAGATTTGACCAGTGTAGTATGGTTTGCCAATTCCTGATCAGGAATAATGTTTGGATGGCTTATCTTTCCAGCAAGCAAGCCTTCCTGAGTACTGTTTGTCAGGTTCCATTTTAATTTAGACTTTTATGTTTCTGGTTTAAGAGCAGATTTTTAAAAAGTGTTAAAGGTAATAGAGAGTTGGTTTGAGTCCTTACAGGCTAGTCTAGGATTTTTCTTAGAAAGCAGTTGTGGGGGCTCCCAAAGAAGACATTTACAAACTAACAAAGTCTTACACGGTCACATATGGTGGGATCAACTTCAGGCTGGAAATGTCTAAATGGGAATTATCATTCATGCACTGGATCCATAGAAATGAAAGTCTCAAAGCACCCAGAGACGTTTAATTTTAAGAAATTAAAACTTCCTAGTCAACCCTCCAAGTAACCTAGTAAACGATGGCTTCCCACCTCCAACCAAGCTAATGGAGTTCTTTTTGATTTTGACTAGGGGAACATTTTTTTGGCTTTTTATGATGTCATTATGATAAAAGAAGAAGACCCAAACATTCCTACTACCATGTCTGACTTTTTAGTTTCAGTTATACCAGTATTTTTTATTGAGTACTCAGTGTATATAAAACATTTGGTTAGATTTTATGGGAGATATCAAAAGGAGAAAGAAGTGGACACTTCCTTCTTTACCTTGTGAGCCAAGTTCAAGATCCTCATCAATTACAGCCCATTGCTGTGGTGCCAGGTCTGATTTCACCTCCTGGGCACTTCCTATTACCATCAATCTGTTCATTCAACAAACATGTCTGAGGTGCAGCCTCTGTTCAAGGCTCTGGGAACACAGCCCTCGGAGCACGCATTCCAGGAGATCAGTGTTTCTCTTCTCCTCTGGCACTCTTGCTTACAACCTCTTTTATATAGTGGAACCAAAATTACTTCTGTATATCTTGAGGCTTCAACCTTCATGTTGCCTACACTGTGTGTGACTCTCCTCGAAATATTTAGAGGGAGAGTGGGTCTCCTGATTAATCACCCTTTCTGGGATCTGCACTCTAAATGCTCTCGTTCCCTCCACCTGAATGGCACCTACCTTTCCCTGCCCTATTTTCTTAGTGTCCAGTAGGGACACAGTTTTTACCAGATCCATAATCTTAAAGCCATTAACTATATTAAGCCAAATGCATCTTGTAACAAATGTTACAAGATAGCTAAATATATGTACAAACAATATATTTACAAACAAACAATAATACATATCTGATCAATTGTTTTTTGATTAAGGAAGATTCTCTATAGTTTTGATTTTTTCCATTTACAAAAGTAATATTCAATTGCAGTGAAAAATTTTAAAAATATGAAAAAGTACACATTAAAGGGAAAAAAATTAATCCATAAATCTAGCACCCGTCGATCAACCCTATGAATATTTAACATATATGTTTTACTCTTCTTGATTTGAAAGTCACATGAATTTTTTAAAAAAATAGTAAACATTAAAATTGACCTTCTTTTGCTGTATGTAAAATTCTGTGAATTTTAAGACATGCATAGATTTAGTTCCACTCCCCCTGCTGCCCCCGCACAAGCGTACCTTTCCCAGTTCTGGCAACCACTGATCTGCTCTCTGTCTTATCTCTGTTTTCATTCCGTTCCGTTCCTCTCCTCTTCTTCTCCTCTCCTCTTCTTATCCCCTCTCCTCCCCCCACCCTTTTTTGTTTTTGTGTTTGAGACCAAGTCTTGCTCTGTTGCCCAGGCTGGAATGCAGTGGCACAATCTTGGCTCGCTGCAACCGCCACCTCCCGGGTTCAAACAATTTTCCTGTCTCAGTCTCCTGAGTAGCTGGGACTACAGGCGTGTGCCACCATGCCCGGCTAATTTTTGTATTTTTAGTAGAAACGGGGTTTCACCATGTTGGCCAGTCTGGTTTTGAACTCCCGACCTCAGGTGATCTGCCCACCTTGGCCTCCCAAAGTGCTTTGTTTTCTTTTTGAGAGTGGCTCTTTTCACTTAGTTCAATACCTTTGAGATTCATCCAGGCTGTTGCATTTATGAATAATTTGTTAATTTTTGTTGCTAAATACTGTTCCATTTTGGGGGTATACCACAGTCTGGTTATCCATTTACCATTTAAGATTACTTTTTGGGTTGGGCATCGTAGCTCACACCTGTAATCCCAGCACTTTGGGAGGCCAAGTTGAGAGGATCCCTTGAAGCCAGGAGTTTGAGATCAGCCTGGGGAACAGAGTGAGATCCTGTTTCTACAAAAAGTTTTAAAACTACTCCAGTGTGGTGGCATGCACCTATACTGTCAGCTGCTTGGGAGTCTGAGGTGGGAGGATTATTTGAGCTCAAGAGGTTGAGGCTGCAGTGAGCCATACAAAAAAAAAGGTTATTATTATTTTTTAAACATTTGACATTTCTGAAATTCTGAAGTATCTTAAAATTAATGTATATATTTAATGTGGTGGGGTTTTTATTTCTCCAAAAGCTATTACAGAATTGATGGCGCATCTTATAATTAATACTCTCTTAGGATGGAAGTATTGTGGTTAGGATTAGAGAGGGCTGTTGGGAGTTACTAGGAGTAGGGTAAGTGGACAGTTAAGAGTCGGATAGAGAAAGGTCCCAAGAGCTTGTGGCAGGCCAGCATTAGAGCAGCTTGGCAGCCTCTGAAGACAGGGTCTCGCTCTATTGTCCAGGCTGGAGTGCAGTGGCCCAATTATAGCTCACTGCTGCCAAGGAGGTTTTGAACAGAGGAGCAACACCAGGGAAGAAGTCTTTAAGAACAAAGCCTGTCTTACCATGGTTAGTACAAGTATGGGCAACATCATCAGTGTTGATGAATGAGGAAAAGACAGAGAAATGGTGGCAGTGCACTGCTAGTACTGGATGGAGTGGAGGAAGAACCTAGGAAGCAGTGAGCACCGACTAGAGTGTGGCATGGGGGCAGAAGGGCAGTTGCTGCAGAATACCCCAATCTCCAGGCAGTCCTCGGGCAGGAAAGGCTGGAGGTATGGAGAGCCAAGGACAGCTGCTGCCAAGATCTTTAGGTGTTTACATGGTGGGAATGGGTGGATTGAGTCAGGCATGCTATATGGGAAACTGTAAAACAGAATGAGAATGTCTGGGAGTTTCACAGGGTAAGAGTGTGATGTTCGTAAGGATATTGTGCAAAGATAAATGGGCACATGGTGTACTTGGTATGAGCTTGGTTGAAATATATAATTATTCTGTGGAAACAAACTGTGATTTGTGCTGTTTCCAGGTAGACTTCTATTATGGTTAACTCTACGGCCCAAAGTTTTTTTGCGAAGCTTATTGTTGGGTCCCATCCCCCTGTATCACAAGTCACTGGAGAAGGATATTTTACCAAAGTGTAAATTGAAGAGTAATTTACCAAAGTAACTTGCCCCTCTTGTTGGCCAACTCTTCTTGAGAAGCCTCGTTCATGGAAGCAGCCTGATTTTCACCCACTCACATCTCTTCTGGCTTGGGGTGAAGGAGAAGTAGGTGCCAGTTCACACAGAGGAAGAGAAAGTCACTCACCCATTTGTCTCTTCTCAGTCTCACATTTAACTAAAGATCTCATTCTCGTAGAAGTTATTTTTCACTTTCCCTAACAGAGCACATATGCAAAATTCACTGTTCTTTAAAGCTGTACTATGGTGGGGTAAAGTTGCTATTATTTGTGGCATTGCTAATTGTTTCTTCACTCTTTCCTAGAAA
Source organism: Homo sapiens (assembly GCF_000001405.40). Classification (NCBI taxonomy): domain Eukaryota; kingdom Metazoa; phylum Chordata; class Mammalia; order Primates; family Hominidae; genus Homo; species Homo sapiens. The sequence continues at coordinate 232,210,329 of NC_000002.12, forward strand.
AGACTGTATCTTCACCATTGACCCATCAACCGCCCGAGACCTCGATGATGCCCTCTCCTGCAAGCCACTCGCTGACGGTAGGATGGAAATTTCTATAGCATCTTGGGTAGCAGGCAGTCTGCATGCCTGTGTGGTTAGCCTGGCTGCCCTGTGCTGCCTAGGCAGCATACTGTGCAAGGCTAGGTTTGCTTCGTGCCTGAACTTGCCATAGGCCTCTGAGCCTTTACAACTATGTGACCTTAAGATTGTGTTCCTGTGGTGACATTGGTGAGGGTGAGAATGAGAAATGTCCTCCCACTAGACTCTTCTTGGGCTTCAGAAGGGGCAACAGTGAGTGCTAAAGAATGAATTCCAAGCCTTGGCCCTTCAGATGGTTCCAGTGTTGGTGTAAGGTATCACAGAAAGAAAGCTTGTAAGGGCTCTGCTTGGGAGAGACATAGGGTTCTTTACCTGAATTTAACACCAAATAACGTGATTGAAGGGGTACTCTTCAAAGGCATGCTTCTCGGTGGGTAGCAGGAACACCTTCCCTGAGAACTGCCTCTCTAGGGCTGAGCTGGAGAAGCTTGGGCTACTCCCAGTAGGTTTTCATCTATCCAGCAAGTTGAGAAAGGCAAACTGATAAGGGCTCTTTAAACATTCTTTTGGGATGTTACTGAGCAGGTAAAAGTGGGATTGAGGCTAGTTGTCTTTGGAAATTATAGTTGGAGGAAGGGAATGCAGCAATTGACTCTCAAAGAAAAAATGTGTAGGATATGAGAAAAGTGAACCCTTCCAATCCCTCCTCCTCCTCCACCTCCCCCTCTCCCCCTCCCTTCCCCTCCCCTCCTCTTCTCAACAGAGTCCCACTCTTTTGCCCAGGCTGGAGTGTAGTGGCATGATCATAGCTCACTGCAGCCTCAATCTTCCAAGCTCAGGTGATCTTCCCACCTCAGCCTCTCAAGTAGCTGAGACTACAGGTGTGTGCCACCAAGCCTGGCTAATATTTTGTATTTGTGGTAGAGATGGGGTTTCACCATGTTGTCCAGGCTGGTCTTGAACTCCTGGGCTCAAGTGATCCATCCACCTCAGCTTCCCAAAGTTCTGGCATCACAGGCGTCAACCACCATGCCCAGCACCCCCAATCCCTTTTCTAATGCCCCAGATGTGCTGCTTCTAGTTTTTACCTACTTCTTGCCCCTCTCTAGGGTGGCTTCTGGGTGACTGCTTTGGCTTTGGTCATCCTCAGAGATGGCCTTGGCACTAACATGGCCTTTGACATTTGCCCAATGTGGACATCCACCCTTGCAGTTTCAGTCTGCCACCAAGCGTTGATGGCCTAGTGGCCTAGTGTTTTAAAACATTGCAAAGATGTTCATATTTCCCACTGACACAGAACGCCGTAGGTTCAGTATGTAATCTCTTCTCTACTATAATAGATGGGGAAGCTTAGTAGATAGAAGGCTGAGAGATAGAAGACATTGCCTAAGACTGGTTTTATCTTCCTTGAAACTATGGGCAAGATTGCTCAATATTTTCTTTTTAAAAATTAATTAATTAATCGATTTTTAGAGACAGAGTATCACTCTGTCACACAGGCTGGAATGCAGTGGCTCATTGCAGCCTTGAACTCCCAAGCTCAAGCAGTCTTCCTGCCTGGGCCTCCCAAAGCACGAGCCACTATGGGATTACAAGCACGAGCCACTGTGCTGAGCCTCAATATTTTCAACTAAAGAAAACTGAAAGAAACAAGAGAAAAGGTCCCCTGGAAATTTTAGAGAAATTATATCTTTTTAAAATCCAAAATTGAAGCAGCCTACTTCAAAAAGCAAGTACTGGCTTGATTTCTTACATTCTTAGCAATCTCTGTTGCATGCAGAGGCTTAGGCATACCTGCTCGGCATATAGACACCACTTCCCTGAGCCACAGTGTGGAAAGTGCCCCTAGGCTGAAAGCCAGGTGACCGTGGACCTCATTCCTCATATTTGCCTTACCTCTAGGTTCACACCTCTACTGTTTGTGTAATGCTTAGACACAATTGCTTCATTTGTTTTGTCCATTTTCATAGTTGATAATAGCAGACGGATACATCTACTACCTGTTCCTCTGTCTCAGCTGGCCTGGAACCCTGCACCTTGCAGGGTCTCCAGGGAGCAGGCACATGTCCTGCCGTACTCACTGCATACACTGTGGTTTTATGTCTAGGGCCCAAGTGTGTCAGCAGAGGTTTCATAAAGGAAGTGGTCAAAGATATGATAGGAAAGATAGATTGGGGACAAACTCGGGACAAATTTTCAGACCAAATAGTGTTTTTTGTTTGTTGGACAATGGAAAGGCAAGCAGATGTTGTTCAGCAAGAGAGCATTCAAAAAGAGGAAAATAATTTAGCATTGCAAGGAAAAGGAGAGAAACTAGAGGCTGGGGAATGAGTCAGAGAAATATTGCAATAGTTGTGGACCTGGACTAGATGGTAGCAAAATCAATAGGGGGGGTTGGAGTGGGAAGGACAGATGTGAGAAAGGGATAATGACAGAAGAATCTATGGAAATGAATGTTGGGGTTGAGGGAGAGGAGTCCAAGATGGTGCCAAGGTTTCAACCTGGATGACTGGGAGATGGAACCCATAAGTTAGAAATGGGAATCAGGAGTACAAGCTGGTTTGGGAGAGAGTATGTTGGCATGGAGTTGTCTGTCTGATGTTATTTATGTTAGTTGCTGCAAATTCTTTGTAGGGGAGCTGAGGTGTGTATAAACAAGCTAAATAGATGCAGTCCGTGGAACTATATACAAAGAGCCCGGGAGGAGAGGAAGCAATGCACCAAAATGCAGTGATTTCATTCGAATGATGGGATCATAAGTGATTTTTTTTCCTTTCTCTAGTTCCCAAATTTTTATAATGTGGCAATAATAGTTGTATAATGAAAAAATTTTGTAATACAAAAATATTATGAGGTGCCAGAAATCACAGGCCGCTCAGTAGCCTACTGCACCAGGTGATCAGATACCTTCCATCCACTTAGTTTTTCTTGCATTCCTGAGGAGCAGTTTGGCAGAGCAGCAGGAAAAGGACATGGAAAAGGAGTCAGGGAAGACTCTGAAACGGCCTGAGTTGGTCAGGCAAACAGTTTTATGGTGGCACTTCTACAGTTGGCCTTTGTGACAACAGTTTCTGCCAGGGCCATTTATCCAAGGAGTTGAAAAGGGAAAGTCAATTCCAGTTTGGATTGGGGTGAGGTTGGCTAAGTTCAGGTTGAGGTAGTTACCAGTTCATGTCAATTCTTGCTTAGGGGGAAAAATGTTCAATGCTTCAAAAAACAAATAGTGTTTTCTCGGTCTATTTATATCATCTGTAGTTTTTTTTTTTTTTTTTTTTTTTTAAGTGTAAAGTTTAACTTTCCTTTGGTTTCATTAAAATTATCTGAATGACCATTCTGTGAAAAGCAGACAAATATAACATACCTAGTCCTTACTTTCCCTTTTGGTAGAGTTCAGATGTACTCCCAGGACTTGTTACCAGTGTCTGTCAGGTGAGACACTCCAGTGATCAATTCAGCAAATCACAGTGACCACCTGTCTACCAATAGATCATAATTAGGTTGCAGGCGGAGGAGAGGGTGCCACCTATCTTCATGAAATCTCAGCTTGGAAGGGATTCTACTGGTTTCCAACCTGGTAATTCTCCACTTTTCTTATCCTAAAAACACACTTCAGGAGAACACTCCCATGAGCATTACCCAGCAATGTAGAGTTTTTCACCTTTGTTCAAGAAAATATTTAGTAATGTAAGTGAATAGGAGTGGCGTTATAGTGATAACCCAGAATCTGGAGACAGTAAATCGTGTGCCTCAGTGTTTTATTATTGTACAGATCACTTGCAGCATACCTCACAGCTGACCTCAACGCTGAAGTGTGGGAATGCCACAGTTGTCAGATCACTCTCTGGTTTTCGAATTACCTCCACTGCATCCACTTATGGAATGTCCAGACTGCATTTGAACTTTCTACCTTAGAGGCAATTCATTCTGCCTTAAGATTGCTTGACTATTAGGAAATCCTTCCCTGTAATGATCTGAAACAGTGCTCTCTTCCTGTAATTTTCCACTCATTAGTCCCATTTATGCCTCTCGGGCCCCTATAGAACAAATCTAGTGTCTCATTTGACAACCTATCAGTTACTAGATAACAGTTATCATGTGTCTTCTGAGTCAAAAATTCTCAACTTAGCATCCTAAATATTCTTTGGTGTCCAGTGGGTTATGAGGTGTGAGCCCATCTCCCATGTCATGGAGTCACTTCTGCTTTTATGAAGTCTGAAGTACATGGCTACCTGTATCCAGACTGCGCCTCCCTGGCTATCAGGGCCTACTCTCTCCTTGCCAGTTCCTCCTTATTGGGCAGGACTGGGTTCAGAGTAACAGCTACCCATTCTGTTCAATTAGTCAAGCATTGTGGCTTTGCCTTAGTCTCTGAGGGAAAATTGTCAGCCTGACAAGCTAGGACCTTTATTCGCTTTTCGTTGATTCAGGCTCCCAGCAGATCCTGCAGGAAATTGAACTTCACTTCTCCAGCATCTTGTTTCTCTAAAGTTGTATTCTCTAACATGTACTCTGCTGTTGAACTTACAGGGTTACCCTAGCCCGGCCTTAGAAATGAATGAATGGGAATGGGGAATGATGGTTAATGGGTTTCAGTTTCTTTTTGGGTGACGAAAATGTTCTGGAATTAGATAATTGATAGTTGCACAACTTTGTGGACATACCAAAAACCACTAGGGGAAAAGGAGTGAATGAATAAATGAATGAGAAGAAATAAACATATCCACTTATCCTTGAGGCTTTCTGGAAATTGGAGTTTACACCTTAACCACAGTTTAGCAGAGGTCTTTATGGAATGCCCAGCTGGCTATCATAGTCACATCCCTCGTGTCCATCTCTCCTCCTTGCTGCTTTCCTCTCTGAACCATGAAACTACAGCCCCGGGTGCACAGCCCTCTGCTCTGCTGCCCGCTCACATTTCCCATCCCCACAGAGTGCAGCCCTCTGACTCAAAAAAAGAAGGGTCTGTCCCACTATCTGCATAGAAAATATTTGGTTAAGTTAGAACAGCATCCAGCCTAAGGGGCCTCTGGGGTGGACATTACCTACTGTGCTCAAGGAAGCACCAGTCTTCCTGCCTGGATTGTCTCTGCAGCCTGCCTGGTTGCATGACATTTTTTGGGGAGGATGGAGCAGACAGCTTTGTTCCTGGGAGCCCATAGCAATAAGGGAATAGAGTGAGAGTCTAGGAGCAGTGCCTGTAAGGATTTCAGAGAATTCCTAATAAACTCTCTGGCTCCCCAAATGGCTGTGTTTGTCACCTGCTGAGAATTTCCTATATTGACTGATCACCTTTGGAGGCAGTGAGGAAGTAGGAGCCAGAAATTCTTGTGTCCCCCTGTGTGCCAGGCTTTGGCTAGAAAACCTGAGGGATAGGATGGGGTGGTAGTTGTTTTAAAGAGCAAAGGGCTGAGATGAAGTCACTGGACCTGCTACTGGGAAGAAACGGGACATGTGAGAGCCCTGGGGCTTCTGAGTGAAAAGGTTCGTGCATGTCTCTAGCAGCCAGGCCAGACCCTCTTCCTGGGCTCTTTTCTCACCTCTGGGAAGACTCTTCCCCAGCAATCATTCACCCCAGCCCCTTTACATTTCCCTTTGCCCTGCTTCCTCCTCTTGCTGTACCACCTGAAGTCTCCCTCATCCTATAAAACCTTCCTGTACTCTGCTCCAGCTCTAGAACTTTCACTTGTGTCTGTCAGGACACCTTGGAAGAGTTGTCTTTACTTGCTGTTGCTTTCTCACTTCCCGTTGCTTTCTCACTTCCCGTGTATTCCTTATCCCTTTTACAGTGTGGCTTCAGAATGCTGGCTGCAACAGGTTGCCCCAGCCTCAGTTCACTAAGCATCTCTACAGCACTTGGCTCTTTAGTCTGCTATTCCTCCTTGAAATTCACTCACTCTTCCTTGGACTCAAAGGACCCTGCCTGCTCTTGGCTCTAAATGTGGGCTTTTCTTCTCCAGTCGCCTTTTTAACTCATCTTTCACTGCCCAGCCCTTCAGGCATCAGTGCCCCTCTCATGCTCTACAACCTTTGCACTTGGTGTCCCCTGTGCCTGGTTTCCCCTTTCCCTGCAAAGCCACATGGCTGACCTCTCCCTTTCAGGTTTGATTGGTCACCTTCTCCGTGAAGCCTCCCTAGCCATTCTGCCTCTGATTCCACCCCTCTCACCTAGCCACCTTTCCATTTTTTTTTTCTCACCACTCATCACTTGCTAACTAACATAGGTCAAAGGTGGCTTTTTTCTTTGCTTTTAAGATGCAAGATATTTGATATGTTTATGTTGAGAACTAGGAGATGACAGAGAAGGAAAAGTTGAAAACACAGGCATGAGAAGAGTTGATCGTTTTGCAGGGTCTTGAAGAAGAAGGTGGGAGATGAATCAGAGCATAAGTGGAAGGTAAGGCCAAGGAAGAACACCTCCTCTCCTCTCCCCTCCCCTCCCCTCCCCTCCCCTCTTTTGATGGAGTCTTGCTCTGTCGCCCAGGCTGGAGGGCAGTGGTGCAATCTCTGCACACTGCAACCTCCCCCTCCTGGGTTCAAGTGATTCTCCTTCCTCAGCCTCCCGAGTAGCCAGGACTACAGGCGCCTGCCACCACACCCGGCTAATTTTTGTATTTTTAGTAGAGATGGGGTTTCACCATATTGGCCAGGCTGGTCTTGAACTCCTGACTTTGTGATCCGCCTGCCTTGGCCTCCCAAAGTGCTGGGATTAAAGGTGTGAGCCACCGCGCCTGGCCACAACACCTCTTTCTATGAGACAGAGAGGCAAGACATAGTTGATGGGTCCCTGCTGATGAGGGATCACACCTGGCCATACCTGCTTCCACTGTGAAGTAGAAAGCCGAATGCTGCTGAGAGGGCTGACGGAGTGGTGAAGGAGATAGTCTGAGTGGGAAAAAACAACACAGACTGCCTTTCCCCTGCTGCCACCCTGCAACAATCAACACAGAAGACTGCTATGACCAAATACTTGGGTGCTTTTTTGCCATACACCAAGCAAGCAATTAGTTCTGCAGCATATGCCAGCAGGTTGTCCTCCAATTCAGTTCTGATATTCTCCGCCTGGAGATAGCATCAGATTCCAAAGATTGAGCACCTGGTCCCACAAGACTGCCTCACGCTTCTGATGCCAATTGCAGGCTCCAGGGTGGTTTACTGGTGATTCTGACTGACCAGCTATAAGTTTGGGATCCTGCAACCCCCTCCTTGAGTTTCATAAATTTGCTAGAGTGGCTCACGGAAAACTCAGGGAAACGCTTAAGTTTAGTGGTTTATTATAAAAGATATTGCAAAGGATCCAGATAAACAGTTGCCTAGGGCGAGGTATGGGGGAAGGGATGTGGAGCTTCCATGCCTTCCCCAGGCATGCCACCCTCCAGGAACCTGCATGTGTTCAGCTCTCCAGAACCTCTCTGAACCCTGTCCTATTGGGCCTTTTATGGAGGCTTCATTCGATAGGCATGATTGAAGCATGGACACCCATGTAGAAATGTGATTGGGCAAAAAGCGTTTGATCTCAGTGACAGACTGAATGGAGAAACCCAGCAAGGCCTGTGCAGATGCTTCTTGGCCTCTCTGTGCAGCATTCCCTCTTCCAGGATATAGGGCAGGACCCCTTTTAAAATGGAAGTCTTCCAACCCACAATCAGGCAAGGTAGGTCAGAGAACATTTTAATGGGAAGAGGGGAAGATTAGAGTCCTGCCTTGGGGAGAAAAAGAAGCGGGTGAAAGGAGGGCAGGAGAAAGTCAGAGAGATTCAGTGGCCTAAAGCTCTCCAACATTTTAACAAAAGACTGTAATAAGGGCTGTAGGAGTCATAAGCGAGGAACCGCGGATGAACACGCATGCTCACACACACATATATGTCCATGTCATGTGCACATCACAGATAGTATAGAGAACTGACCAGGAATCCATCAGACAAAGCATTGGCAAACACTGCTCAGGTATGTCTGGGTTTGAATCCTACAAAGTCTGGAGGATAATAAGATTTTTCTTCAGTAATTCTCAGCCTCCGAGGTGTGGGAACAGAGGTTGCAGTGATCCATTCTTGGAGGTTTCAGGCCGGGTGTGGTGGCTCACACCTGTAATCTTAGCACTTTGGGAGGCCGAGGTGGGAGGATCATTTGAGGCCAGGAGTTCAAGACCAAACTTGGGAGTTTCCTGGGAGGGAGAGCTGGAGGGGCAGCAGGACAAGGGTCCCTCTGAGCCTGTTTCTTCTCCGCCTCTTGCTTTTATGATGGCATCAGCTGGCGTCTAATCAACCAAGGTTTTACAAAGTAATCTTGGAATCACATTTGATTCCTTTTCCTCTCCAGACTGTTGTCATGGTCTTTTCAGTAATTTCCCTCCCTCCTCACTGTCTCCCGTCCACCTTGCTGTCTAGTTATCTTTCCTACGTGGCACGCACAAGGACCAGATCATGTAGCTTTTCTGTTTGAAAACCTGCTTGTACCTATGGGTTAGGTCTGCAGTTCTTTAGCAGACCTTTGTTACCAAAGCCCTGTAAGATGAGTCCTCAGCCTCCTCTCCTGCCACCCCACTTCCCAGCGCTGCTTCCCTTAACACACGCACAGTGGGGGCTGGTCACTGCAGGCTCTGCTGATCTCCTGTGCCCTTTCCTGCCTCCAGGCCTCTGCCTGCTCCTTTCCCTCTGCTTACAAGGTCTTGCCTCCCTGCCTCCTTCTGTCAGATGAAATCGCCTTCTAAGAACAACATAAACCTCCGCAGAACTTTCCTTTCCTCCTAGCAGAATGCATTGTTTCTGTTTCTCCTACCAGCAAGTATTCTTCATGTCTTGGATATAGCAATAACCATCATTACTTCTGGATTTAATTCCCTTTTTTGCTTATTTCCTAAGAGCAGGGTGTTCCTTGGATATCTCTACTTCCTGAGTACCTTGGATATCTCTACTTCCTGGTTGCTACCCTGCATTTTAAAATTGTTTGGTCTAGTCAGATCTAGCCAGGCAACCTATTGCATACCTTCAGTGTTTCACTCCTTTTTCTGGTTCTTGCCTTGCCCCTTTATTTCCATGTACTTCTGTCCTTGTTTTGTGGGTTGCCTGTGGGTTTATATCCTGACATATAAGTCTCATCCACTTTCTCTCCTAAAATAAGTCTGTTTCTTTGGAATTGGGCATACCTTTCCCTTATTCCATTCAAGTGTTTCACTCCATCTGTCATGTCTCAGTGGTACCTATAAGATCACTGGGTTTATCTTATGTTCATGCTGCTGTTACTTCAGCTCTGTGAATTGGCCCACGTGAGGCTCACTTCCTTCCTCTTATTTCCTTGCCAGGTGTCTTGCGTGGTCTGCACTGCTCTTCCCTTTTCATCCCTACAGGCTTCCACAGCAACTCATGTCTTCATTTTATCTTGTCATTTCCTCCACCTCCCTCCTGCCTGTATCCTTGCTATTTTCAAATTCAATAAGTGCTGATTTTCTGATAAAATTAACTTCCTGAATGAACCCTAACATGGTAGTAAAACAAAATTTGTGATCTAAAAGCCAAATGTTTTTTCCCTTTAGTTATATTGGCAAATAGTCTTACTAGTTAAGAAATGCCTTTAAACACCAAGTACAGTGCTAGCTGCAGTGGCTTACACCTATAATCCTAGCATTTTGGGAGACCAAGATAGGAGGCTCACTTAACGCCAAGAGTTCAAAACCAGCCTGAGCAACGTAGCAAAACCCAGTCTCTACAGAAAAATAAATAAATAAATAAATAAATAAATAAATAAATAAATAAATAAATAAGCTGGGCATAGTGATGTGCGTCTGTAGTCCTAGCCACGTGGGAGGCTGAGGTGGGAAGACCACTTGAGCCTGGGGGTTCAAGCCTGCAGTGAGCCAAGATGGCGCCACTGCACTCCAGGCTGGGCAATACAGTGAGGCTGTCTCTAACAACACCAAGTATCTCTTGGTGTTGTTAAATAATAAATAAATAAATAAACAAACAAACACCAAGTATCTCTTCAGTGGCAGTGCTCACCTATAAGTTGGGAGAAATAGAAATTTGAGGGCGGGGTGCGATGGATCATGCCTGTAATCCCAACACTTTAGGGAGGCCGAGGCGGGCAGATCACCAGGGCAAGATTCGAGACCAGCCTGACCAACATAGTGAAACCCCATGTCTACTAAAAATATAAAAATTAGCTGGGTGTGGTGGCACGCGCCTGTAATCCCAGCTACTTGGAAGGCTGAGGCAAGAGAATCGCTTGAACCCGGGAGGCATAGGTTGCAGTGAGCCAAGATCGCACCACTGCACTCCAGCATGGGTGACAAAGCGAGACTCCATCTAAAACAAAAGAAAAGAAATAGAAATTTGATAGTATAAAAATCTAAGTATTCCTTTGGTAGCAGATAGATCTTAATGCCATGTTGGTGAGACATTGGAAATTAGAGTTTATTTTTAGGCTGGGCATGGTGGCTCATTCCTGTAATCCCAGCACTTTGGGAGGCTGAGGCGGGTGGATCACCTGATGTCAGGAGTTGGAGACCAGCCTGGCCAACATGGAGAAACCCCGTCTCTACTAAAAAATACAAAATTAGCCGGTGTGCTGGCACATACCTGTAGTCCCAGCTACTCGGGAGGCTGAGGCAGGAGAATTGCTTGAATCCAGGAGGCGGAGGCTACAGTGAGCCAAGATCGTGCCACTGTGCTCCAGCCTGGGTGACAGAACAAGACTTCATCTCAAAAAAAAAAAAAAAAAAAAGTTTGTTTTTAATTTTCATCTCTTGGGAATGTAGTTGGGAGGTTAAATTGGTATATGGAGATAATGCCAAGGGACCGGAATTCAGAAATCAGGTGACAGTTTAAAAATGAAAGTCAACTTTATATGTAGATTTTAAGCATCGTTTTTTGTTAAATTAAATGGTGCATGTAGATCTTATTTTTAAGCTACATATGTTTATGTTTCCAGCAGCTAACAGATTAAACTTTCCTAATTAAATGTGAGGTGCTTCCCATGGTACAGTCTTCAATTTTCAGGAAGGGCATCCTTTTGAAATGCAGCATTTCAGGATTCAGCTCACTGAAGAGGATAAAATCTGCGCTTTGTATTTTAGAGGGGAACCCTGATCACTCATCAGTAGATCTTGGAAAAGAAAAATTCCAGCTGGGCACAGTGGCTCACACCTGTAATTCCAGCACTTTGGGAGACCAAGGCGGGTGGATCACCTGAGGTCAGGAGTTAGAGACCAGCCTGGCCAACATAGTGAAACCCTGTCTCTACTAAAAATACAAAAATTAGCTGGGCATGGCGGGCACCTGTAATCCCAGCTACTCAGGAGGCTGAGGTGGGAGAATCAGTTGAACCTGGGAGGTGGAGGTTGCAGTGAGCCGAGATCGCACCAGTGTACTCCAGCCGGGGTGACAAGAGTGAAACTCCGTCTCAAAAAAAGAAAAGAAAAATTCCACTTCAGGGCAATTTTCTGCTTGGATACATTTCTGGGTTTTGTCTCTGACATCTTCATGATGCCCAGTGCTTCGAATGCTGTTACTCCTATGTTCCTCTTCCATGCGAAGTCATTTCATTTCTTTTCTTTTTTTTTTGAGATGGAGTCTTGCTCTGTCACTCAGGCTGGAGTGTGGTGGTGTGATCTCGGCTCACTGCAACCTCTGCTTCCTGGTTTCAAGCAATTCTCCTGCCTCAGCCTCCTGAGTATCTGGGATTACAGGCACACGCCACTGTGCCTGGCTAATTTTTGTATTTTTAGCAGAAACAGGGTTTCACCATGTTGGTCAGGTTGGTCTGGAACTCCTGACCTCAGGTTATCCACCCACCTCGGCTTCCCAAAGTGCTGGGATTACAGGCGTGAGCCACCACGCCCAGCTTTGTGAAGTCATTTCTAATCCCCATTTTGAAATGCTGAATATTTTCCTCTTGCAGTATTTTATGTCTCAGGCAGATCCCAGGCAACTCAAGTACTTGATCTCAGTCAAACCTTATTTTTGTAGTAGGGCCCTTGATAATGAACCTGGGAAGAGAAATGGGAAATTCTGTAGATCTGTCAGCTCATAAGGAAATGCATGTCTTCTTCATTCATCTGGGGCACTGACAAGTGAACAATTTTTTTTTTTAAGACTGAGTCTTGCTCTGTCGCCCAGGCTGGAGTGCGATGGCGCAGTCTTGGCTTACTGCAACCTCCGCCTCCCAGCTTCAAGTGATTCTGCTGCCTCAACCTCCCTAGTAGCTGGGACTACAGGCACCTGCCACCACATCCAGCTAATTTTTGTATTTTTACAACATGGTTTCACCATGTTGGCCAGGTTGGTCTCGAACTTCTGACCTCAGGTGATCCACCCGCCTTGGTCTCCCAAAGTGCTGGGATTACAGGCGTGAGCCACTGCACCCAGCTGGTGAGTGAACAATTTTAACTGTCCTTGTTGTATGATCATTTTTTACTGAATTGTACCTTGACTCAAAAAATCCAAATAACTGAATAGTCATGCGAGGGCTCTGGCATGGAAGTGGGCTTCTGGGATGCTTGCCAATGAGTTCCTTTTTGAGGACACAGAATCTAAGTGGAAAGATTAAGTGGAGAGGCAGCTCCACCCTCTAAGTCTTATTCCTATGTTCCATTCAAATCTTGCTAGCTTGATTTCTGTGGGGTCTGGGCTTTGGAAATTCTCTTTTTCATGGATGTCTCAGTGCACCTTGTTAAACCGAATTTGGACTGTTGTGTGTTCATCAGCTTCCAGCTCTACTGATTGGTTCCAGTTTCCTTGCTCATGAAAGCCAAGATAATCTGGCACCCACCAGTCAGGCATCCTCAAGTATCTGGCACCAAGGTAAACCTGGAAGCCAGTTAAGAAGTCCCAGTGATCCAACACACTCACTGCTTGATGAGAGACAGTTGTGGTACACCAGAAAGAGCACTGCAATAGGAGCAGGAGAACTGGGTTCTTGTCTCATCTTTGCCTCTACTGCATCATGGAAATTTGGGCATTTCTGTGATTTCTCTGAAATTCTCTTTCCTCAGCTATAAAATGGTGGTTTGAACTAGACAGTTTCTCAAGTGTCTTCCAGTTCCAAATTATTGAGTATATGAAAAACTAAAAGAGCTAAGCTTCATTTATGCCTATTGTTGCGTAAACACAACTTAGCTTTAAAAATATTTACAGTAACTACCTCAAGTTGCATATACTTCTGATCCTTTTCCACAAAAGTAGTTTGTATAACAACAAAATGAGAAGGGACACAGTCCGTATTCCAGAGGAGAGAATTAACCTCTTCTTACCTCAATGTTCCCTGACATCAAGGGGGATAATAATATCTAACTCAGAATTATGGGGAAGACTAAATGAGATAATCCCTGGCACTTAGAATGGTGCTAGACAAAAAGTAAGTGTTTAGTGAAAGTTATTATTAATATAAAATTAGAAAGATTAAAATTTGCATGGGCCACAGTGGCTCACGCCTGTAATCCAACACTTTGGGAGGACAAGATGGGAGGATTGCTTGAGTCCAGGAATTTGAGACCAGCCTTGGCAACATGGTGAAACCCCATCTCTACAAAAATTACAACAATTAGCTGGATGTGGTGGTGCACGTCTATAGTCCTAGTTACTCAAGAAGCTGAGAGGTGGGAGGATCGTTTGAGCCCAGGATGTCAAGGCTGCGGTGAGCCATGATCGCACCACACTGTCCTCCAGCCTGGGCGACAGAGTGAGACCAAAAAAATTGCCATGGAATTGTAGTAAGGGTTATGCTGAAATAATAAATGTTCAGCTGCTGCTCAGAAGTCAAGGTAAGACTAGAATAGAGAATACAGAAACAGACCCACATATATATACAACCACATGGTTTTTAGCAAAGATGTTACTGCTGTGTAGTGAGGAAAAGATGGTTTTATCAATAAATGGTACTAGACTGGTTGGATATCCATATGGGGGAAAAATTGGTTTTGACCCCTACTTTATACCACACATAAAAATGAATTCCATGTGGCTCATAGATCTGAGTATGAAAGTAACACATTAGCACTTCTAAAGATAACATAAGAAAAATAACCTTATGACCTTGGTGTAGGCAAAGATTTTTTAAGTGGAGCACAAAAAGCATAAGCTTTAAAGGAAAAGACTGATAAATTAGATTTTATTAAAATTAAGAACATCCATTCATCAAAAGACATCATTAAGATTGTTGAAAAGGGTGCAGTGGTTCATGTCCATAATCCCACCACTTTGGAAGGTGCAGGCAGGTGGATCCCTTGAGGTTAGGAGTTCGACACCAGCCTGGTCAACATGGTAAAAACCTCTTTCTACTAAAAATACAAAAATTAGCCAGGCATGGTCATACACGCCTGTAATCCCAGCTACTCGGGAGGCTGAGGCATGAGAATCATTTGACCTGGGAGGTGGAGGTTGCAGTGCGTTGAGATTGCACCACTGCATTCCAGCCTGGGCAACTGAGTGAGACTCTGTCTTTAAAAAAAAAAAAAAAAGAAAAAAAATTGTTGAAAAGGCAAGCCACAGAGTGGGAGAAGATATTTGTAATACATATATCCAGCATATGACTCTTACCAATATATTATATAAAGACTTGAAGAGGCACTTCATAAAAGAAGATAACCAATGGTCAAACACATGAAAATATCTTAAGTCCAGGGGGAAAATGGAGATGAAAACCACAATAAGATACTATTATGTTCCCACCACAATAGCTAAAAGTTTTTAAAGCTGACAATGTTAGGGAGGGTGTGGAGCAATTACAACTCTCATATACTGCTAGTAGGAGTCTAAGTTGCCACAACTACTTTGGGAAACCATTGTACAATATGTAATAAAGCTGGGTGGATTCATAACTCATGGCCCAGCAGTTTTAGTCTTAAGTATATACCCCATAGAAAGGTGTATATATGTACAGGAACGTTCATAGCACCATCACTCATAATAGCAAAAAACCAAAAACAATCTAAGTGCCTGATAACAATAAAATTAATAAATTGGGGTATACTCTTACAATGGAATATTATATAGCAACAGAGTGAAGCAAATTCAAAACACAACATGATGAATATCAAAAACGCTGTGTTGAGCAAAATAAGCCAGACAAAAAATAGATATATACCATATGAATCTAGTTATGTAAAATACAAAGAAAGGTGAAACTGATCAGTGATTATATAGAGGTCAGAAAAGTAATTATCTTTGGTGAGTGTAAAGACTGGGAGGAGGCATGAGAAAAGCTTCTGGAATTCTGCATACATTCTATTTCGTGGAACTGGGTGGTGGTTACCTAAGTATATTTACTTTGTAAAACTTCATTGAACTGTATGCTTAATGCTTGTATACTTTATGTATTTCATGCCTTAATAAAAAATTTTATTTTAAAAAAATGAAGGAGTACAAAAAAAATGGAAACAACCCAAATGTGTCTGCAGCCAATGAATGGATAATTTAATATGGTATATCCATATAATAGAATATTATTCATTCATAAAAAGAAACAAAGTACACGATACAACAGGGGTGAACCTTGAAAATAAACTAGGTGAAAGAAGACAACCATAAAAGAGCACTTTGTATGATTCCATTAATATGAGATGTCAGAACAGGTACATCTATAGAGACCAGAAATAGATTAGTAGTTGCCTGCGGCTGGGAAGGTTGGGAGGAAGTAGGGAGTGACTGTAAACAGATATGGGCTTTCTTTCTGGGGTGATGAAAATGTTCTAAAATTTATTGTAGTTGTGGTTGCACAACTTTGTGCCTATACTAAAAACCATTCAGTTGCACACTTTGAGTGAACTGTGTGGTATGTTAATGAAATCTCAATAAAGCTGTCATGAAACAAAAAGTTAAGAGATACTGGTAACTGTAATAATGATTGAAACATTGTTAATCATAGTCAGCCTTAGGAAAAGGCTGCACCACCATATGGTCCTTTGGTATGATAGGTGAGCACATTGTTACTGGAGTCAGACAATGTTCTAATCCTGGCTTTGCCATTTACTGACTGTCTGACATTGGGCAAATCATTTAACCTCTCTGAGTCTGAATGTCTTCATCTGTAAAATGTAAATATTAATAGTACCTACCTCATAGAACTTTTGTGAAGATTATTCATTTAATCAAGAAATAGTTGAGTGTATTTATATGCCAGCCACAATGAATAAAACTATTGTTATCATCCAGGAGCTATGGCATCTGAAGAGTCTTAACTCCATTTTAGTGAGAGAGGCTACAAGTGAACTTGAGCGTGTGTCATGAGGACAGGACATCTTTCCCCTACTATACCACATCCATATCTATTACAAAATACAAAAGTCATGTTCAAGGCCAGGTGGGGTGGCTCACGCCTGTAACCCCAACATTTTGGGAGGCCGAGGTGGGAGGATTGCTTGAGCCTAGGAGTTCGACCCCAGCCTGGGCATAGTGAGACCCCGTCTCTACAAAGAATTAAAAAATTAGCTGAGCATGATGGTGCTTGCCTGTAGTCTCAGCTGCTCAGGAGGCTGAAGTGGAAGGATCACTTGAGCCTGAGGAGGTGGAAGCTGCAGTGGGCCATGATCGTGCCACTGCACTCCAACTTGGGTGACAGAGCAAGACCCTGTCTCAAAAACAAACAAATAAACAAAAACAAAAACAAAAAAAAACCCAGGAAATTGAGTTATAACTAACTGATATATGGACAGCTCAGAAATAGAAAGTGACCAGTAGTTAAAAGACTACTTGACAAGGTTTTCATTTCAACAAATATTTATTGTTTCTGTAAAGGAATTACTTTCAGTCATGTTGAAAATCATACTATGTCTACTTACTTGTTCTACTTGTCAAAATGTTTGTTCTGCAGAATGAATGTGTAATCTTTTAAAATTAAATTGAGAGCGCTTGTAGTCTACAGGTGTTGAAAAAGAAGCAAGTATGAGTTTGTCAAGAACCCGATGCTGAGGGGCGAGTCTCCATAATGCAGTGGTTAGGAGCTCCAGTTTTGGAGTCAGACCTTGACACAAGGTGTCTGACCTCCCTGGGTCTCAGTGTCTTTATCTGTAGAAAGAGATGCGTCTCATAGCATTGGAAGATTAAATGAATTAATATAATGAAGTGCTTTAAAAAGTAAGCAGTCAATATGCCGTTATTATGAGACCACCAGTATGGTGGATTCTCATACCACAGGCATACATAAATTATGTATATAATTTCTTGTTAACTTTTGTGACGTCTTGGGGAGTCAGAAATGGTTTCCCTTTCATGCAAATAAATTAATAAGTGAAACTGAGTGATTGGATCCAAAAGAGCTAATTGGGCATGGTGAGAAAATAATAACCCAAAAGGTATCTCCAGTGTGAGAGAAAAGCCACTAAGGGTTTTTGTCACCGGAATATAAAGCAGTGAGCTTTTGCCTTTCAGAATTCTAGGTAAATATGAAAGTTGTTTCAATTTCTGATGTAAGGAATGCTGGGATTGGATTAAGCAGTTAACAGTTAACGTTTAGTTTATAGGCATTTTAATACACATAGTTGTTTTATATTTCTTTAAAACATTGAAAATTATATATCTCTTGTATATTTGGCTGGTAGAGACTAGTAATTATGTCTTGTTAATAGAGGGACTATTTTTGTTTGTTTGTTTGAGATGGAGTTTTGCTCTTGTTGCCCAGGTTGGAGTGCGATGGTGCTATCTTGGCTTACGGCAACCTCCGCCTCCCGGTTCAAGCGATTCTCCTGCCTCAGCCTCCTGAGTAGCTGGGATTACAGGCATGCACCACCAGGCCCGGCTAATTTTGTGTTTTTAGTAGAGATGGGGTTTCTCTATGTTGGTCAGGCTAGTCTCCAACTCCTGACCTCAGGTGATCCACCCGCCTCAGCTTCCCAAACTGCTGGGATTATAGGCGTGAGCCACCACACCCGGCTGGGACTTTTAAAAAATAGAAAAGTCCACAAATGAATGAAAATATGCTACAATTCTGTTTTTAGACCTAGACCTGGGGGAAACCATTCTGCTGGGATTCCACACACGCATTCCCTGCACAGCCTCAGACATAAGAAAGACTAGGTCCCCATGCTGGCCGTATGTGCCGAAGCCCATAAAAGAGATGACGACACATGCCATGACCTGCTGCCTACTGTAGTTACATTTCTGGCATGAAAATAGTTGTTTCCTGTTCAGAAGGAGTATGCCCAGTTCTCTGCTACTTCATTTACTAAGTTCACCTTTATAGAGCTTGCCTGCAAAGTGCTTTAGTCACCATAATCCACCAGGAGAATTGACCAATAAGCTGGCATCAATTTACTGCCTCCTGCTCAGGCTGGCCAGTAGTGCTGTTTCTTGGTGTGTGCTGGGAAGTCAAGAGGTACACAGGTGGCTGGGGTGGACATAGCATTTTGTTGGTGTGTTTTATTCTAAAAATCCAAGACTCTTTACCAAGTAACACACTTATTATTCAAGAATTAAAGTTTACATCTAAGCAAAAAGAAAAATTCAAAATCCTATCACTCAAAACCATTGTTACCTTCTTCATATATTTTTCTCCAGATATTTTAAAGCAGGGTTTGCATTTTTTATTTTATACTTTTTATCCTTATTGCTTTTCCTGCCTTTGAAAACTGAAAACATTACAAAAGTGTGTAACGGATGAAGGAACAATCCCTGTATCTGCTGCCTCTAAAGATCATCACTGAGGACATTTTTATTCTGCTCTTTCTTAGCAGTAACCTTCAACTTCTGCCTCTATTGGCTCGTTGTTGTTTTAAAACTTTGAGCTAGTTTTACTTAACTGGATTTGTCCTTTTCAAACTTTTTTCTTTTCTTGGCTTCAGTCCTGCCTCTTCTCTTTTTTTTTGGATGAAGAATTTTGAACATGCACAAAAGTAGAAGGAAGAGTATAATGAAACCCATTGTTCCCATCACCTAGCCCCTGTATCCCTCATTCCACAGCCAGTCCTGCTCCATTCCCAACCCACCTGTACCCCAGCCCTTATTACTTTGACCTGCTCACTTTGTAATGACCTTCTAGGGTCCTTCGCAGTCCCTAGGGCTTCACTGTCTTTTGGCTTTGAGTAAGGACCAAGTGCCTGCCCTGCTGCTCTCAGAGCTTCTCTGGAGCCTGTGCTCTGTCCCAGGCTTGACCGGCTGACCTGGGCTTTCCCCACTCACTGCTGAAAAGCCTGGAAATTCCCAGACGTTGAGTGCGCCAGCCTCGCAAGTTCAGCTCCTCATTCTCTTTCCTGTTAATGAAGAAGGCCATTGCTCAAGTCATTTGGAAGAGAAAAAGTGGAATTTACTACCTGGGTGTTCCTCATACATGCTGTTCATATAAATTTAAACTTAGATGCCTGAGAATTACATTGAACATGACAAAAATTGCTGTGTGGGCAGTTTAGTTGAGTACTTGCAGATTGATAGAGCCCTTAGTAATAATGAAGGGAAAAGGTTCTTGAAGCTGCTCTGTTCCAGAAGATGAGCTCACCAGTTAAGGAGTTTGCAACTAAAGGTCCTCATTAACCTCTTGCTGGATGGCAAAGAGGAAAAAAGAAGAAGAAAATCCAGACTCTTCAAATCCTGACCTTTGGGGAGACCTAAGAAGTCATCCTATGCTACCCCCTCCTCATGGTGGGTTCCTGCATTTCATTCAGATTTACTTACCCCAGATTTTTTTTTCACTTCAGCTTCTCTTAAGTTTGTAAAATATCCTCAAACCATCACCACGTCATGGCCATGGAGTGCTGCCATGGCTTGCTATACTGGTGGTCAGCTTTTGTGTAAGATTACATAACGAATACCACATGGAACTGGAAGATGCCAGCGTTTGAGTTGTCCCTCTTACCTAGCAACCCAATCAGTGTTTCTCAGAGGGAATGTGCTTATCCCAAGTAAAAGGTGGAGTTTATTGTGTGGCCACAAGGTGATCCAAGCCCAATTGAGTCTGTCTCCAAAATTCAGTAGGATCATGCTAAGGCCAGGGCCCGCATCCTGGCTGCATGAGCTGCCCTAAGTAAGGCCCCTCATCGCTGGTGCCGTTTGAACAGCGGAACATCCCTTTCGCTCAGCCCCCTTGGTTGGATTACCCTTTCTGAGCTTCCAGAATACTGTTTTCTATCTCTGTTGAGGCTCCTATGTTGGGAAAACTGGCCACAGGGTCAAGAGGGGTGACCCAAGCCAGAGCATTGTGTTCCCATCATAGACTGGGTGGAAACCAACCTGAGGGACAGGAAGTCCAACATCTGTTCTATCTGTCAAGGTGTCCAGCAGGTTGTACTTCTGATTGTGGTCTTGAGGCTCTTTGTTTTTGTTCAGTATGACTGCAGATGGCATTAATAGAGCCATGGTCTGCAGAGTGGGTGAGGTGGCAAAGTGAGAAAGTGAGTATGGTACATTCAAGTTACCTTTCCACTTAGCGCTCCCTGGTGGCTTCCCATTGCACTTGAAGTAAAGAATGCCTCATCCTGACCCAGCAGGGCAGCTCTTCTCAGGGCCCATCCACCTCACTAGCCTCCCTGCTTCCACTTCTTCCCTGCTTTCCAGCCACAGCTGTGTCCCTAGACACAGCAAGCTTGCGCCCACCCCCCATCCTTCGCTCTGGCTCTCCTGCCTGGGATGCTCTCCCCCATGTCATCACGTGACATGGTCTTTTTTAGACCCACAGGTCTCAGTCTGTTTCCTCATAGACACCTTTTCATTACTAATGAACTCTAAAATAGGCTCCAGACATTCGCTGTTTTATTTTCTCCAAAGTCCTTTTTACTATCTAAGTAATCTTGTCATTTGTTTGTTTGCTCATTGCCTTTCTCTCCCCACTAGACTGGAAGCTTGACATGAGAAGGGACCTTGTCAGTTTTCTTGTATGTCTACAGTGCCTAGAAAAGGACTGGTACATAGTAGGAGCTTAGTAAGTATTTGTTGTGTGGCTGATTGAATGAATGAAGATGGTTATTAGGAAGATTATGAGGTAATTGAAAGCTAAACCATGTGGTTGTTTAGCCTGAAGCAGAAAAGTCCCAGGGGCCATATGCTGGCTGTCTCAGTAATTAAAGCTGGTGCTACCCTAAAAGCACCTAGCCCTGCTTCACTCCTTTCTCTTGGCCAGATTGCTGTCCTCCAAGGAGATGGGCTTGTTCTGGGCACCCTTATGAGCCAGAACTGGAGCCAATAAGTGAAAACTCTAGGGAGACATATTTTGGCTTTAAAAGAGAGAAAAAAATAATAATAATTGCCACTTTACCTGAGGACGTAGTGGGCTTCACCAGACAGCAGTGAATTTTAAGTCACCTGAGGTATGCATATGCAGGCACAGGCTGGGTGCTCTCTTGCAGACCTGGTATGGAGAGGGCTCAGCACCTGCATGGGCAGTTAGGCAGGGTTTACAATCCTTTCAGCCCAGAGCAGCAGGGCGCCTGCCCTGTATTTTTTGTTACTTTCTTTTTCATTCAGTAAATGTCAATCACTGCGGGCCCAGCCCTTTCCCTGCCCATCATGCTGATTACAGAGAGTCAGGAGGTAGTTCATGATCCGCATGTAGTAAATGGGGGTGAAAGAGTTGAGAAGCTGTAGGAAGACACAGAAGGGGATTGAGCCTGGTCTAGGTCATCAGGGCAGGCCTGCCGGAGGAAGTGACTTTAGGTGGTAGTTTGAAGGACCAGTGGGGGTTGCCAGGAAGAGGAATAGAGAGAACCGCGGGGAGACCCCTGGGTGTGAGCATGGGAGCCCCATCACAGTGTCTTGGGGGTGTAACTGTCATTTAAGGGATAAGGGC
Organism: Homo sapiens; assembly: GCF_000001405.40. Lineage (NCBI taxonomy): Eukaryota > Metazoa > Chordata > Mammalia > Primates > Hominidae > Homo > Homo sapiens. The sequence goes on from NC_000002.12 coordinate 232,232,105, forward strand.
CAGGAAAGTCAAAACATGCACAGAGCAGACCCACATGATGAGCAGTTGGGTTGGTATCAGCTTCTTGTGAAGTGGTGATAGAGGATGGTGTGCAGGGGAGGAGTGGAAGAAACAAGACCATGGGATGGGAGGGGTGGGCAAAAGCCAGGCCAGGCAGGCCACAGAAGCCAGGTCTGGGCTGCGTGCTCAGGGCAGCAGGGCCTCTGGAGGGTGTAGATGGTGAGGCGACAGGCAGATTTGTGTTTGGAAAGGGCACTGTCTTCACTATGGAAAATCAGTTTGAGAAATGGCAGGGAGAGCAATAGGAGGTTGTTAGATATTTCTTAGAAGAAGCCATGGTGGTCTTGGCCAAGGTGACAGTGGTGGGAAGGAAGACATATGGGCAGATGTGAGAGACGTATGGAAGGTAGAGTCAGAATGATTGATCGACACAGGCCTGAGAAAGTCCCAGGTTTCTTTTTGGTTTAGGCAAGCATGGGTATCACTTTTGGTTTAGTGGAGGTGATCCCACTTCCTGGGACAGGAAACACAGGGAGAGAAATGGTTTTGCTGCCAGTAGGGGCTTATGGAGGTATGAGTGTGATGTGACCGTGGGACAGCTGAGTGACAATTCTCAGTAGACTTTGTATACATCAATCTGAAGCTCAGAGAAGTCTAGGCTGGTGATATACAATTAGAAGACCAAAGCACAGAAATGAGGTTTGAATCCCTGGAAGTAGATGAGACAATCCAGAGAGAAGGGGTAGAATTAGAAGAGAAGGCAGCCTGGGGCAGAGCACGGAGGCTTGGCACGCCACACTTAAGGGACACGGAGAGGCAGAGAAACTTGAAGAGGAGCAGACATGGAGCTTAGACACCCAGAGTGGGGCCCAGAGCTAAGGAGGAGTGTCTCAAGGTGTTGGGGTGGGGAGGGCACAGAATCACCAGGCTTCAGATGCTGCTATAAGGTCAGGCCTACAAAGGTTTGGATTCAGTGCACAGAGGTTATTAGTGACCTGGACAAAGCAGTTATTTTTTGCTGATGAAGTATATTAAAAGGCTTTCCAGGCATCACATGTGCCTTAGTCCATTCAGGCTGCTATAACAGAATACTGTAGACTAGGTGGCATAAAGAACTAAAACAACGGATTTATTCCTCACAGTCCTTGAGGCTGGGAAGTCCAAGATCAAGATGCTGGCAGATCCAGTGTCTAGTGACGGCCCACTTCCTGGTTCATGGAACAGCACCTTCTCATTGCGTCCTTACATAGTAGAAAGAATGAGAGAGCTGTCTGGGGTCCCTTTTATAAGGCACTAATCCTATTTGTGAGGGATCTACCTCTGAGGCCTGATAACCTCCCAGAGGTCTGCCTCCTGATGCCATCACATTGGGGATTGAATTTCAACCTGTGAATTGGCAGGGAGTGGGGAGACTGGGGGGAGCAAATATCTATCACAACACATAATATTGTTTTATGTGAGGAGTGTCCTGCTGATGTCAAGAAGAGCCTCTGTCACCACTGTGACCACTGTCCAGTCTCAGCAATGGGTAAAAGTGAATGAAGTGACCCAAGTCTGGAAGGCCTTATCTCACTGCTGGTAAGGGAAGGCCCCACCTATAGTAGGTGGCCACCCTGGTTGTGCTCATTCCTGGCACAGGCCTCTTGAGTCGTTCAGACAGTCTCTGTACTACCAGCTAAAAATGACTGTAAGCTAGAAATTTAGGAGTGGTTTAGATTTTAAAGAGCTTGTTCATCTAATTAAATAGAACTGGAGTTAATGGCTTAGTGGTTGTTCTATAATCAGGCCCTGCTACAAGTGGTTAAGGAGACTGACAACGGGAACCAAAAGAGCCTGCAGGGACAGGAGTGAACATGGCTGGAAAGAGTCTCTGCCAGGACTTCTGAATCCAGAGCTGAGAATGTGGCTTCCTTGGAGTTATGAGAGATAGGGAGGGATTTTGAGCTGTGGCCCACTGAGATGAAAAATTGGGTTGTATCATCTTGTTCTGGAGTTGCAGTGACAGTTTATGGCGAGGGGTAATAAAAGGAGCAAAGGATCTGAACCCAACCTGGTTTTGAATCTGGGATTTCTCACTTTTTAGCCAAGTAACTGGAAAAGTGACTGAAAAACTCTCTGCATCTCAGATAATTCATCTGTGCAAAACGATATGCATAGCTGTAGTCAAAGTTAGCTTGTGTGTGAAGCCCCTAGCACAGAGGAGACATTTAATAAATGTTCACTCCTGCTATCTGTATTATTATTGTTATTATTTTTCTTCTTCTTGAGACGGAGTCTCACTCTTGCTCAGGGTGGAGTGCAGTGGTGTGATCTTGGCTCACTGCAACCTCCACCTCCCGGGTTCGAGTGATTCTCCTGCCTCAGCCTCCCAAGTAGCTGGGACTACAGGCATGCGCCACCACACTTGGCTAATTTTTGTATTTTTTAGTAGAGATGGGGTTTCACCCATGTTGGCCAGGCTGGTCTTGAACTCCTGACTTCAGGTGATCCGCCAACCTCAGCCTCCCAAAGTGCTGGGATTACAGGTCTTTATTATTTTTATGATCATCATAGTCTATGTTACATTTATGTAGTTGTTATGGATCACAAAACACTTTCAGATGTCCTCACTGATTGCAGTTCAGCTTACTGCCATATACTTGAGTTATCACACGGGTGTATGTATGAGCCCCATTAGACCGAGAGCTCCTTAAATGGATGGGTCCCCACTCACAGATGTCTAGTGCGGGCATAAACTAGAGGATCCATGTGAGGAAGCACTTCCCCTACCAGAGCTCTTCAGAAAGAGAGCAGGTGGCTTCAAGAAGATGTCAGCTTCCCACTCTTGAGGATATAGCAGGGGCCACCTGGCAGGGACACTGTGGGGAAGTGGCTGCACTGGTTGGAAGGCTGGCTTCAAAGAGATGGTTTCTGAATCCCGCTTTATAATCTATGTTTTAATTGGATGAAGCAGTTCTCATGTCCCGTCAGGTTCATTCAAAGGAGTGTTTGTACTCATCTAAGTTTGTGGACCCTAGGCAAAGTGAGCCAGGCCCGGCTGCCCGGGGGATCCTTCCTCTCTCTGCTCTAAATGCTCTTTAAACACACAGGCTCACCTACTCCCTGGCAGATGAAAGTTTTAAATTTAAAAATATTTTAAAAGAATGCTTTCATATGAAAGCCAGTATCTTTTAAAATATCAAATTTGTCTTAAACATTTTGGCAGCATATGCCATGTGACTTTTGGATTTATAGTTTCTCTTTCATAGAATAAAAAGTTCAGTGCCACCACCTCAAGAGTTCTGCAAGTTCACATTATGTAAACATATATAATAAAATATTTACTTAGGGTTTCCATAAAAAAGATCCAAAGCAGAGAATAAGAGAGCTTCTCTTTGCTGGTTTCAGAGGCTCTGCTGGGAATTCTGAATGAAATTTAAGCCTCTTGAATATGTTTTGATTGGCCTTCTTCATATTTTATCTCCTGTAATGAACTCTTTGTCAGTTTGTCAATTTTGACTAAGGACAGAAAGTTCATGTGCAGTAACACAGAGACTGAATTTAAAATTATGGTTTATATCATGATGTAATAATCCTCTCTTTTGTCCTTCAGTCAATATTTACCTGTTAGGCCAATATATTATAATGCTGACTTCAAAAGAAGACACTTTATTTTACCTTCTCTAAGTGTTGGTTTTAGATACTTGAAATATCAAAACTGGAAGTTGAGCCATCTGAGACTCTTGGCTGAATTCACATAAAGTTCAGTTCCTCGATCGCAGGGCAGGTTTCACTGCTCCCAGTGACCCAGCGACACAGCTGCGTGCCTGTCAGAATGAGGCAGCTAAGCTTGGAGTCATGCTGGTTCCTCTCAGCTTTCCAGACAGCCCTCTCCTCTGTGGGAAACAGATCTGTTATGTTACCCCATAGCAGCCAGGATCTCTTAAGTGGACTTAAGTATTCCTTTATGTATTACAGCTACAGGATTGGGCGGAAAAACCTGAAGAATGCCCTGTAGGAAGGTGGTCTCTGAGTGTCACACCAGATGAAGAATAGGGAATCTTAAATTCTTTTCCTTGCCTGAACCCCTTTTTTCAAGCATCCCACGTTTAAGCATTTTTCCATTTTAAAAACTGAGGGAAGAATTATCCCCCAGTGAAGGAGTAGGAGGATAATAAGTAGCTACACAGTTTGCAGATAAAATGTGTGATACCTTAGGACTGATCATTCAGGTTACCAAAAGAGCAGATGGTACTGTGTTAATAAGTTCTTCTAAGCCAACTTGGGTATGAGTCAAGACTCTGTCAGTGAGTCATAATGGAAAGGGAATTGATCCACTCATTAACTGCCAAGTCCACAGGTAGACTAGTTTCAGGCTCAGCTGGATCCTGAAGTTCAAATGAGGTCATAATTCTTCTTTTCTTTCTTAGACTATTATTTTCTGTATTGGCATGATTATGTAGCATAGATGTTTCCTGGCAGCTCCAGGTTTATGTGGTCCTTAGTGCCTAGGATCCCAGGAGAGAGACCCTCTTTCCTGAAGTTCATATCATTTATCAATACAACAAGTTGTATTGTTCAACTGAAGCAAATTCAGCACTATGCTTGTATCTTCCATGTGCTTCTCTCTGCCCATTGTATATCTTTAAACTGTATACTTATTTTATTTTATTATTTTATTTTTTCGAGACAAAGCCTTGCTCTGTTGCCCAGGCTGAAGTGCAGTGGCACAATCTCAGCTCACTACAACCTCTGCCTCCAAGGTTCAAGCAGTTCTCCTGCCTCAGCCCCCTGAGTAGCTGGGACTACAGGTGTGTGCCACCACACCTGGCTAATTTTTATTTTTAGTAGAGATGGGGTTTTGCCATGTTGGCCAGGCTGGTCTCAAACTCCTGGCCTCAAGTGATCCGCCAGCCTTGACCTCCCAAAGTGCTGGGATTACAGGCATGAGCCACCGTGCCCAGCCTATATACTTATTTTACATGTATACTCTTTTTTTGTAATTGGTTCATTTTCTGTATTTTCATACACACATACATGTATATGTATGTACGTATGTATATACTCTTGTATGTATGTGTATATTTTTATTTTCACATACACTATATTTGATAGGTGATTTACAGTATGTTCAAGAATAAATCTTAAGTTTATAACCTAACTACCCTCCCTCATTTAAGGTACAGTTCTAACAGCCTTGGTCACCTGACCAACTCTCTGGTAAACCTGGTAGGGAGGGCAGGGCCTATTAAAAGACAGCTCCACCAGGAAGGGAAGGAGCAGTTCTAAAAGGAAAAAGAAAGTGGGTCCTTTACCAGAGGGAAAAGACAGACCGACTGTTGATTCATTCATTCAACAAGTACTTCTTGAGGACCTATTATGTGCCAGGTACTCTTCCAGGCCTTGGGTAACAGTGAACATTACACAAAAGGCCTTATTTGCTGGAGCTTACATGGTAGGGAGAGAGACAGATAACAAACACACAAGCCGATAGAGATATGCCGTGATATCTGGTAGTGATGAGAGCTCTGAAGAAAGACCACGGTAAGCCTCAACAGGTGTGGAGTACGTGCTTTACAGTGCAGATGGAGGAAATGGTTGGGGGCGGGGTGGTGGGGAGTTGGAGGAGACAGACAGGTGGAGGAAATGGTGGGAGGGGGGTAGAGGAACCTCTTCTTGTTTGGGGATTCTCTTTCAGTTGACCCAAATAAAGTAAGGAAGATTTTGATAGGCAGATCCTGTTAAGACTATCCCAAGCATAGGAAAAAGTATGAGCCAAGCCAACATCTAAATGGCTTGAGGGAAGATCTGTTCAGGAAATGGAAAGAGGTTTCCCATGACAGCTACATACAGAGCATGTGAAGGATGGGGCTGAGGTTGCTTGGGGTGTGACCCTGTAAGGACATGAATAACAGGCTAAGAGTACCTTTCCCAGACCCACATTTAGAAAGATCACAGCAAAGTGTGGAGGGCCAGGTGAGGGGGGCACAGAGGCGAGGTAGGGCAGCCAGGTGTGGGCTAAATAGGGCAATGGCCAGAGGGAATGGGAAGGAAGGGCAGAGCTTTCAGAGGCTTCATCTGTAGGATTTGGGGATTAATTCACTTCTAGTGACCTAAAAGGATTTGTTCATCACCCAGAATGAGCCATATCTTCTTATGTTTACTCAAAGATAAGAAGCCTTTAGAAATGGGAAACATCTTGGGAAAGTGGTTAATCTTGTTTATTCACAAGAACAATTTCATCATCTTTTGCTATACAATGAGGAAAGTGACAGTAGTGCGGGTCACAGAGGGAGGTGGCCAAGGAAGGAAGCAAGCAAGACTAGATGTGTCACCTAACTGCAGGTCCTGTGGCCTCTGGGAGTGACATACATTCTAGGAAAGGACTCCTGGGAGAGAATGCTGTGGCCTTCCACGCCAGCCTGATAGTCCTTCTCGTGCATTTACAGGCAACTTCAAAGTGGGAGTTCACATTGCTGACGTGAGTTACTTTGTTCCGGAGGGATCTGATCTGGATAAAGTGGCTGCCGAGAGGGCTACAAGCGTCTACTTGGTTCAAAAGGTAAAAATCCATCTCTAGTTTCTTTTTTCTTGCTTTGTTTATTTGTTTGTTTCCCTGGAAGAGTGTGTGCTCTCTGTTATTACATGTTCTCCGGAAAGAGAAGCCAAAGGAAGACACAGGTGTTCATCTGAGGCCTCATCCCAGAGTGGCCCTGCTATATAAGTAACTGACAGATACTCAGCTTCAGAAAGAAAGGAGGCAAAATACCTGCTTTCAAACGATTGTTCTAAAGCAGGGCTCGGCAAACTCAGCCCACACTAGCGACTAGTTTTTGTAAGGTTTTATTGGAACTCAGGCACATGCATTTGTTCATGTATTGTGGCTGCTTTCACACTACTTCAGCAGAGTGGCATGACGATTTCCTATTACTGTAAGCCCTTTAAGGAAATGTTTTCAACCCCTGTTCTAAAAGGTGGGAGCCAATCTGGTCCTGACCTGCCCATTACAAGATAGCTATGGGAGTCTCCGAGATGGAAAAGCGAAGGGAGATAAGGAGGAGCCTGAGCTTTTCCCTCTCATCCTGACTGCACCACTCTTGGTTAGTTACTAAGTGTCTACAGACCTCCCTAGACTCATCTGTGAAATGAAGGGACTGGACAGATTCATCTCAAAACATCCCTTCCATTCTGTGTACTTGGACCTGGCACATTCAATAGGTAACCATGAGAATCCATTCCTTTAACACATATATATTGAGCACCAATTATCTGATGGTCACTGCAGTAGGCCTCAGAGAAAGGGGTTAATAAGAGACCAAGCATGAGTAAGTTCTGCCCTCCACACTGTGGTTCATGAATTCTGCCAGGTTTCTTTCTCTTCTTTCCCTTCTCTGATCCTCTGCTCATTTGCTCATCTTCCTTCTTCGGCCATATCTGGACTTCCACTTCCTTTCTAGCTTTTTAAAATTTGGCAGTCCAGTTTGGGATTCTGCCTATACTAGCTTGAGCCTTCCTGCCTCCCAAGCCCATGCCCTAGGACATGATTCTGGTATTTGCTCATTGACTGCCCTAAGGTCAGAGGAATATCCCCACCATCCACCCTAGAATGCAGCACCACAGGTGCATTCTAGAATTTCTGGGCTCCACTTCTAGCAAAGTGCCTACTTGATGTTCACAAAGGTATTGGCACTTCTGGAGCAAAAGCTATCCAGGAAAGCCCAAAAGTTTCTAGGATTTCTGGTATTTACCAAGTGTTACTGAGAGTTCCTCTCATGTTTTCAACTTGTCCACCCTGAAAACTAACCTCTCAAAAGGGAAGAGACCAGTCTAGGCTTTGAGTGCAGCCATATCCTCTAGGGGCTGAAGATCCTGTTGCCTGTGGCCCAAGTTTAGTTCCCCCAGTGTAGCTGAGCTTATCAGTTGACAGTGATGTCTTCCACCCCATGGTGGAAATCACCTTGTCTGAGACCCTTTGCTCCTGCTACAAAGGGAGCTAGCCTAGATGGGCTCTCTTGTCCCAAAGGAAAGCCAGAGCTGTTATCTGCCATAGCCGCCTTCAATATGTGGAGGCCCTACCTAGGAAGACCTGGCACCTCCTCTCCCCTGCCCCAGGACAGTACTCTCTGGATCACTGAAACCTAGAATATTTGAGCAAAACCCTAGCTCCACCTGCTCCAGGAGACTTGTACAGCCGATTTCTTCAGAAGTACAGCTTTGCCTACCATTCACATTAGGTGATCAGAACCACCATGTACGTGTTTTCTGCCATCCCAGAAGTGAGAATAGTGAATAGAGAGGAAGACAGAGTTGATCAGAGCCAGGAAATTCTGAGTCAGAAGCTGTGTGATCATCAAAACCCCATTCCAGGTAACTGTGTCATGGGCAATAGGTAATCTCAATGCACAGTGATGCCTGAAAGACCCAGCACCTTCAGTGACCAATTAGTGAGAATAGTTAGCTGTGTCCTCATCTGAGCAGGGGGAATTCCGTACCAGACTTTGCTTGTGTCAAACGTACTGTGTCCCTCCCTGACCTCTGTGGCTGGCCTAAGCCTAAATGCAATGTTTAAGAACTTCTCTTTGCCCCCCGACCCCTCACAATGTCTATGACACCTGAGTCCAAGCTCTGAGCAGGTATAGGCAGCTTAAGAGAATGCAGTGCAAACTTCTGACCCACAAGTATCTCTCTTGAGTACATGGGGCTTCCTCCCTGACCCCCATGGCCATGAAGCCACGGCCATGCACTAGCTGCTGCGCTCTCCTTTTATAACCAGGAATTACTTTTCAAAATCAGAAAATGAAAAAATCAAATTGGGTTAAGTAATTAAGCATGTTTCCTTTTCTGTTTCCTTTGGTTTTGTGTTTGTCACAGTTCTAGAATTTCTCTGTGGGACTACAGAGTTGGGGCTCTGCTGCTGAGTTGTGAAAGTGGGGAGCTGGGTGGAGGAAGGGCCCGCACGCCTCTGCTGCCCGGCACTGCCTCCAGCTTGGCAGGCACAAGTGGCGCCGGCCCGCAACCTTGGACAGCAGCAGCTGTGCGCTCTGATTCCTTTGAACCGCTGCTCTGACCTTTCTTCCTACTCGGTTTTGTTTCTTAAAGGACTGTGTCCAGGAACTTTTCTGCTGTTTTCACTTTACTTTGCCTATAAAGGTCTTCTGAAAAGCTGGATGAGCTGTGTTTCCGCCCTCCAGATTCTCTGCTTTCTCACTTGGCACAATCATTTCTCCCAGCTTCATCACACAGGGGAAGGGGGGCTGGGGTTCCAGTTCATTTCCCATCTATAGGGAATGTGGCACTGATTTCATTCAGATCTGTAAGTGACTGATGCCAGAACTGCAATCTTAGCTCCTTATCTAAACTCTAATTGGGGGATTAACCCATGGAGTAGGACAGTATACAGTGTAACAGGTCTTGGGTCCAAATACCACCTCACTGACTTTAAATGAAATTCTTTTTGTTGAGATTTTGCTCACAGTAATAAGTATTTGGTTATTCTTGTTAACAATAGGGTATAATCAGGTGGAAATATAAATTTAGGTAGTGTCCATTTAAATATCAGGAAAAAACTTTTTGACAAAAGATGATTCCGTTAGATAGGGGACACCTGCCCACCTGAATTTTGGTCTGTCTTTCTCAGAAGGACACAACATTTGCTCAGTTAATGCCTCTCAACTGTCTTCTCTGGGAGATAAATATAATGTAATTGCAAAGTTTAAAGTAATTTTAGAAAATAAGCAAATTAAGCTTTAAAAGTAAAAGAAAACCTAAACAGTTGAAACCTAAACCTAAATTTTCTGCCTATTGGCCCAAGCATTCATGTTATTTTAGGTGCGAAACAGCTCAAGTGAAAGTTCGCCCATAAATCTCTACGATATTTTATTGGTACTGCTTTATAATAGAGATCAAAGATTGGGATTGGAAGCCTGTCTTAATGTAGAGTCCAAAGAGTTTTAAGATGTTTCTTTCTGACACCAGCAGGTTGTCAGAGTGTTGATGTTTTGTTAACGTCAAACTGTGTAGCAAAGAGTTGATCAAATTCTGAATTCATGGAAGTGTTGATATGGAAAAGAAAACTCTTTAAACAGAGATGTTGGCTGGCAAGTGAATTAATCTATTTCCTTTAAGTTATTTCAGTGTGTAAGTAGGGAGCTAGCTGAGTGTACCTTGTTGTTAAAACCTCGAAGTCCTCGGAGAAAAGGGGGAAAAGTCACCAATTCTCAGACTGCAGATATGGGCTGCGATGGCCAATGGGTTATCGCACTGAAGGCCTGAGGGAGTGTGGGTGGGGAGCCAGCAAAGGCCTGGGCTGAAAGGGGCAGAAGAGGCCCTGCAACCTCTCCAGGTAGTGGAGAAGCCCCTATGACTTGGCTTGTGGGCATCTGGCTCCCACATCACTGCTAGTCCTTCCTGCTCCTCCTTGCCTGAATGATTGATTCTTCCCTTCTGTGGCCCTTTGTGTTGGTCACAGGGCTGTCCTGGCTAACCTGCTGCTGAACTTGGCCAGCCTGCCCACTGTGGCTTTAGCAGATGTTTCTGCTCTCTGAGGCTAATATAAGGTTTTATAGTCTTGTTGGTACCCCCACCCAGCTGCCTTGGGCAGTGGTGTATTTACCCAAATGATAAATTTCTCTCTACTCTCTCAAGACCTGGTCCAGAATGCTTAGAAAGTCAGTGTCCTATCATCACTATCCCTTTTCTCCACGGCCAGCTCTTAAGCTCTGCCCTGACTCAACTTTGGTCCTGGCCCCAAAGCATGCTTAAGAGGACTTAGCATCCTTCAAGCCCCGTTTCCTTTTCTGCTGCCTGAAGTGCTTATCAGTCTTCCTCCACTTGGTATTTATTGAGTACCAGCTGTGTGTCATGTTCGAGGGATGTAAAGATGAGACAGATTCTGGTCTTGCCCTGGGGAAGCAGAGGAGGTGGACAGGTAGCAAACACTTGCAATGCATCAGGCTACCTTCAGGTACAGAAGTGCCCCAAAGGTGAGGAGGTGTTAGAGAAGAGAGAGGGGTTGTATCTGCCTGGGCTGGTGGTGGGAGAGGAGCTTCTGCAAGGTCCAAGAAGGCTTCACAAAGCAATCGTGTTTTGAACAGTGTTTCACATTTTGAGTAGAAAATTTCTAGATAGACAAAAATGGGCAGAGAGGGCATTCCAGGCAGAGGCTAGAAAAAGCAGAGAACATTCAAGGAGCAGTATGCAGTTTGGAATTCTTGGGGTGTGAGTTGTAGAGAGAGCCACGGATGAGGTTACAAAGAGAAGCCTGGAGTGGTAGGCGAAGGAGCTCAGATTTTGAGGGCAAGTAGGGAAGTGATACGGTCTCCTTCCACCAAGATAGAAAATCACCTTAGCAACTGTGTGGTTGAAGGATAGTGAGGCCAGAGGCAGGAAAATTGTCATCAGTACCTGGGCCCTTTCCCCCAGTCATATCCTCTTGAGGCTCTGAATAACTACCCCAACACAGAGATCTTTGCTCACAAAATCTTATGAGAGTTTACCAATGTGGTAATGTCTAACTGGACCCCAGGAGAACTAGGACAATAGATGTCTTCAGCCTAGTGCCAAATGGACATTCTGAACAAGCAGCATTTCAGTTACTTCAAATTGTAGTTTCTTCCCAATTCTGGCAATGCATATCACACAAGAAGAAGTAGGGAGAAGCAAAGGGCAGGGAAAATGGAGAAGTTAGCTTCCCACTGTTATCTTTGCTGTCCCCTCGGAGATAGGGTCCTTCTCCCGCTTCCCTGTGGGGAACTCTTGGCCACCTGTGACCTTAGCCACTGAACATTGAGGGTGCAGGCTTTTCCAAAAACCTTTTGGCCCCATGGAACCCTCTAGGCCCTCCTTCATCCACAGGACATGCAAAAGTCCATTTACTAAATTCAGCTCCTTAGCTATTGGGAAGGTAAAGCCAGTGTGTCCTAACATAAATGGAATTGCAGATTATCATTGAGTGGAGATTAGTAAGAAGATGCAGAAGTCTGGAGAATAAACAAGTCTTATCTAGAATAATTTCTACTTCAGAATTGTCACTGGTTTTTATCTGAGAGAGGAAGAGAGACATATCCACACTTGAATAGTGGAAGGAGGAGAGGAAAAGACTCATTTGAGAGCGTTAGAATGTCAGATCTAGGCTTGGGAAGTGATTGGATGTAGAAGGGAGAGAGAGGAGAGTGAAGAATCACAGGCAAATCCCCAGCTGTGTTCTGGGGACAGGGGTGAGGAGTGTGGGGAGACATGGGTGTGGTGTTTTGATTTTTGGTGGTTTTGAGGGAGGGGTGGTCGTTTGCTTCCTTGCTTATTTAACTTGGGACAGAGCGCTGCTCTTAACAGAGGTAGGAAATGTAGTCAGTGGAACAGGTAAAGAAGGGAGGAAAATGCTGAACTTTGTCTTCTCCATGTGGAGTTTGAAACATTCATGGGACATCCAGTTCATGGTATCCAGAGGGCATTGTAGACGTATGTGGAGTCACAAGGCCAGATGGCCAGACCTTGGACAGGGAAGACACTCGTTGTGAGATGGCAGGAGACGAGGGCACACATGTAAAGTGAGTGGGCCTGGGAGAAATTGGCCAAAGGAAGGAGCTGGAAGGTTGCTTGCAACAGATTGAGTCTGATGATCTCAGTTTTCTCTGTGAAGAAGAGTTGAGGTTTTCTGCTGAGAAAGATTGGGAAGGCAGTCAGGTAAGAGGTCTGAGGAGAATAGTAACATTTTGGGACCTCTTCTGAGGGGCGTGGGGAAGGAGCTAACAAAGAGAGGTGAAAGGCCTGCCAACCCTCATGGAGGTAAGAACTAAGACAGCTTAGCAACTCACCTCCACACGGCCCAGCAGTTTTCTCTGTCACTGCTCAGTGAGGACTTGCAGAAGTAGGAAAGGGCGATTATAAGATCGATCATAGGGTTTGTGGAGCTGGGATAGTAGAAGTGAGGGAAATAAAGAACCTTGAAGAAATTATCCATGTGGTTCACACTGCATAGCAAAGTTAATGAGGACAAGACAGGATAAGACTGGGGAAAAGGATCAAGGGGTCAGGGAATGTATGAACATTTGCACAGTTCTAATGATAGCCAGGAGTTTCCCAGCTCCTGGAGAGACCTTTCTTTTCCAGTCAGACATGGTGTTCCACACTTATCACCCTGACCCAGAGGCTCTCAGGAACCATCGCAGGCCTCATGTAGCTGACCTGGGTGCATGGACTGTTGCGCCATGGTCCAGGTGGGTCTCCCCCTGACATAATGGGACTTGGATTTGAGAAAGCAGCTGATCAGAAGGGGCTGCCTGCCTCTCCTTTCCAGCCCTCCTCCACAGGGATCCTGCTGTGCCTGGGGTTGTGGGAGAGCACATTCACAGTGACCCTGGCAGGAATTAGGCCCCATTTATGAGAGGCTGTGATGTGCCAAACCACAAATGTGATTGTAACCTCTTAATTCCTTTTCCTTTGAAACATAGAGGAATAACCATCTATTTACAAAACTATATATACCTAAAGACTGTTTTCTATGAGAATTTCGTCTGAATTCTGCTTTAAGACCTGGTAAATGTCTTTTATAAAAAATACTTCTTAAAAATTAAATATAATTATACTAACCAAAAAGTTTTAAAGTTCAGCTTTTTCATGAGCACTTAGATTGGTAACTGACCATTGCAGTGTGATTAATAAAATGTCTTCTGTGTAAGATATAGGATACCACACAGTTTTTATAGCCTGCACAACCACTGCATGTGCTGGTAAGTTTTAGGTTAGTAGCCAAAACAGTGTAGCTTATACTTAAAATACTAGTTGTTTATGAAGTTTTTTTTGTCAAGATGTTTAAATATAAGTCTCTAGTATATTTCATAAAATGTTTTATGTGATGCAGTAAACATAGAAAAAAAGAGGTGGTCCATCTCCTGGGCAGAAGCCAGTCAGTTGTCTACACACTGGAAGTGCCTACCATGCATCAGGTGTAGAGAGAGACAGGAGTGAGGCCTGGCCCTTGCTCCTGAGGTTTCAGTGTCTGTGGCACTCAAGGCACCTGAAGAAGCAATTAGGACAGTGTTGTAAATGCAGCAGAAGAGCAGGGAGGATGGAGTAAGTGGCTGACTGTGTAGGATGGCCCCAAATCCTCTTTGAAAGAACAGGGGAGGTGTGTAAAACACAGCACACACTCTGCCTGGGGGATTTTGGATAAACCTTTTAGCAGTGGCAATGAGCTGAATCTGAAAGGATGTACAAGAGTTTGCCAGATGTAAAATGTCCAGAAAGGTGTTCCAGAAAGAGGGACCAGCACAAGCAAGAGCTGGAGCAGCACACAGACAGGTGAAGGGGGTGCAGTGGGAAGGCCCATGTGACTGGTGTTGCCAGTGCCCCGGGAGAGGGCCAGGGCACAAAGCTGAAGGGGATGCTTGAGCCTGGTGACAGTGCACCTTGGATACCGTGGGCTGGCCAGTGAGCTGACTTTCACTGAGCATCTTCAGTATTGTTCTACCAATAAGAAGACCAAGACTCAAAATTTTACTAACTTGCCCAAATTGTACAAGAAGCGGTGGGCCCAGGATTAGCCCCCAAGTCTCTCAGGTGGCAAAGCCTTTGCTGTCTTTCCTGCACCATGCTGCTGCTGAGTCTGCACTTCACTCACTGTAAAAAGGTCTTTAGACCTTGTTGTATTTTTTTAAGTGGTGAGGCCCTTTTTGCAAATAATATCTGAACCCCAAATTCCAACATATAGAAACAGATCAGGTTTTCACTAAATAATTAGCATTCATTTATTTCATATTTAAATGTGTAACACACACCAATTAATGAAAACAGTGACTTTGTTTTTAATAAGCTCATTTATTTTGGAAATAGCTAAACTCCTTACTTTATTTGGATTTCACTAGTTTTTCCATCAGTGTTTTCTTTCTGTTCCAGATTCTAGTTCTGGCCCAAGTTATAATGACTTTCTTTTGACAAACACTAAATATGAAGTTAGGAATTATAATGCATTGTCAGATGCTCAGCTTTGTGACTTAAAGTAAGATACTGCCGTGAACACTTAGAAGACACACTAACTATCTGTACAAAAGGCATTAAGCCCTGGACTGATGTCATTGCAACAAGCATGCTGGGTGGCTGAGCAGCCAGTTACCAAAATACAGTTGATAGAACGAACTGTTAATGCAGCCCAGAGGAGAACACAAGAATGCATACCCAGCAAACTTGATGTAGTCTGTCTTAGCTCAGGCTCCTATAGTAACATGCCATAGCTTAAACAACAGAGATTTATTTTCTCCCAGTTTTGGAGGCCAGAATCCCATATCAAGGTGCTAGCCAATTCGGTTCCTGGTGATGGTCTCTTCTTGATTTGTATATGGCTGTGTCCTCACATGGGCTTTTCTCTGTGCCTACTCATGCAGAGAGAGACTTGTGTCTCTTTCTTGTCTTATAAAGTCACCAGTCGTATTTGACCAGGGCACCACCCCGTGTCCTCATTTAACCTTACTTACCTCTGAAAGACCCTGTCTCTATATACGGTCACACTGGGGGTTAGGGCTTCAACATATAACTGCCGCGGGGGGGGGGGGGGGGGGGCGGGGGGGAGGGTGCCAATTCAGTCCCTAGGATAGCCCAAAGGCTGAGTAGGTGAAATCTTTATCATTCAACCACGAGATGGTATCATCTTGAAGCTTTCTCCATTTTGTGCACTATTTTTAAACAGGTGAAGATGTATCATTTTATAAAACACTTGACATATACAAGAAAATGTTAAATATTTGGATTACATTCTAATGCATCACAAAATAAGTTAGCAAAGAAAATATAGTATTGTCTGAACTGATGGTGCAAAAGTAATGGCAAGAAAAAAATTTCAAAGGTAGTTGTCTGTAAAAGCTGTTAGCGAAGGCTGGTAGGAAAAGTTGTTACCAGAGTTATCAGGTAGTCATTAAGTTTCATACAGATGTTAAAAGACATGACATTCTTTAGAAATACCAAACAATTGCCAATTATTTGTTACTGGTGTGGGCCATGAGTTCTAGAATTTACTATTCCATACCAAAGATATTTACTGTACTAAAGTAGAGTACAGTTGCAGATACTTCACGCAGAATAAGAAGCCGCTGGGGTTTGTTCTGTTTCTGCCCGTAAAGAAACATAGTTTGCTGAATGTCCCTCAATTACAGCATGGCCACCCTTTGCCTATCACTTCTCAGTTACCTAGCATGGGGTTACAGTGTTATCCATGCTCAACACTGCAAGCCAAAGTGGGCCATAGTAAGTGTGTTGAGTAAATGGCTAGTACTGCTGATGTTTTTAGTTAGAGAGGTGGGGTGGATGGTCCTGCCATTAATCAAGAAAAATATGGGAAAAGGAACAGATAGTGGTAGATGGGAGAGAGTTTTTGAAGTAATTTCAGGAGATACAGAGATATTCATTTCATCTTTGGAATAGTAGGAAAAAAAACAAGTAATATTTTGGGACAACTGCAAGTCATCATTTGAAAGTAAGCTGAAAAACAGTTTTTAATTAAAGAGTATATACCGTTGACTCAGTTTATTATGGAACAGAAAGATCAATAAGGAGAAGAAATAATTTAGGCTTAAAAAATGGGAAAATGGATAACTAGTTGATCACAATGTTTATCTAGGAAACCTGGATGTATGATCCTTTCTGTTTTATCACTCTAGTGATATTTTATTGAAGTAGTCTCTTAATGTTCCAACATGTAATTTGGTAAATTACGGTATATTCAGTTACTAAAACATTGATTCAACAATAACAATAGCTTATTTTACTTTAACAAAACCCTGTCCAGAGTTTACACTCAACCCTTGGGCTCTTAAGTATATGTATAATTCAACTGGAGTGCTTATATCCAAAAGCACAAGTACTTCTTGAGTCTGGAGCTTCAGGTTTAGTAGATAATACAATGTAGCTATTTTACATTGCTTGCATTGTACTTTTGTCTTCCCTTACCAGTTCTCCTCACTTTCCCAGCTCATATTCCTATTTGACTCTAGAGGCGCATGGAAAAGTATACAACAGTGTGGTCTTTCTGCAGAGTCTTTGGGAACAGAGCCACCTCCATCTTCAGCTTGCTCTGGAAAAGCTGAAGCTGTTCACCAAAACTCTGCCCACTGGGCTTCTCCTAAGCGGGTTGGAGAAAGGTGCTCATGGGCCTGTGCTCTATTTACAGGTGGTCCCCATGCTTCCCAGGCTGCTGTGTGAGGAGCTGTGCAGCCTCAACCCCATGTCCGACAAGCTGACCTTCTCTGTGATCTGGACACTGACTCCAGAGGGCAAGGTAACAACTTACACGTTTTCTTTCTCCACTTACCTCTTTTCTGTTCCATGAGTCATGAAGCACTCACCATGTGCCTGGCACTGGCTTGGGTGCCATGGTGGTAAGACAAGGGAGGTATGGAGTAGCCATCATAGAGAAATGTCAGAGTCCCTGCCTCGGAAGAGCCGTTGGCCCCACTTAGAAGCCAAGACTGACCTTAAGCACTTAGAACAGGCTTCTTGTCTGTTATCAGGTGAAGGAAGAAATTGAGTAAGCAGAGTGATGCCGGGGAGGCTTATGCAGGAGACAGGGTGTAAGTGGGATTGAATGAGGATTGGCAAAGGCAGGAGGGGCAGCCCAGCCTGCAGTTAGGAGAGCAGAGCCTGTTTAGAGGAGGACATTAGGTAAAGTGGGAAGTTTACATAGGTGGGGTGAAATCAAACTGGAGAATCACAAATGAATTGTAGGTGTTAGGGTTCCTCTGAAGTGTCATGAGAAAGCTGATTGTAGAAAGGTCAGTGGTGCATCGTCATGCTGGATGATTGGAGCGGTGAAGATGAATTAGCAAGGTAGTGCTATAATCAAGGCACAAGGTGGTGAAACCACAGACCAAGAACAGAGGAGAGAAGGATGTCAGCAGGGGTTTCTGGGCATAAGGAAAAAGATGTCTGTGCCTGTCGTCGGGATGTGCCTATGCGTATCATAGGGAACGGCAGGAGAGAGATACATGAAAGAGAAACTAGTCCCCTCCCTGCAAATGTAACAACTCCAAACATTCAGAAGTAGGGTCGTGATTAAGTAAGCCCTGGTGCCTTCTCAGTGGAATATATGCAGTTATTAAAGTTGTTGACAGAGACCATGGAAGAACATGGGAAGTGTTTATACTGTAATATTAAATGGAAGTAAAAAAAGATATTTAATTATAAAGAGGTTCCAAATAAAGATAGAGGATCAAATACCCACATTTACTTTCATTCCCTCCCAAAACCTCACTAAAACAACAGTAAAAGGATTTTTTTTTTTAAAGACATAAACCCACAAGGACAAAGAGAGTGGGAGAGGAGACAACAGCAACAAAATTTTGGAATCTGGGTAGCAGATGGATGAGTGTAACTGACTTAGCAGTCCTGAGAAAGCTGAATCCTGAGCCAGCAATAGAGAAAGCCAAGAAACAACCCAGTTTATGCAGCAGAACCCTAAACAATTCAGAAATTGACAGTACCAGATAATTCTAGAAAGTGGGGGAGGGGTGGGGGAGAGTGAGGCTAACAACAGTATTGAAAGTTTATTTTTAAAAATTGCCCCTCCTATAACTTAGTGGAAGATCAGAAATGTGTTCTCTAGACAGGGTAAAGTAAGAGGTGTCTGAACTAGAGGACATCAAACATGCTTGATGGCAGTGACACCTTGGGGGAGATTGAGTGAATGTTGGCATACTGAACGTTAAGAGTGTCAGCTTTCTTTTTGCTGCCAGCCCCAGAATTCTGGTCGCCAGGCCTATATCCATGAGTCGGGACATGGGAAAATCTCTGAGGACTCTGAATAGTGAGGAATAAAAACATAAAGATACTAACCTTAAGAGTTTCCCAATCAGCAGCCCAGCTGTCTTTCCCTACAGTAAAGCTTACAGACAATAAGCTTCACCCGCACAATCAGAGCTTTTTAGGATTTCATTTCCATATATGAAGAGACAACCCGAGGGAAGCTTCTAATGTGAAATAGGGAGGCTATTACTAATGCATTGATTCAACAATAGCTTTATTTTACTTTGATGAAACCCTGTCCAGAGTTTACACTTAGCCCTAGGGCTCTTAAGTATATGTGTAATTCAACTGGAGTACAAACAAAACAGGAAAGAAGTAAACAAACAGAAAATGAAGTAAACAGGAAAAAGTAACTAGAACAAAACACACTAGCAGGGAAAAGAAATTATCACTTATATCTTTAGGGAATTTTTTTAAAAAAGAAGGTAGCTGTATCACAAAATCTTGATACTTTAAAAAGGAAACATTTGGAGGGAAAAAAAGAGCTCTTGGGAATTAAACACAGGTTAGAAGAATTAAAGATTCAAGATTCCTACTGAAAGGTAAAGTTGAGGAGCTGTCCCAAGAAGAGACAGAAAAGACAAAAAATTAGAAGACTAGTCCAAGATATACAATATCTGTTCAATGACCGTTCCAGAAATAGAGAACAAAGTAAACAGAGGAAAAGAAATGATCAACAAAATAATTTTAGGAAATGCCCCATTCCTGGAAGATGTGATTTTCCATATTGAAAGGGCACACTGCCTAGCACAGGGGTGGAGGCACATCATCAAGACACATCATTATAAAATTTCAGAACACTGTGGACAAAGAAAAAAAGACATACGATAAAATCGGAAATCAGAATAACTTCAGACTTTTCTACCACAACCCTAGAAATTAGATGACAGTGAAGCAAAGCTTTCTAATTTCTGAAGAACTGTGATCTCCATGCCAAAATTCTGTACCCAACGAAGCTATCAATAAAAAGGGTAGGAAAGGACATTTTCAGACATACAAGGCTTCAACAAAAATGTCCATCTCATACACCCTTTCTCAGAAAGCCACCAGAAGATGTGCTTCACCAAAATGAAGGAGGAGTAAATGAAGAAAGAGGAAGACATGGGACGCAGGAAGCAGATAATCCAATACAGAAAGAAGTGAAGGAATCACTTAGATCAGGGCTGGCAGACTTTTCCTGTAAAGGGCCAGATAGTCAGTATCCCTGTCACAGCTACTACACTGTCCTTCAGGTCTGTCTTAAAGAAGATGCTAAGTGCCAGGTGTGGTGGCTCATGCCTGTTATCCTAGCACTTTGGCAGGCCGAGGCAGGTAGATCGCTTGAGGTCAGGAGTTCAAGACCAGCCTGGCCAACATGGTGAAACCCCATCTCTACTAAAAGTACAAAAAATTAGCTGGGCCTGGTGGCGGGCACCTATAATCTCAGCCACTTGGGAGGCTGAGGCAGGAGAATCACTTGAACCCGGGAGGTGGAGGTTGCGGTGAGCTGAGATCGTGCCATTGCACTCCAGCTTGGGCAGTAAGAGTGAAACTCCGTCTGAAAAAAATAAAAGAAAAAGAAAAAGAAGAGGACGCTAAGCTGGATCCTCTCGTGGGCTTCTACATTCTGTCTGTTAGAATCAGTTGTTTTGGTTGATGTGTAGATATGTAGCTGGAAAAGAAAGGAGCATTTTAATAACTTTTTCAGATAATTGTGGCTATTCATTTTTGTACTACACCAAACTTTAATAGTTTCTCAAAAGTTGGTTGGGCCAGGCACAGTGGCTCACGCCTGTAGTCCCAACACTTTGGGAGGCCGAAGCGGGCAGATTGCTTGACCCCAGGAGTTCGAGATCAGCTTGGGCAACATATTGAAACCCTGTCTCTACTAAAAACACAAAAATTAGCCAGATGTGGTGGCATGCGCCTGTAGTCCCAGCTACTCAGGAGGTTCAGGTGGGAGGATCACCTAAGCCTGGGAAGTCAAGGCTGCAGTGAGCCATGATCACGCCACGCAATCCCAGCACTTTGGGAGGCTGAGGCAAGAGGATTGCACAGCCTGGGCAACATAATGAGACCTTGTGTGGATGAAAAAAAATAAAAAACAGACACCAGAGAGTGAGCTCTCTCATCTCCCCAAAATACCCAAGTCTAAACTATAGTTTGTGTGTCAGTTGTTCCTTCAAGTAAAAATGGTGTTCCATAAAATGAGCAATCAGTTCACTTCACAACTCAGTTATGTAATTGCTTTTCCTCAAGACCACCAGCGTACCTCTACATGCAGCAAAAGTGAAAAAGACAAGCAATCAAGGGTTGAGACATCATAAAATTAATAATTTTTACTCCTCTGTCCAGAGCATTCGGTTGTTCGATACGAGTATGAGGTATTGGAGTGCAATAGCCACAGGTGTGCTTGTCGGATTTGCACCAAGGCAGCCACTTTACCCACGAGGGCTTTTGTGCCACCAGTGTAAATGTCAGCACGTGGAAAGGACAAACACTGCCTTAGTATTTTTATGAA
Organism: Homo sapiens; assembly: GCF_000001405.40. Lineage (NCBI taxonomy): Eukaryota > Metazoa > Chordata > Mammalia > Primates > Hominidae > Homo > Homo sapiens. The sequence goes on from NC_000002.12 coordinate 232,253,370, forward strand.
AATAGTTTTAACCTCCTGGATTCCTGGAAGGGTCTCAGGGATCCCTAGGGGTACATGGACCATACCTTGAGAACCAAATGGACAGTTGGTGGAAAGTTTGGGGTAGATTAATATACATAGCACACAGAAAAACCAAGCAAATAAAAAGACAGTTATTAATTCCAGTGAGAATAAAAAGTTGTATAGAAAAGAAAAGTAACACTTAGTATTTATGTAATCATAATAGTAGATTGATAAAATGAATTCTGATCATTGTCATGTATTAGGAGGATTAAGGACTAGAATAGTTACGTGGGCATGGTGGGGGAGGGAGTGTGTATGGAAGAAAAAATAAATTATCTTCTGTAGTGAAAAGTTTGCAAATAATGCCTAAAAAAAATCAGGAAGTAGCAGACAGGTTATATAGAAAGTTAATATCCAAATACTCTTTTAAAAGAGGTAAAAGTAGTTACTCTTGGGAAGTAACAGAGAGGGATGGGGGCTGCTGTTTTTCATAACAATACTTTAAAACTATTTGAACTATGTATACTTTAATATTTTTATTGTGAAAAATTTCAAACATACATGAAAGTAAAGGGCACAATAAACCCATCCTCCCCACTTCCCAGATTCAACTATCAAGACAGAGTGTTTTAAAACAAACCACAGACATGTCATTTCGCTCATACATATTTTAGTATGAAGCTGAAAAAATTTTGGACATTTTCTTATATACCACAGTGCCATTAGCACACCTAACAGTGACTACTAATGCCTTGGTGTCATTCTGAACCCAGTCCGTAATAGATTTCCTTCCTTTCTCCCATAGATTTTCCTGAATTGGGATCAAAACAAGTTATACACATTATATTTGGTTTTTATGGCTCTTAAATATCGGGTTAATAAAAAAAAAGCACCCTTTTAAAGATTTTTTTAAGAGTTAAGAGGCAAACGCTATCTGAAAACAGAAGGAATTATGAGGACAGTATGCCAGCAATCATATTTTGGTGGGGGTGGGAGCATGCATAGGGGAAAAAATGAATGGAAAAAGACCAGTAGGAAATAAAATCGAATGCCAATAGCGGTTATGTTTGGGTAGTAAAACTATGAGTAATTTTTTCTACTTTTTTGTATTTTCTAATGTTTTTTGAAAACGTGTAGCTTTTATGTTTTTATAAATGCTTATTTTCGTGAAAGTTTAACTAAACAGAAAATAAAAGCCCATAGAAGAAAGCTAACTTGAGTCAACAGAAAAGAACTTTGAGTCTGAATTTTGCCTGCCAAAGTCAGACCCAAGAAATAAAAAGCTGCCCAATCTAATGAGCTTCTAAAATATGAGGGTCATAAAAGAAGCACTAGAAAGTGGCAAACTCTGTAACTCAGTTGGCCTCTGGGGTTTCTGTTGGAGGTAGTGTCTGGTGCCCAGGCCACTGGCATTAGGGACTAGAGAGCAGGTGTGAAGTAGGCACAGGATCCAGGAGGGGCTGTGGGCCTCAGTGCAAACCAAGCCAGATCGGAAGTAATGAGAGTTTGGACTAGAGACAGAGTTGTAGGGCAAAGCCCACTAACCACACTCCTTGTACTGTTGGTTATCCAAACACCCTGCCCAGACCAAGCGACCACATGAGAGGTAGACCTGGTTGGTTAGTCCTGGGATGAGTATCTCTTACCCACAATCAAGATGCATGAAATGAGAGGTCAGATTCCAGACTCACATCCAAGGGATGGTCCTTCCTCAAGACACTGGCAAGGAAAGCTTGAGTTTAGCAAGGGCTGGGGGAACAAAGTTCGGAACCAGATGGGAGGGTTAGGGAGCCAGAGAAGGCCAACGGGCAAGGGGTAGCCCTGCATCAAGAACCCAGTGATGAAGAGGAGGATCTCCGAAGCCTGTGTGGCCAAAGTCTGAGGCTGGTTTTGCATGCAGTGGTGACTTCTCTTGGCGTAAAGGTTTGGACTTAGAAGGAGTCAGAGCAGGGCCAACAGCATCATGCCACAGCTGCTGCGTAGCCACCAGTCTCACCTGGAGTTGAAGTGGAGAAAGCTCTGTATTTTTCCTTAGTCTATTGGAATGGCTTACTTTCTGGAGCAGGCATGGTCAGCTATAGAAAGATTGTTCCAACGTTTTCTTAACGCCTACTAAATTTTTTTTTAAACACTCACAAGAAAATCTTGGACATGTATGCATTCATTAAGCTAGTGCTCAGGCTTTTAGGTCAATAAACGCTGAATAATTTATTTTTAGCATATTTCTCACATGTTGGTTGTGAGAGTCTTATTCTCTGACTTAGTAACTAAGTCCTTAGACCTTAGAACCTTAGAATCTTAGGGCCAAAGATCAGAATAATAAAAGAAGGGTCTCACAATTGATTAGCTATCCTCAGTTTGCGTCTCCTGTGACATCCCTGCTGTGTGCTGTACAGGATTAGTCAGGACCTGGAGTGTACTATGGAAGTCGCCTATTTCAGCCATTTACTTAGGTCAAAAACCACGGGGTCATTCTTGACTTTGGTCTTTCTCTCATGCTACATCTGCATCCAGTCTGCCAGTGTGTCATCGCTGCTTTGCTTTCTGAATGCCTCCAGAATCAGCCCCCTTCCTTAACTACCGGCACTAATACCTGCGTCCAAGCTATTCTCTCTCACCTTGACAGATACAGTGGCCTCCTGACTGTCCTTGCAGCCTCTGCTCTTGCCCCACGTCATCTCCTCTGCATACAGCTGTCAGAGTGATCCTTCTGAATCTTAAGCCTTGTCTCTCCATTAAAACTTTCCAATCTCTCATTCACAATAAAAGATAAAACGCCCCCTTACAATGGTAACTTTTTCCTTGTTCTTTTCTGCCTGTCTTCTGTGCTGGAAATGCATAGACTCCAGAGTCTTCCTGCAACCAGCATCTCCTCTCATGTCCTGGAGCATTGCTGCTCACAGGAGAGAAGCTGCCTTTTATGTGTAACTGAGCTCTCTGCTGTGCTGCAGGCCCCCTCCCCAGCTCCAGGGACCTGACATCAGTCAAGGTTGAGTTTCCCCACCTGCCATCTTCTCATATCCTTCAAGCCTCTGCCCCTTCCTTGTAGCTGAGCAGATCTTTTCCTCCCTGCTTAACTCATTCCATTCTGAGAATTGGACATTGTAGAACTATGTTGTGTACCAGTTGGGGCTTTCTCAGCTGAACCTTCAGTGCTACTTGGGAATCCTTTTATTCGTCACTAGGTTCCAAGCCTTTTTTCTTCGGTTCCAACCTCAACCTTGCTTTCCACTCCTCTTTCCTTTAAGACCCATCATTCTCCCAAGTACCTTTCATTCCTCCTTCTTGGAAACGAGAGAGGCTAGCCAACTTCAACTGCTGAGGTCCCCCTTTCCACATCAAAATTTCTCTCTGCCTTGCCGCTACTTAGGAGGCTGAGGCAGGAGGATCACTTGATCAGATTGAGAACAGATCGAGACCCTGTTTCTAAAATATAAATGAATGAATAAATAAATAAATATTTGGCTGGGCATGGTGGCTCATACCTTTAATCTCAGCACTTTGGGAGGCTGAGGTGGGCAGATCACCTGAGGTCAGGAGTTCAAGACCAGCTTGGCCAACATGGTGAAACCCTGTCTCTACTAAAAATACAAAAATTAGCCAGGCATGGTGGTGGGCACCTGTAGTCCCAGCTACTTGGGAGGCTGAGGCAGGAGAATTGCTTGAACCCAGGAGGCAGAAGTTGCAGTGAGCCACCTGTGAAGAGAAAGCGAGCATTCTGCTGGGTGTATAAGTGGATTGTGTGCAATGGTGCTTCAGTCTAGATATTCATGCCTTAATCTTACTGTGTTCGTCTCTCCCTTTTTCAGGGGAAGCCTGAGCTTTGCTTAGTGATGATGGCCCTAGTGTGAGGACTGGGGCTTGTGGAGTAGCCTCTTGTTTGCTCTAGCCACCCCACTGCCTCTGTCCTCTGCAGTTACTAGGACCTTCCCTAGCAAGTTTGCGTCCTTTCCACCACAGGCATGACCTGCCTCTCTCTGCTCTCTTCCAGCCCGTCCTCTCTCTGCCTAGTCCTTTTCAGACACTTGCTTCTTGGCACCTTTGACTTTTCTCACTGCCGGGCTGCCCCTACTAAGGATGATTGCCCTGTTTTCGTAGCTCTAAGAAGCAGCCAAAATCCACTCCACCTCCCTCCCACCCTCCGTCACTCCAAACAGCCTGGTTTTGTTCCAGTCAGGAAAAGGTTTCTTTCTTCCTCATATTTTTTTGAACAAAATATTTTGCATACGGAAGCCCGGAGCTCCTGCAAAAGTGATTTTGTACCTAATTATTTAAGATTATAAGTTAACCCCACTTGCAGTTTTTTCAGCCAGAGATACATCTTAATGAAGTGCTGACATTTTTCAGAGGATAAATTTAAAGATACATTTGAATGGAACTGAATAATTTTCAAAGGAAGTGGTCATACTTCTGTATCAATATAGAAAGTTGATGTGTGTTTGAGACATACTTGGTTTATTTTACTTCATCATCTGCCTCTGTCTAATTTATGACCTTCACCTGAAATGGAATAAAAGTAACACTAGATTTTGGGTCTGTCTTTAACTGGATCTGGTCTTGGCCGCCACTTAGGAGTTTGTATGACTTTTGACAAGTTCCTGGCCTGTTTTCTCAACTGTAAAATGGGCTGAACAATGCACTCCTCCCAGATGTGTTAAGGAGATTTTAGAAGTAGTAGGTTTAAGAATACTCCGAGTGTTAGACTACTTCCGGTCTTACTTAGTACAGTAGGTAGGCCTTGAATTACAGTGCTGTAGTACATAATTATGTACTCCTTTTTCAGTAGTTTTTTCCCAGTAATACGCCTTCAGTCAGTGTTGGCACTGTATTTAATTTGACATTCTGAACAGTGGTATTCCAGAGTATGTGCAGTAAACTCACCTGCCTACAGAAGAGTGACCCAAATCCTGTGATTAAGAAAGAAAAGAGGGGCCAGGTGTGGTGGCTCATGCCTGTAATCCCAGCACTTTGGGAGGCCAAAGCGGGCGGATCACGAGGTCTGGAGTTAGAGACCATCCTGGCCAACATGGTGAAACCCCGTCTCTACTAAAAATACAGAAAATGAGCCGGGCATGGTGGCATGTGCCTGTAGTCCCAGCTACTCAGGAGGCTAAGGCAGGAGAATCACTTGGACCCGGGAGGCGGAGGTTGCAGTGAGCCCAGATCGTGCCACTGCACTCCAACCTGGTGACAGAGTGACAGAGTGACAGAGCGAGACTCTGTCTCAAAAAAAAAAAAAAAAAAAAAAGGAAAGAGGAAAGACATGATCTTCTTTATGAAGTGTTTTGTTTCTGAAGCTCTCCCTGCTGTTTCTACTTTTTCCGTGAAAAACTCTGTCCTTTTGTCTTCTGCCACTGGCTTTGGTTATGCACTGGGCATTGATGTGAATCCAGTTTCCAAATTGGAAAGTAATGAGGTGTTCCATACAGAGAGGCCTGCCTTACATACTGTGAGGTTGGCTATTCCGAGGACCCCCTCCATTTGGATCTTTGCTTTCTTGCTGCCTTTCTCTGTGTCAGACGACAACAGACTCCTTTCTTTTCTGCTTGGCGTCTGCAGAAGATGGTTTCAGGCCTTCTTTCCCTGGCCTAGTCATTTTTTAGTACATGTCAGGTGTGACTCCCAGAAGCACTGGACTGTGTTAAGGCATAGTAGATTCGGCTGCCAGAGGTCCCTGTGCCTGAGCAGGAAGTTCCTGATGGCTCTTCAAGCTTCTACCTCAGCCCTTCGTGTATTTAAAGAGAAGGTTGGGATGGATTTTCAGGGTTGCAGGCGTTAAGGAAGACGACTGAAGTGAAGCAAAACAGCTATGGGAAAGTGATCATCAGCACTGCAGTCTCCAATTTGGTGGTGTTCCTATGTGCTGTTAGGAAGGGACATCTTATCTATCTTGACTGATAAGGAAACAAAGTAGAGGTGCCCATTAAGGAAAAAAAAAAAGGAGCTCAAATGAACTGGTAGCCAATGCCAGCATAGGCGGTGAGCAGGCTTTGGTAAAGAGTGACAAGCTGCTGCTTTGGGCAAGTCTCAGGTAATCAATTTTAGGAATACCTTAGGATTCCAAGTGGCTCCTGGTCAGGGCCAGCAATCAGAGGGGTGAGAAGGAGCTACAGAGATGTGCTTAGAGCCAGGAGACGTGGGCCTGCAGGGTACAGGGGTGTCTGGGAACCTCGTGGAACTTGCTGCTACGTTTTATGCATAAATATTTCAGGGAGGAGGGCCTGGAGCATTCACTAAGTTTTTTTCTGTTTGTTTTGTTTTTTTGAGACCGAGTCTCACTGTGTCGCCCAAGCTGGAGTGCAGTGGCGCAACTTCGGCTCGCTGCAACCAACACCTCCCAGACTCAAGCAATTCTCATGCCTCACCTTTCTGAGTAGTTGGGATTACAGGTGCGCACTACCATGCCCGGCTAATTTTTGTTTTTGTTTTTGTTTTTTTGTGGAAACGGGGTTCCATTGTGTTGGCCAGGCCAGGATGCCAAACTCCTGACATCAAGCAGTCCACCCGCCTTGACTTCCCAAAGTGCTGGGATTGCAGGCATGAGCCACCGTGCTTGGCCAAAATTCACTAGATTTTGAAAGCAGTTCTTGACCCATGGCTTATGTGAAAGCAAATGCCCGATCAGGGTGCAGTGGTTGCCCTGTGCTGGAGCATTCACTAGGGAAAAAGACCGCAGACCCTGGGAGGCTGCAGACCCTGTGACCTGAATGCTGGATGCTGGAGGGAACCTCCAGACCACTTGTGAAATGTGAAAGAGAACAGTGGAATAGAACTGAAACTGACGTTCCCTGAGCATGCTGAAGGCAGACTGTACAGCCCAATGTAGACGCACAGGAGGAGTGACTGGGTTTGGAATGAAATGTAGAAAAGGAAGCAAGCTAAATCACCAGGGGAAACCCTTGAGACCACAAGAATGAAGAGGTCATGGCCCTGTCATTCCAGAGGAGGCTGGAGCAGCTCTTCAGGAAATGTGGATGTGCGAAGAGGACAAGCCTGGCTGAGCCTAAAAGGGGCTCTTCAGACTCTTCTGGAGACCTGCACATGGCACTCCCCACTGGGACTGTCAGGTGGTACCTGGAATTGACTCTACAGTTGCTTTTGCCCACAGCACACACATGCTTCCTGAGAGCCAAATTCAGACCTGCTTGCCACAGTGGAAGATTTGTGAGATTATTTGAATCCCTTATATCTTTGGATAGTGGTAGTTCTTGGAATAATATGGAAAGAATAGTTTCAGGATTTTTTTAAAAGAAAAGTTAAAGTCAGTGATTACAGATTCAAGATTCTTATAAGACTTTGCTCTGGATAAAAATGTGAGTAGTTGCCACCATTCTTTTCCTCTACCCCATGGCTGCCATTTTTCAAGAGTATTGATTCTTCCTTTAAGGGAGGGTGAAGGTACCAAAGTGGTCTCTCCAGCCTTTCAGGGCAGAAGCTGTATTCCCTGGAGGCTTTGTGGTGTGAACAGCACCTGGGCTGGGCTCAGTCCTTCCCCATGGGGAATGCCTACATACTCTTCAACTGGCTTTTTCGGAAAGCATTGTCTGAGAGCTTGTGAACAGAAGGGTTGGCTGGTGAAGAGCAAGGCAAGGGGGATGTCTGCAAGCCCAGGTTAAAAGGTAAAATGTTCTACTCTTGACTGGTGCTCCCTCCCTTTTCTTGCACAGAAAATACACTTCCACGCATTTATCCAGAGCTTTTCCATTCTCCTCAGGCCCTCAAACTCCACCTAGCCTCCTTTGTACTTTGCCTCATGCTCAACTACATAGATTGGGGTTCTGTGATAGTCATGCTCTCAGCTTCCCTCTTCTTCCCTTCAGGGTCTCCTGCCCTTTCCTTCCTTCCTTCCTCCCCACCAGGCTGGGCTTCCTCTGTCCAGGATGGATGGCCTCCATTTGGCCCAAGATCCCTTTTGTTCTCTTGTGTCTTCAGTCTTCCTTCAGTGCTGGTTTCTCTTCTTTACCCTACAACTGCCACACAGCCCTCTGTTCTGCTCATTCCAAAGCGCTCCTTCCCTCCTGTTCTTTTGGAAGTGGTCATCCACACTGGTTGCATTGCCTCCGCTTCCGATGCCCCCACCTATCCTTAACCTGGTGCTTCCCAGGTTTTTTCATGTCATGTCACACACAGAAGATGTTGCTGTTTGAGTAGCACCGGGGACGTGTGCATGAGGCTGATGGGAGGCCGAAGCTCTGGCTGCCCTGGGAGTAAGAAGAGCTAGAGCCCTCCTCACAGCGTCTCCAGAACCCATTTGCAGTACATGCCTTAAACCTTTGCAGTGTGACTCTGCCCCTGTCCTATATTTTCCTAAAATAGCCTTCATAAACACCACCAGCCAGCAAATGCTCAATGCCAGGAGCTTGTCTTTGTTTTCTCCTCCTTGACATCCAAGTGGCATTGGACATACACTTGCGGTTTAGAGAGACTCTAGGGCTGGACTGCCTGGGTTCAGTTCCCAGCTTTGCCAGTCTCTAGCAGTGTAACCTTGGGCAAATTCCTTAATTTCTCTATGTCTTAGTTTCCTCAACTGAAGAAGAGGATAGCAAAATTCCTACCTCATAGCATTGTTATGAGAATTAAATAGTTGCCATATGGAGAGTGTGAACAATGCCTGTCTCATAGCAATTGCTCTCTGAGTGCCCTGTGTTGTCTTTGAGTCCCCTTTCTTAAAGCTCTTTTCTCCTGCTTTTCCTAACATCGGTCACTCCTGGTTTTTGTCCTGTCTCTCTCAGCTCTCTTGTTTTTTCTACTGTTTTCATTCCCTGGCTTCTCTTCTCTCCTTAACATGAAGGAGGTGTTAGGCCAAGCAGCCCCACCTCCCCCAACCGCCCTTTCTTCCATAGACCCTTCCACCTCCAAACGGCCCAGGCCCACATCCGAATGCCTGCCAGATCCCCTCACCTACATCTCTCCCTGAACCTCAGACCTAGGAGTCCCCAAAATGTTTTAATGTCCTTTTTTTGTTTTAAAAGTAATACATATTTATTATACAAAATACAGAAAAGTGAAAATAATAAAATGCACCTCAGTGGTAATCCCACCGCTCGGCTGGCACCACCACTAAACTTGGGTATATCTCCTTCAAGCCCAGTGGTTCTCAGCCTGGGCCAGCTTTCCCCTAGAAGACATTTGGCCATGTCTGGAGACATTTTTGATTATCAACTTGGTAGGGAGAGGTGCTCCTGACATCCAGTGGATAGAGGCCAGGGATACTGCTGAACATTTTATAATATACAGTTCAGCCCCCTGGCCAACAAGGAATTATTCAGCCCAACAGTGCCAAGATTGAGAAGCCTGTTCTAGACTTCTGTCTCTACATATGTGCCCCAAATGGAAAAGTCGGAATGGGTTTCCTCTTTCTAGCCTCATCTTGCTTCTCCACCTGTGTTCACTCTTTTTGTCAGTGGCCCCACCTCCCCCTTCTCCCTCACTCCACATCCGAGCTGTTCCCAAGCCTGCAGAGTCCCTGTCTGCCACATTGTTGGCAGCTCTCTCCTCTACTACTCTCAGTGTCGACATTGATGCCCACTCACCGAAACTAATGAAAAAGCCTCCAGCATGCCTTGCCTGTGCCACTGGTGTGCTTGGGGACCGTCCATAGGTGTCCAGTGCCCATTGGATTAATTCCACGCCAGGTGGAGACTAAGCTCCCTGAGGGCAGCAGCTTCCATCTCTGATTCATCTGGGTGCCTAGCCTGAACCTGCCACCATTCCGAGCACACAGTCAGTGCTCAATAAATCTTTGTTGAATGTGTATGGATGAATGGCTGAAGGAAGAAAAACCTGAAAAACATTTGTCCTCACAATTCCCTTGTAATCTGTCCATCTTTGCAGATCCTTGATGAATGGTTTGGCCGGACCATCATCCGCTCCTGCACCAAACTTAGCTACGAGCATGCACAGAGCATGATTGAAAGCCCAACTGAGAAAATCCCTGCGAAAGAGCTGCCCCCCATTTCCCCAGAGCATAGCAGCGAGGAGGTACACCAGGCCGTCTTGAATCTCCACGGAATTGCCAAGCAGTTACGCCAGCAGCGCTTTGTGGACGGCGCACTTCGTTTGGATCAGGTCAGTACGTGTTTTTTTAGTGTAGCCAACAGATTTGACTCGTGCCTGAACCCAGCGTGGATGAGCGCAGCTTGGCAGGCTTAGACTCTTCCTTCCTTCTCTTTGCTCCAGGCACCACACTAAAATCATGTTCTCTGAGGCCGGCAGGAACTAACTCCCATTCACTCTCCAAATACAGGATATTATGCAAAATATTCTGTATTTTGTATGATTCCACAGGTACACGAGGCCTAATGACATGAGCCAAGGCAAAGAGTGGGTCTGTGTGGGTGGCTCTGACCAAAACCCCCAGCTGGTCTTCCCTGGTAAGGCTGTGTCCAGTCTGTGATCCTCACCTCAGGTCTCTACTCAAACCTGTTCTTTAATGGAGGCAAGAATAGGAGACACGGAAATTTAGGAGGCAGCTGACCAGTATCTGATACGAAGGCTTGGAAAAAAAGTATTTCTTCTTATACCTCATCTCCCAAAAAAGAGTTATTTGTTTACAAATTCCAGATTAATATCTGAAGATGCAGAGAACTGAGGAGACTGTAGAACAGCGGTCCCATTGTTTTGGGCACCAGGGCCCAGTTTCGTGGAAGACAATTTTTCCACAGACCAGGGGTAGGGGATGGTTTCGGGATGAAACTTCCACTTCAGATCATCAGGCATTAGTTAGATTCTCATAAGGAACATGTAGCCTAGATCCCTTGGATGCACAGTTCACAATCGAGTTTGAGCTCCTATGAGAATCTAATGCTGCCACTGACCTGACAGGAGGCAGAGCTCAGGTGGTCATACTCACTCACTGCTCACCTCCTGCTGTGCGGCCTGGTTCCTAACAGGTCATGGACCAGTATGGCCCATGGCCCGGCAGTTAGGGACCCCTGCTGTAGAACACTGGCTATTGAATAACATTGGCCTGGATTGTTATTGATAACTCTGAAGTCTCACAGCCTTGCTGGCAGCCCTCTGGGACTTAGGTAGCTGTCACTTAAACCTGCTTGAATTTCCATATCTGAGAGTCGGTAACTGTTAGGACCCAGGATTTCTTTTTTCATTGCTTGTCAGTATATTACAGAGGAGAGACTATGTTTTGTATTATGGACTTTTTTTCTCCTTCATTTATATTTCTCACCCAAACACTCCTTCCTTGCTTGTTGTGTGCTCTGGGAAGTTTCCACGTGTCTGAAATGAGGTGGGTAGGAGCGTGGAACTGTTCACCAGACCGCCTCATGCAGACTTCTTTCCCTGAGCCTGTCAGCTGGGAGAAATCTGAAAGGCCTTGCAAAGCCTTCTGATTGAAGTTCTGATTTTATCCTCCCTTTTGCAACAGACTTGCACAAATGCTTCTAAGCAGGCATTGCAAATAGGTGCTGCCCTGGGCCTAGGGAGAAGTGGCTGCCATTGGGACCAGTGGATGACCTGTCCTGCCTGTGTGTGGCAGAGTCAGGGTAGCCTCTGGAGTTCTCCTGCTCCTCCTTCCCCAGCCTGGGCTCGGGCAGCCTGAGCAGGCCTGTCTGCGTGAGAATGCTGACAGGGAGACAAGAGGCAGAGCGGATGCTGAAGAAGACAGCAGACATGGTGGAAGAGAAACTAAAGGCATAGGGGATTACAGAATACCTACTTTCCTTCCTTTAAGAAATCATTCATGGGAGTGTGAACACACTCTGTTTCTCATTTACAGGTGGCTGCCTGATTGTCAAGTCCCAGGACACTTTACAGTTCTTGCTTCTTAGACTTCTGACCTGCACCAGCCCCTTTGAAACCCACCTCCTGGTTCTCTGTTTCTCTTTGTACATCTCCAGTAATGTCCTGCTGGCCCCCTTTGCAGAAGCCTCTTCTGTCCACCACTTTAGGGTTGGCATTCCCTGGGATCTACCCAACCTTTGTTCTTTCTGTATCCATACTCCCACCCTGAGTGACCTCTTGTGATTCTAACTACTAACTGGATGCTAACGAGCCAAAATCTGTCTCTCTATCCCTGGCCTCCCTCCCCCAGCTCTAGTCCAGCCCCACAATATCTCAGCCAGTGCTCATCCTTCCCTCTGTAAAACGCAGTGATCAGTGATGCAGTAGGTGGCACCGGCTGTCTAGTACTGCCTTCTCCCTTGGCCCCCACCAGGGGAGTGGTATGTGTATTCTCAAACCTGGCTAGGCCAGTTGTACTTGTTGTAATTATGCAGTTTAACTAAATATCAGGGAAACCGATCAAATACGAACATAAAAAAGAAGCTGTTGTTTTTATAAAAACTAAGTTAAATGTTTTGGAAAGACCTGGATAAGGATAAGTCTTTAAAAATTCAGTTGTAAAACAGGGGATAATTACAAAATCCATTAAGCATTCTGTATTCAAATTGCTTCATAAATGTCTAAATTCTCATTCTTTTTAAAGAAATCAAATGGTAACGTATGAACAGTGAATTGTGAGTGTAGTTTATTCAGAAAAGACTATGTAGAATTCCGGTTAGCATTCCCTTTTTGAAAGCCTTACATTTACAAAAAATTAGTGAATGAATATACATCTATATAAATTAAAACATTTAGTGATGGGTTTGTCTTCCTCTGTTTGATTCTCTTCTTTTTCTAACTTCTAGAATAACCAACCAATGGCTGCTGAAGCACATCACAGGAAAGTTTCTGTCATAACGTTTTAGAGACTTTACCCCACCAGTTTGTTGCAAAGTTCAGTTGAATTAAGTATATGAAATACTGTAAAAACTGTAGAAGACTGTCAGGTGATCCCAGCTCATATGAGGATAGGGTATAGTTGTCAAAATAGAAGAATGATCTCAGATTATTGATAGATAAAGATCTGTTGGCATGTCTCAGAATCAGAGTCTTATTGCTGAAAATGGCTTTGGATATCTGTCTCTATTGGCCTTCTCAATTTATCAGTTAGAGAGCTGAAGCCCCTAAAGGTTAAGTGAGTTGCTTATATGCAAGAAATTCAAATTGCCCTGTGTTCACTTTGCCTTCATTTACACCATGCTGACTTGAGAGAGAAAAACATTTTCCTTTTAAGTGGAAAGAAAACCCTCCGAAGTCCTAATTAGGTTCCAGTTAATTAAGGTTTGAAAATAAGGGCTTTGCACCCTTGGAGTTGATTCCTTGGTTCCCCCGAAAACAAGTCCATGGACCCCAGCTTTGGAAGGAGGAGCACATCAATCTCCCACAGCAAAGGACTCTGGTGAGGTCATTTATAAATCAGCTAAATGGCCCTATTCAGAAGTCACTGCATTTGTTCTCCTGCCCCTACTGCCTGCCTTGTCCTCACAAAAATCCATTTTTCCTTGGTGCTTTTTTGAGTAGCCTACTGTTTGGAATTGTTCTCTGATGCTTTGTTTGCCTCAGACCACTATGTCCGTGCTTTTGGTGGCAGTCCTTTAAAAAATAAAAAATAAAGTCCATTTAAGCTAGCCTCAATTAGAGATGAGTCTGTGCGAGGGGGTACCATTTATTTACACATCATGCCCTTAGGTTCAGAATAAGCGTGTAAACCACAAGTTTCACCTTTCCAAGAAGTCAGTTTACCATGATGACTTTCCGAATGAATGGGGGCTGAGTGTGCGGCACTAGTATGGTGATTGTTTGTTGAGTTAGGGACCTACTAGTTCAGAAGTCATAGCCTCAGAACTGTAGAGCAACTTGACCATTGTGTATTTGCAGTTGGCAACTTAGACCGGAGCTGCCTAACCCATGTCTGAGTTAGTGAGCCTCAGCCCTCAGGGCCACCTAGTCTGGCCCCAGTTCCATGAAGGCCACCTACTAGCAGTCTTGTTTACCCTAGTGTGCTGTCATATATTAGCATATGTATATACTAGTTCATATCCTAGAACTGTGGTGGGAAACAGATAGGGAAGCACTGCCTTCCAGGTGGGATTACCTGCTCCAAATGTCTCCTTTACCTACAGTTCAACCTAGTTCTAAAGAGGTTCTAGGTACATGAATGACTCCTTTGTTTCATTGCTTAGAAAGCAAATGCAGATACCAAATGCATTCTTGTGCTTTTTGGTTGGATGGGTTGAGTAATACCCCTTCCAGGTAGTTTCTTCTATCTCCATGTTTTCTGCTGCTAAGTTAATTCTTGGACTTAACATAGATGTTTGTTTTATTTTATTTATAACATATGTCTCTCATTTCTGAAAAGGGAGCTCCCATAACAGGGGCCCAGACTTTTTTATGTTTGTAGTAAAAGGAATCATAATGCTTTATAATCATATCCAAATCTTGAGCTTTGGGAGAAGGGGAACTGTGGGAAGTTTGCTCTCTGCCTGGTTCTTGCTCAGTGATTCAGGCCCAACTAATAGACTTTGAGAGTAGGGGTCACAGAGTCCCCTGGCACTTCTGCTTCTTGGGACACGAAGCCTGTTCTCAGGCACCTTCCCACTTAGGTCCTTTACAGAGACTGCCTGACTATAATGTGAAGACAAGGCCTCAGGCTTCTTAGCCATGGCATTCAGAAAAGATACCAAGGGAGGGTGGCAGGTGCCAGAAGAATCCCATTATGAAAGTGTCTTGGGAATATTGATTGATTTTTAGGAAGCTACACCTACTGCCTGCTGGGGTTCTCTCTCTAGCCTCTTCCTCATCAGTCAGGTGGCAGTACCCAGAAGCCACTCTGTTTGAGGGCTTCCATGTAAAATAAGCATGAGGTTTGCAGGAAGCTGTGCACCATCATGGGTCCCCTGACAGGTGGTTAGGTGATGTGAGCAGTTCCTTCTGGGTCACTGACTTTGGGAATTCAGAGGAAGTTGAAGTAGTGGTGGAGAAAACCTGATGTTACCATCTTCCCAGGCAAATTACTCTCAACTCCAGGAGCTTCACAACTGCATCTTGTATAAATCCTACTTGGTGCAATTTTGAAACCCAAACTGCAGGCAGTTTCTTTGAGTGGACTTGATTGTAAAGATAGCCTTGTTAATGGAAATTATTTTTAAATACCCTGGGACCCAAGCTGCAGTGGAATGCTGTTATGTATGACCTTGACCTGTTCCAGCCTTTAAGGCAGGGATTGACGGATATTTTCTGTAAAGGACCAGATAGTAAATGGTTTAGGCTTTGTGGGCTGTGCAGTCTCTGTCTCTGCTACTCAACTCTGCTGTTGTAGTGTGAAAACACCAGCGTTGCTTTAAATGGATAAATGTGGCTGTGTTTCAACAAAACTTTAAGAACACTGAGATTTGAATTTTATATAGTTTTCACACATCACAAAATATTGTTCTTCCTTTGATTATTTTTCAGCCATTTAAAAATGCATAAACCAGTCTTAGCTCATGGGTCATACAAAAGCAGGTTTGGCCTGTGGTCCATACTTTGCTGACCTCTGCTTAAACAGCCAGCTAGCAATTCAGCCCTGCTATCCAGTGAGCTTTTAGCAGCTCATCATCACTTCACAGGGAAGCCAGGCTGGGTAATGGAGAACAGTCGTGCTAAGTTAACTCTCAGGATGGCTTCATGCAATTAGGTAAATTATTCCTTTGATTAGTACCATGCTTATCCAGTCCAATGGGAGGTGGGGAGTAGAGGAATGAATCAGTT
This sequence comes from Homo sapiens, assembly GCF_000001405.40. Taxonomy (NCBI): domain Eukaryota; kingdom Metazoa; phylum Chordata; class Mammalia; order Primates; family Hominidae; genus Homo; species Homo sapiens. Next base: position 232,268,961 of record NC_000002.12, read on the forward strand.
TAGCATCAGTTCCCTTATTCCATTTACAGGCAGGTCGCTTTAATTAGCCTGAAGCAAAAGGAGCAGGGGTTCTCATTTCCCACTTCTGCAAGCTCAGCAGCTCTTCACAGTCAGGTCTTCATCCCACCCAAGCCCACTTGCAGAGATGCTGGCTCTGCCTCGTGTAGGTGCGCTGAAGGTGGGGACTGCTCATGGCAAAATGTAGCGCTAAGGAAACTGTGTAGCATTTCTCCCCCACACTGCCCCCATTGCCAAATGTAGCTGTATGTTTTGTTGAATCTGTTTCTGTTCCTTCTCTCCAATACAGTCGCTTTCAAGAAATGAGCATTCCAGCTCTGCTGTTTAATATTTGTACCATATATTTGATCCAAGGTAGGAAGGATGGGTACATTTATCCTGTCTGGCTCTTCCTTGGTCTTATTATTTATGTTGTCACTTAAACACACGAGGAAGCTATTGATCACAGGGTTGAGTATATTTGTAGAATCATTCTGTTTTCTTAGTCGTAGAGCTTTTCTATAAATAATATAGGAAAATAATGAGAGAGCCAGCAGGCCACACAGAAAATGTAAAGTGATGTGACAGAACTCTGCCCATAGTGCAGTGAGCTGTCTTGGAGAGGACCAGCTCAGTCTCAGGGGTTCAGGGAAGATTTTCCAGCAGAAGTAGTGGGGCATTAGGCCTTCTAAAAGACTTGAGGGTCTAGCCAGGCTGCAAAGGCAAGCAGACTGCTGGTACAAGCATGGGAGGGATGAGAAATGGCAGATTGTTCCAGGGTGTGTGGTGTAGGGTGCAGAGAGAGAGAGGAGCTAGAGGAGACACAGGCTAGGCCTTGGAGTCTGTAGGAATGAACCAGGGCAGCTATGGAATGATTTTAAATATGTAAGTGACATGAGCAGAACTGGGTTTTAGAAAGAGCCTCCCAAAAGTGAATAGAATAGAGGAAGTTTATAATCCAAGAGAGAAATGATGAGGGCCTAACCTGAGGTAGGGACCGTGGGGTGAGAGAAGATGATGGACCGACCCAAGAGAGGGAAGAAAATCGACAAGCCTGTAGCAAATTGACTCTCTTGATTAGATGCGGAGGGGAGGGGCAGGATCAGAGGCTAGGGATCAGGGAATCAGGTTTCCAGTTTAGGCACATGGTAGTACCACCTGGGGACACCACCGTGGTGGAGGTCGAGAAGAGAGATGATGATTTCCATAACTAGGCCTCTCCGGTCCCCTCTTCTTCCTTTAGGAAGGAAGCTTTATCATAAAAGTAATATGTTCTCATGTTAGAAAATTTAGAAAATACAAGAATATAAAGAAAAAATCATAATCACCTATAGTCCCATCACCCAGAAATAACCATGGTTAATATTTTGGTATAATTCCTTGTGCATTTGCCCCTTATCACTTCATAGCAGGAGGGAAGGGTGTCTAGCATAACATATGTATAGTTTTTATTTATATTCTGCTCTTAAATATTACCTAATGAGTTTTTCCTATGTCATTAAAAAATCTTCTAAAACATTATAATACCTACATAATATTCTGTCATATGAATATACTCTTAAACATTCAGCCACTCCCCAATTTTGAATATTTAAATTAGATTCTGATTTTTTTGGTACTACAAATAATAGTACCATGGCCATGGCCATCTGTGTTCGTAAATCTTTGACCTGATCTCTGATTATTTTCTTAGGACAGTCTTAGAACTGTGATGACAGCATCAAGGATATGGATATATTTAAGATTAATACTGAAACATATTGCCACATTCCCTTCCAGAGAGGTTGTACCAATTTATACTCCTTCAGTAGTATGTGAATCAGGGTACCTTAGATGGAAACATCTGTCAGGAGTTCTCTGCCTACACGGAGCTCTGGCGCACTCGCGCGCTCTCTTTTTCTCGTCTCTCTCTCTCTCTCTCTCTCTCTCTCTCTCTCTCTCTCTCTCTCTCTCTCTCTGTCTCGTCTCTCTCTCTCTCTCTCTGTCTCTCTCAGGTGTCTAGGTCTCTGAAATATCCCAGTGGTTGTGGTCTTAGATTATTCCTTCATCTTTCATATTTTATTTTCATGAGCTCCTCTCTACAAAGAGCTCAATGTGTCACAGACACTTCTCGTTGTGTTACTTATTTTAAAAAGTACTTACAAGGGTCCTAAAATTTAAAACAGCTGAAAGAGGTGGTTGACAGTATCTTGCTAAACTCTTGCTAATGCTGAGACTGGGGAATGACCCCTGCCCCAAGTTAAGGTCCTTTCCTCTCATTAGAATCCTTAAAGAAACCCATTGTGTTTGAAGTGGGGCTGAGAACTGTTGTTGCATTCTCAGATCCTCAGAGAACATTTGTAACTTCACTAGTCTTTTCTCTTACCTCCTGCGTGTATTACCTCTTGGGCATTGTTTGAGTTGGTCTGACATGAATAATTATAAGGAAATCCAGTTGAAAACAGAATCGCTCTGTATAATCTGTGCTCCCATAAGAATTGCTACACTTCTCTTGAAAGTAGTAGTAAACAGTACAGGAAGGCTTCTGCTAGAAGTTCAAGGCTTCCATTTAAACATTGACGACTTACTACTTCAACCGTGGAGATAGTTCTAGAGTCAGCGAGGCTTGAAGAATATTAGCCTCCTACATTTTCCCAGTTACCAATTTTATAATAATATTAGCAAAATTTTCATTTAAATTTATTCATCTCATTTATAAAGTAAATCCACAGCCAAGAATGTGTGCCCTCTTAGCTGTTCAGCACTCAGGCTATCTAGGACAGCCTCCGTGGAAGAGAGTGGGAGGAGGAAGCAGTGAGGGGTGGAACAAGCTGCATCCCTGAGCTTTGGGGAGAACCTGGGAGCGTGAATTTCAGCCGTCGCGGGTGTTGGAATCTCCCCTTTGAGAAAAAGGAAGAGACAGAGATTGATTTAGTTAGTACACTTTATGGAATCAAGGAAAGCAATCCATGGTTATGCATCCCAAGGCATGAACAATAGACAAACTTGAAAACTTGACCTAATTATATATAAGCAACACTAATTACAGCCACTTATGTGTGGTGGCCACTATTTCTGGCTTGTTCACGAGTGCATAAAAACTAATATGTGTCATTAAGCATCAGATTCATTCTGTTGAGTGGCTCATTATTATAACCCTGAACTCTTCATGTGCTTACTCTCCTTGTAGGCAAGTCACCTAGTCATTTACTCATCATTTTCAAAAATTAGAAGGAATACAGGTTGCATTATTCTGGAAGTTGTTAAAAATACAGACTCAGAGGTGATATCCGACCAGTACAGGAGGGTTGCTTCCTGTGTGTTACAAATACTGCTCACAGTTCTGTGAAGGAGCCTTAGGCAGCAGAAGACAAACTTTCTACCCTCAAGCTGCTTCAGCAATTTGAGAACTGTATGTACTTTAAAAAACACCAATAAGATAAAAGCAAGGGCACAGTCTCTTGAAACAGGGCTGACAGAATCGCAAACCCGATGGTTATTTGGTGGGATGGGATTAGGGAAAGAAGGCCAGTTTGGAGGGTGAAGCCGTGAGCCACACTGTGATGAAAGGGAAAAGGAGCTGAAAGGTATGGAGTACCCACGCTGTGAGAGGTAAGGGATTTATCCCCTCACTCCTCTCTCTGAGTGCTGAACCCACTGAGAAATAGTCATGCATATCAGACTGAGATTATTCCATCTATTACTGATACCGTTTGGGTTAGAAGGCAATCTAACAGAACAGCCCAGAAGTAGTTAATGTAAAAAGAAACTGATTGGAGTGATTAGTGAGAGCAGAAAGTAGCCAGAGACAGAGAGAACCATGTCCTCTATCAGACTGGAACTGGGGATGGCCCTTGTGCGACCTTCTCTGCTAGGTGCCCTTCCAGTGCAGGGTCTGCTGGTGAGGACCAGTGGCTAATGCTTCTGCTCTTGGTCAGAACAGCCAGTGCAGATCCTCAGAAGAACTCTGAAAGCAAAATTGACTCCCACCCCACTTCTAGAAGCATTTCACTTGCCTTCTGGTTCTTTCTGCTTGCCTATATCCAGGCTCATTTCTTATAGATGAAGAAAGTCCTACCCCCAGCCTACTCCTCCACCTTCACCCTGTGACCTTCTCCACCTTCACCCTGTGACCTTCTAGGTTCACCTTTTGAAGCTGAAGATTGAAACTCCAAATCCTGCTGCAGAGAAGTTCACATTTGTTTTTCCTAGGCAGGGCCAGCCCATCCACCCCTCCTTCCTAGGGTTTCCCTGATACTTTATTTATACCTGTTACCTGTCTTTATCACACTGTCACATTGTCTTGCCATTTTCCTTTTGCTTCCCTGTCTCCTTTTCTAAGATTGTGAGTTTCTTAAGGGTAAAGACAACATCTTGTCCACCTTTGTATCCCCAGCCCCTGCCCAGTGCTCATTTTTAACCAGGCATTTCAAGGTCTTTAAACATCACTATACATATTGATCTTTTAAAAAAGATGATGGTAGCTGTGTTCAGGAGAGTGGATTGTAGCTCTAGAAGAGAGGCGTGTTTATATAAGAGGATTAGATACATATTATGAGCCAGGGCGGTTTTCTTTCCTTGTGAATGAAAGGGCTGGGTGTTTGATTATTTGCTGGGGCATCCAGGGTTTAGAACAAGGTATAATGAGGACTTTCTCAAGGTGGAGTTGCCTGAACAGGTGTGAGGAGCCAGGAAACTTCGGCACCCCCAGGGCCTGGCAGTGCTTCTGAGGCATCCTGAGCACTTCGGTGCTCACTTCTCAGACCAACTGTGTCCCCTTCAGGGGAGCATGGTGGAAGGGGCACTCCAGGGGAAGGGAAAGAGACCCCAGTGTGCCATGCTGGGAAGGGAGATGCTGGCCTGCTGGCATGGAAAGGTAGGGAGGCACCAAACTTCAGAAGGTTCTCTAGGGTCAGCTACCATTAGCTGTTAGTCCCTAGACCCATGATGGGGATGAAAGCGATTTGTGTATCAAGGTGGCTGTGCAGTCTAATGCTCCTTCTGCAAAATTCTGATCAGAACCTATTTTTGCTTTTAATGGAGATAATTCCCATAAGACAGAGGTTCTGTGTTAGCTGCTGCTGGACTGTCTAAGAGAGGAAGATAACTTATATCCCGGTTGAAGTTGAAAGTGTGCCCAGATGACTCAAACCTAAGTGCCTCGCATCTCCAGGGGACATGAAGTGAGACATAGGGTTCCTGCACTGACCAGGTGATAGGAACTTCCAGGGGTGAGCAGAACCCCAGCCAGCACCCCTTGTTCCTCTCAGAGATGTGAACCTTTCAAGTTAGGGGCCTTGACAAATGGAACAGAATTTGGCTCCTCTAGGACCCTGGCTTTTGGGTAATTATACTCATAATTAGGCAGCACTTGGACTCTCCTCTTTCTGTTCACGGGACACACTGCACGTCCTTGCCCTGCCTCCATGTCACACTCCACGTCACTCATATGTGAGCCAAACAGCTACATCAGAGACGTGGAATTCTTTGACGTTAGTAAAACCTGCATTAGGGAAGGGGAACCCTTGCAGCTGACCCTTAGATTTAAACCATGACTGCTTCTTGGGACAGGCCCAGTTTATTTCGGTTTTCATTGTTCAGTGAGCTGGGGCTCTGCTGCGAAGGCCAGAATCCTTTTGTTCTGTTTGCTCTCTGTCCTAAAGGCTGCTGCCAGACTGAGTTTCCCCAAATGCTGCTTTCCCCTTGCCACTCAAGAGCCTGCAGTCTTATTAAGTAAATATCATGGATCAGTAAGATTTCCAAAACTGTTTTGAAGACAAGATATAATAAGATTGTTGCCTTTTTACTTTACCAAGCAAGGACATTTTCTTTAAAAAGCCAGTTACCATCTACTATCTTCATTATTTTATAAATGAAAACATTTTAGCATGAAAACAAAGACGACATAATTTCACAATATGGAGCAGTCTTTTACGTTGACTTGGTTGAACTTGGTGGAAACCTATTTAATTGTCCTATCTTTTTCTCATTTTGTTTGATCTCAAACCAGCCTGTGAGAACGACTGGATTTCTACATCAAATCTAAGTGCCCCAGCCTTTGGGGGCCTCTGTCAGGTAGCCTGGTGTGGGTGTTCCCTGCTTCCCACTAACCCCTATCCTTCCTCCTCCCTCCTGCCTTGCCTCTGTAGAGTCTGGGCCTCCATTTGATCCCCGCAACCCTACACACCTCACTCCCTCTAGAAGCCTGCTCCAAATAGACTTCCTCTTCCTCCAATATCTCTGGCCCCATTCCCCATCTCTCCCCTAGGTGCCTGGTGCGGAACACCATCAGCTTTCATTCGTTTTGTTTTGCGGTTTTCTTTCTTTACTCCTTTTTATTTTCCTCCCTGCCTGCATTCTTGACTATAACTGTTAAGAAGGCAGATGTCTTACTGTTGCTTCCTTCAGATTTGTAAATCTAGCATGGTGCTGGGCACAGAAGAGGTATGCAGTCCTTTAGTGGGGCATCACTCGGCTAGCTCAGAGCTGTTCACAGTGATCTGATGTCACCTCTGAGGTCCATGGGTGCCCAGGGACACTGTGCCCATTGTATTGTCTACAAGGTGAAAATGTGGTACTGCTCTTCCTCAAGAAACTCCCACATTTTTAAAAGAGTGATAGTATTGTAGCACGGTTTGTTTTGCTTTATAATACTTCTTGATTCCCTTGTTAAGTGACATGGCAGATATTTTTAGACTAAAGACAATTTAAGAGCTTTAAATTATTTTAATTTTATAACTTTAAAATATTCCTTTTGATTTACCTTTTTAATTGCCCACATGTTTTTTTAGTATCTACCAGGTACAAGGTAATCTGCTAGGTGTCCGGGACAAAGACAAGGTTAGAACATGGTCACAGCACTCAGAGTGGCTTACTGTCTCCTGGAAGACGTAGAGGCAGATGGGACAGGGGTGCACAGGAAGAGCCTGGACAGCAGGTGTGCACGTGGCTGCTTTCGTGTTCTACAGTAACACCAGCTGTGGTTTGAAGGGGCCACTTTCAAAGTCAGTTAGAAATGTGGGAACTGTTTAAAAGTTTTCTCCTAGCAACTTGCTCTTATACTAGAAATGCTAAAAACAAATTAGAAATTATTTAATTGCTCCTTGAATCGTGACCTCCTGGGGTAAAGGAAATCTGCCAGAGTAGATGGAGATGAGGGCAACACCCAGGGAGGGAATCCCAACAGGTTTCTTATCTGCTTGTCAGCATGAGGCTGGTAGCCTCCTAAATAAGAAGATGTGCTAATGAATAGCAGAGTCTACTGGTTTCGAAGCACATTTGAACAGAGAGCTGTGACTGAGCTCTGAGAATGCTGGCTTGGCCATTAGGCAGTTTGAAACTGATTTGCTACTGTCAGTTTCGACCCGTAAATAACAGGGCGCTCTCCCCTTTCATTCTCCTGCCTGCCACCTGCCAGCCAAGCTCTCAGGCTTACCCACCTCCCTGGTGGCTATGCCAGAGCACAGCTGAGCTCACCTCGAGGGGAGCAGAGCTCCTATCTTTCCTGGACCCTCCTGGCTGCCTAGTTTCCTGGCTGGGATTCCTGACCCCTGGTTGCCAAGACTACCTTGTTGGTCCCTGTGGAGTTCTGTCCTGTTTGCCCAGAGGCCTCGCTCAGACTTGTTCCTTTTTGGTACATGTTTCCACTCCAGACTGCCCCAGGCCCCAACTCTCAGCTCTCCTGTTGCTACCAGCTTCCAGTCAATGACTGTTTATTTGAACATCTCCTGCGCAACAAGAGAATGTAGTGATCAAGAGCATGGACCCTGGGTCAGACTGCCTGGGTTCTGATCCCGACTCCCTCACTTAGCTGTGTGACTCTAACTCTTCTGTGCCTCAGTTTCCTTGTCAGTGAAATGGAGAGCATAACAGTACCTACGTTATAGGAATATTAGGTTAGATGAGATGTACCCGTAAAACACTTGGAACAGTGCCTGACACATAGCAAGCACCCAGCAGGGATTAGCTGTGTGGCCAGATGGTGAGAAAGGGCCCACTTCTGTCTTCACAGAAGAGCTACTTTAACACAGAGGTGAACTTGGAAGGACTACAGTAAACGATGGTGGCCATCAGCAGCCATGGCATGGAGACATCGCCTCCTTTATGATACTTCCAGTCGATCTGGGAGGTGGGGGAGGATTTGAAATGTAAATGCAAGGCAGAGTGAGCCTCATTGCCCCCTGCAGGGAAGCAGAACAGTCTGGTTTGGCTAGGTCCCTGAAGGGAGCTCCGTGGTGAGGGATCAGCCTAGGCATGGTGGTGCTGAGTTCCTTAATGGGGTAAGATTTGGGAGCAAGGAAGGCAAAGGGATGCAGCTCTGAACATCACGCCCCAAGTCACGCAAATGTGAGCTGCAAAGTATTTCATCCTGTTTTGATAACTAGGCCAGAGTGCATCACACCCGCTAACGTTGGTGCAGCTGGAATGTTTCCAGTTTTTGCTGTTATAAATAACACTGCAATTAATACTCTTATGCATAAAATTCAAAAATCATTTTGGATTATTTCCTTAGGAGTACATTCTTAAAATTACTAGATTGAAGGAAATTAACTTTTTTTTCTGTGCTACTTTTCTCTTTCTTACTACCTTTTATTATTTTATTATAAAAGTAATACATATTTATTTTATAAAAATTTAGAAATTGACCAAAAGCAGCCATTGTTCACCTATCACTGAGTAATAACATTTTTCTATATATCCTAAGGCGTGTACGTGTACATTTTTAGAGCTTTTGACTTTGAGATTACAGTCACACATTGCTTAATGACAGGGACACATTCAGAGAAATATGTCGTTAAGTGATTTTGTCAGTGTGCAACATCATAGGGTGTACTTAGACTAACCTAGATGGGATAGCCTACGACCCACCTAGGCTTTGTGGTTTACACAGTTGCTGCTCCTAGTCTACAGACCTGTACAGCATGTGACTGTGCTGAATACTCCAGGCAGTTGGAACAAGTGCTATGTATTTGTACACTTAAACGTAGAAAAGCACAATAAAAATATGGTATTCTAATCTTATGGGACCACTGGCAGATATGGGGCCCATCGTTGGCCAAAACTTTCTTAATGCAGCACATGACTGAATTTTCCAGAAAGGTTAGACTAATTTAGGTTTTCCTCAGCAGGAAACAATAGTGCATTGTTACTGCTTCTCACTAAATTGAGAGTTTGTTAATACGATAGATTGGAAATTGTGTTTCATTATTGCTTTGACTCGCATTTGTTTTCCTGCTTGTGGGCTCAATCAACTCTTCAATCCTCTTTTTGCCATTTCTGTGAAAGGGCACATTTTACCATTTTATATGGTATCACTAGAATCTTATAATACCTTAAGCACTAGACCTACCAGCCACATTTAGCTAAAAGCACTTTTTTCCCTGCTAAGGTATACTTACATACAGTAAAATCCACCCTTTTTAGTGTACAGTTCTGCAAGCTACACGTATAGTCATGTAATTGCCACCACAATCAAGATACAGAACAATTCCATCACCCCAGAAAATTCCCACGTGCCCCTCTGTAGTCAGTTCCTCTTCCCTAGCCTCAGCCCCTGGCAACCATTAACCTGTTTTGCCTCTTTATAGTTTTGCCTTTCCAGAATGTCACACAAATGGAATCATTCCGTTGGTAGCATTTTAAGTCTGGCCTGTTTCACTTAGCATGAAAGTGCATTTGAGGGTCGTCCATGTTGTTGTGTGTATCAGTGGTCATTCCCTTTTGTTGCAGAGTAGTATTCTGTTGTATAGATATACCACAGTTTGTTTATCCACTTACCAGTTGAAGAATATTTGGCTAGTTTCCAGTTTTTGGCAATATGAATAATGCTGTATTTGCCTACAGGCTTTTGTATGACCATTTTTTCCATTTTACTTGGGTAAATATTTGGAATAAGATTGCTCGGTCATATGGTTAAGTGTATATTTAACTTCATAAAGAACTTCCAGTTTTCCAAAGTGACTATACCACTTTGCATTCTCATCAGCAATTTTTTGTTTGTTTGTTTGTTTTTGTTTTTGAGATGGAGTTTCGCTCTTGTTGCCCAGGCTGGAGTGCAATGGTACAATCTTGGCTCACTGCAACCTCCGCCTCCTGGGTTCAAGTGATTCTCCTGCCTCAGCCTCCTGAGTAGTTGGGATTATAGGCATGTGCCACCACGCCCAGCTTATTTTTTGTATTTAATAGAGATGGGGTTTCACCATATTGGTCAGTCTGGTCTCAAACTCCTGACCTCAGGTGATCTACCCACCTCGGCCTCTCAAAGTGCTGGGATTACAGGCGTGAGCCACCATGGCCAGCTGAGAATTCTATTTCTTATGTGCTTGTCAGCACTTGGTATTGTCAGTTTTTTATTTGTTTTGTTTTTTAGGTGTGGTGATAGGTGCATAGTGGTATTTCATTGTGGTTTTAATTTGAATTTCCCTAATGACAAATTCTGTTGAGCATCTTTTCATATGTATACTTGCTGTCTGCATATCTTCTTTGGTGAAGTGTCTGTTCATATCTTTTGCCCATTTTTAATTGGGTTGTTTGGTTTCTTATTACTGAGTTTGGAGAATTGGTGTGTGTGTTTGTTTGTTTGTTTGTTTGTTTGTTTGTTTGTTTGTTTTTTGAGATAGTCTTGCACTATCGCCCAGGCTGGAGTTCAGTGGTGCAATCTCAGCTCACTGCATCCTCTACCTCCTGGGTTCGAGTGATTCTCCTGCCTCAGCCTCCCAAGTAGCTGGGATTACAGACAACCACCACCACGCCCGGCTAATTATTTTATATTTTTAGTAGAGATGAGGTTTCACTATGTTGGCCAGGCTTGTCTCAAACTCCTGACCTCGTGATCTGTCCACCTCGGCCTCCCAAAGTGCTGGGATTACAGGCATGAACTACCACGCCTGGCCTGGAAAGGATTTTTAAAAATATTTTAGATACAAATCCTCTACCAGGTTTGTGATTTGCAAATACTTTCTCCTAGTCTTTGGCTTGTCATTTCATTTCTTCTCTCTCCATTCTCTCTGGCTTATCTTTTCCTGTCTTTTGAAAAGCAGAAATTTTTCATTGTTATGAAGTCCAATTTATCAATCTATTTTATGGATTGTGCTTTTGGTGTCATATCTAAGAAACCTTTGACTAACCCAAGGTCAGAAAGATTTTCATCTGTTTTCTTCTGAAGGTTTTATAATTTTAGGATTTACATTTTAGTTTCTTCCTTTTTTAAAACATATTGCCCAGGCCTAGAAGTTTCTTTTGGAAAACAGTTGCACCTGAGAAGATTTGGGATGGAGTTGGTCCTAGGAGCCTTGCCAGGCATGATGCTCTCTGTGAGCCATCTGAAAAGGAGGTGTGTGCCTTAGAAGTTGCCCGAGGGGTGGCTTTTAAACAGATACCAGGCTTCTCTGGCTTAAGATTTGGCATCAAACTGAAGATTGTATCATTTGAAAAGAGGGTATGGGATGATTAGAGAAAAACCTCCAAACTTTCTAGATAAGTCCTTCTAACTGTTGCACAAAGTTGAAATGAAGAATGGTGCCAAACACAGGACTTTGCCGATTACATGTGAACACCCATGTCAGTGACTCACCCAATCATGCTTTAATCTCATAACTGAGAGGCTTTAAAAAATTATAGTCAACAAGGCAGCTTGCTAGTTATGACTGCCATTGGAATGGAGTTTTCCTCAGAACAGCTGGAGTGTAATGTGGTGGGAAGAAAGCCTGGTGTGGGTGAGAGACCAAGGATTGCTTGCCTGGGAAGGATGTGCAGCTAATGTTTGATGGAAATCTGTGAGATGACCAACCTCAGCCAAGCTACATAGAGGCCCTCCATACACTGCAGCCGAAGTGCTCAGAAAACAACAATGATAATTGGCACTGTATCACCGCAAGAGAGATAAAACACAGCTCTGTCTTCAAGAAATGCATGGTCCACTCTGTGATCCATGCTAGGTTGTAGAAGCTGGCAGAAGATTCCAGTTCCAGTAAGGCAAGGCAGTTGAGAGCAGCCTGGAAATGGCTTCTCCAAGAATGTCCCAGGCAGAGCATTGCCGTGGGTTGGTTTGTTCTGGAATGTACAGGCCATTGGTGTGGCTGTGTCAGAGGAAGGGCTCCCAGTGGTGGTGGGAAATGTTGGGGATGTAACCAGGGCTGATCTGGAGGAACTTGTTTGCTCTGCCTTGAAATATGAGTGTTTTCGGCTGGGCACGGTGGCTCACACCTATAACCCAGCACTTTGGGAGGCCGAGGCGGGTGGATCACAAGGTCAGGAGATCGAGACCATCCTGGCTAACATGGTGAAACCCCATCTCTACTAAAAATACAAAAAATTAGCCGGGCGTGGTGGCGGGCGCCTGTGGTCCCAGCTATTTGGGAGGCTGAGGCAGGAGAAGGGCGTGAACCCGGGAGGCGGAGCTTGCAGTGAGCCGAGATGGCGCCACTGCACTTCAGCCTGGGTGACAGAGCAAGACTCTGTCTCAAAAAGAAAAAAAGAAATATGAATGTTTTCTTGAATTCAACTTGGTGCTGTTGAAGCATTTTACATATAGGAGTTGTGGGATGGGACCTCTTTTTTAGAAAGATCTCTTTGGCAGCTCTGTAGAGAATGAGTTGGAAGGGGTCAAGGTGTAGACATCAAGGAAGCCAGTTAGATGGCTGTGGCTGTATGCAGGTGAGGCCACACAGCTGACAGGAGGGAACAGATGAGAGAAGTGGAATCAGAACCACAAAAGGGAGGGGGGACACCTGGATATGCCCAGGTTTCTGACAGGCAGGAAGACGTGCCACCCAGGAGCATCATCGGCACCACCCAGGGGAGGAAGAGCAGGCATTGGGTGGAGACCCTCCAGGCTTGAGGTGCGTGAGCTGCCCACTTAAAGACGCTTGCCAGGTGGCTGGACCGGAAGTCTGCTGCTCCTCTTCTACCTTGCCACAGGCTGCTGCCTCTGAGTTAAAGAGACATGGGAAGCATCGGGATTGCTCATACCTCCCAAAGTACAGCAGGAAGGACTAGAAGCAATATGAAATCTAATTGGCAAGACCACGGTGAGCACACAGGCACTTAGGAGCAGCACGTGGCACCCATGAAAGCCTCCATCCCCTGACAGTGAGCCCAGAGGCTACTGTGGAGCAGGAGGAAACCAGCCGTCCTTCCTCCTTGCTTGCACCCTCCCTCCTCACCTCCTACTCTCTGTCTTTCCAGCTGAGCCCTTCTCGTTTATTTAAAAAAAAAAAAAAAAAAAAAAAAGGGAATTCACTCCCAGTCCTTTTGAAACCCAACATGTCAGTGATAGATGAGGGCGTATTCTGTAACTTCAAAGGAGAAAAGTTGAGTGAGTGAATGTGGGCCAGAGGAGTTGAAAAGTCCAAGGGAACAGGAGACCCATGGGGTGACCCCACCATCAGGAGGAGTGCCCCCCATCCCACCCCTGCTGGTGCCATGCAGAGGCACAGACAATGCCACTTTCAATAAATCATGAAGGATTCTGAATGCCTGGTTTTGTCCCATTTTCAATGGGCCTTGGGCATATTGCTCAGATATAGCCAGCCATTTGTGCAAGGTTCCCAGCTACTCAAAGGCTCAAAGTCGAGTGCTCTTTCCACTATATAATGGAGTCTTCACATATGTGATTTTGGGGGAGATGTTTTCAGATTTCCATAGCTAGTCATAGTAAAGATGACCTCGTGGGCAGTTCAGGCCATTGTCCCCTTCTCACATCCAGCCTTTGAGTAAGGCTGCGCTTTCAGGAGTATCCATGCAGCACCTAATTCAATCACACATCTGACCCCTGCCTCTCTTTCGCACTGGCCCCTTCTCTGTGCTCAGTGTGCTGCTGGGGGCCTCTGCACAAACCCGGCTGTTCTGGAGGCGTCCTGTGCTAAGCAGAGAGCACTTGGCCATTTTCCCCACTTTCTGAATTCAGGGCCCCCTGGTGAATCTGGCGTGGGGATGGCTGCCTGTTCTCATGAGGCTGCGCACATGAAGGCGCCTGTTGGAAGCGCCTTTTAAGAATCCCCAGGTTGTTTCCATCCTGGAGTCTTGCAAAGAAAGAGGAAGAATAACCTGGGGTCATTTAAGGGCTGGCATGGTCATTTCCTTAATCATCTGTGACCACTGAGAGCCTTATTTTCTATAAAGAAGCACAGAGGCTTCTTTGGCTTTGCTTTAGTAACAACAAACAGCTAGAATTTATTGAGAGCCTGCAGTTTGCCAAGTGCTTTCACACATTCGATCATTTAATCCTCAAGCCTTTTACCCTTGTTTAGAGATGAGGAAACTGAGACTTGAGCTTAAACACTTGTCAAAACTCACATAGCTAGAGGTGGCAGAACTAGGATGGAATCATTTCTCTTTTTATTTGAGGCAGGGTCTTGCTCTGCTGCCCGGGCTGGAGTGCAGTGGCATGAACATGGCTCACTGCAGTCCTCCTAGGCTCGAGTGATCCTCCCACCTCAGCCTCCTGAGTAGCTGGGATTATAGGCACGTGTCTTCATGCTCAGCTAATTTTTTTGAGTTTAGTAGAGATAAAGTCTTACCGTGTTGCCCAGGCTGGTCTCCAACTCCTGGGCTCAGGCAGTCCTTCTGCCTCTGCACCCCCATAGTGTTGGAACTACAGGTGTTGTGAGCGACTGGGCCAGGACTAGGCCCAGTCTATTTCTTATTCTGCTTACTTTTTCATTTCTCTCGGTAGATGTTGATGTTGTTTTATATTCTTCTAAAAATCTAAAAAATGGATCAAGTCCTGACCTTAGGATTATTTGAAGAGCTATTTAAAATGCTGTATGATTCCATTTAGGTAACATCCTCAAAATGACAGATTTATAGAGAAGGAGAACAGGTAGGTAGTTGCCAGGAGCTAGGGATGGCGGGGGGAGCAGAGGGTGGCCCAAGGGAGAGCTGTGTAAGGATGGGACAGTCTGTATGTAGATTGCCATGGCAGTTACACAAATGTACGTGTGTGACCAAAATGGCATAAAACTAGACACACCCATTATGCCAATGTCAGTTTCCTGCGTTTGATATTGTGCTATAATTATGTAAGATGGAACCTTGGGTGGAAATTGGAGATGGGCACGTGGAACCTTTCTATACTACCTTTGCAATTTCCTGAAGCTATAATTATCTCAGAATAAAAAGTGGGTTGTTTTTTTTTTAATTCCTCTGTGTGCAACACCAGCATTGCCCCCAGGAAATAGCCAGGTCTCAGTTCAGGGGCTGCTTGCCATCAGAAAGCAAGCCACATCACACAGTCAAAGTTGGCCTAGAAGTGGGGCACAAACTAGAAGAGGGTCCAGGTTTTATCGCCTGTCAGATGTGAGCTTAGGCTCTCTCGACTTATGGGAAAGCACTGAACTGAGAGTCAGGGCCCCCGGGCTCAAGTATCAGGGCTGCAGTTGTGTGACCCAGAGCAAGCTTCTCAACTTCTGTGAGCCTCCAGCTTCCCAGCTGTAAAGTAGGCATGGTAACTGCACCCACCCTGTGAGTCTGGCAGAATGTGTTGATGTGCTTAGTATCATCTTCGATACCACGATCAATGTTATTATTTTATCTTTTCCCAATTTTACTCCCAACTTTGCAGTCAGACCAATCTCTTGTGTATTCATGGAACATTGAATATTCATTCTTATTTTCTCTGCTTTTGATCATTTATTCCTTCAACAATTATTATTGAGCACCTGTTTTGTTGAAAATTCTGGAAGGCACTAGGGATACATTGATGGACATGCCCCATGTGGTCTTTGCCCCGGGAGAGCTAAAGGTCTGTTTTTTTCCCCATCACCTGGAATCTCTCCTGAGTGCATCCATCGTTCAGATCCTTGCTGTCCTGCCAGACCTGAGGCCTCATCTACACCATGCAGGCCCCTCTACCAGATCATTCTCTAAGCTCCCTCAGTATTAGAGGCAGTGCAGCTCAGTCATCTTTGCCAACCTTTATCCTGAACCTCCCATGGGACCTGGCATGGAGCTGCACACCACAGAGAGAATGCTTAGCAGGTGCTTGCCCACAGAACTGTGAAAGGAGAGCCCGAAGGAGACTTAGACAGGAGCCTTTTGAGGCTTTCATTTTACAGATGAAGTCCTGAATAGGGGCCCTGGACTAAATAATAGGAAGTGGCTATAAGGGTCCCCAACCCATTTTTAATAGGATAATGCTAGTTCTTATATTGATCTTAATTTTTGTTGTTGTTTTGGGTTTTTTTTCTTTATTTCTGTTCTGCAGTTTTTGGACTAGCTGACTGACATTTCCTCTTTTAACCTTTTACAGACCCTGAAAGAAGCTCTAGTTCAGGTCTTATTACTACTTAGCTGTGTGACTGGGCCACAACTGGGGGCAGGTTCATTGAATTGAAAAGGTGAAGCCAACCTATCTCTCACCTGCTCTCCCTGAGTGGACTCACCTAGCACCTGCAGGCTCCAAGCTTGACATTGCCTGGAGGGAGCCCACCCAGGCATCCCCTTCCTCCAGTCCAGCCTCTCCACCTGCAACTGGGTGGGTCAGTCTACTGAGCTCTCACCTGATTCTTCAGCGCCCACCTTAATTGACAGTGAGCCTTGAGGAGGCTGACATTCTTAATGCCATTTGCAGTTCTCTGTTAGAATCTAGAGAAGGGGAAAGGTAAATTGTTGCAACTTGCAGCCTCCAACACAGTGTCCCTGTTTGTGGGAGAAGAAACAGGAAGTGTGGCCCAGTAGGAAATGCCAAGACTTTAGAGCCGTATGGGTTTGAGTTCCATTTCCAGGTTGGCCGGGGTTGATTTATGTATTGCCAGACCTTGGGCAGGTCAGTTACTTAACCTCCCTGAGCCTCAGTTCCCTCACCTTTAAGATAGGAGCAGTGATACCTGGACACTTGTTCCTGGCACAGTCTCTGGTTGCATGTGGAACCTGTGATTCCTACTGCTTATCACGGGGCCCTGCATTGCCTTAACTTAAAGCCTTTGTGGGGATCACAAAGAGTAAACTTACACTGGGGTTTCTCTACAGGGACTTAAAATCTAGTTGGGACAATATGATTGTTAAACAAGTACACAGCTAGAGACATGTTTCAACTTGAGAATAACTGAGAAGAATCAGGCCATGATAGAAGCAATTTTCATGTATCCAGACTGTCAGAAGCCAGCCCTCTGCCATGCTCCAACAGGCTGGGGTGGCCTCTTCCTTCCCCAGGCAGAGATTAATGGACAAGTTGTTACTAGTGCTGAGGTTCTGGGCAGCTTCCTTGTGGAGGCACATCTGTTGACCCAGCAGGGCCTTGGAAGCTTTTTTTCAGTCGTGAGCTTCATCTAGTGGCATAGGGCCTCCCTGATGCTGGTGCTCTGGAGCTAGCGTCACTGGGTCATAAAATCAGGGCTGCCTTGATTTTATCAAGGGCTGACCCCGTGTCAGCACAGCCACAGGAGAGCAGTGTAGTGGTAGTGGGGCTGCTGAGGCAGACAGCAAGGCTTTGAAGCATTGTATCTTCCTGCTGCGGCCCAAGGAGTCCTACAGAAAGCAAGCCACAGAGAGAGTGTTTCCCAGATACTGCTCAGGTAAAGAAATTGGACCTTATTGTTGTAGAAATTACTCAGGTTTTAGAGTGATCACATTTGGAAATATTGAGTCCCAATCAGCTTGTTCCAGCATGTCATGTTTTGAATTCTGATCTCAACTCATTATCAGGAATAACCTCTGGCCTTACTGTATAATACATCAAGAACATCATTGAGTTTCCGCTATAGCTAGGCACTGTTATTATCTCTTTTTTACATAGGAGGCACCTAAGGTAAAAGAGATTACATACTAACAGGAAGTAAAGCTGGGATTCAAAACCCAGCAGCCTAAAGAGGCTGTACCCTTTACTTCTCTACTAAGCAGCCCCCTGTTATTGGGGTTTTATTTTTGAGATAGAGTGTCACTCTTGCCCAGGCTGGAGTGCAGTGGCACAATCTTGGCTCACTGTAACCTCTGCCTTCCAGGTTCAAGAGATTTCCTGCCTCAGCCTCCTGAGTAGCTGGGATTACAGGCGTGAGCCACCGCGCCTGGCCTGTCATTGGTTGTTTTCATAGGTAGAAGTGTTCACAAGCAGAAGTTCCTTCCTTTTGTCAAAGGTGTTTCCCTGGCAGAAAGGTGGAAGCAAGAGCATAAACTCTGTCTGACAGGCAGAAAGGTAGACTAGAAGATCTAGACTAGACTAAAAAGTTAGACTTTGAGATCCTCTGTCTGTCCCCTGAGTTCTAGCCCTACAGCCTCTAGAGAGATTACATGGCAGCTAGAGGGAAAACAAGTTTCTGCTTAATGAAAACATTCCCCTAAGATTATTGTGAAACTTATTTTTTTAACATTTAACATTGTGTCTAGTTTCTTAAATGATTTTCAACTGTGAGATTATCCAAGGAGTTTTTTATTACCAAAGCTAATTTTTCATAGTTAGCATTACAAATAGAAAGTTTGTTCATTTTCCTTCTTTTTATCCTTTCCTTCCCCCCGCGCCCCCCCCCCCCCCCGCTTTTATTACATAGAGACAGGGCCTCACTCTGTTGCCAGGCTAGAGTGCAATGGCGTGATCATAGCTCAGTGCCGCCTCAAATTTCTGGGCTTAAATGACCCTCCCACTTCAGCCTCCTGAGTAGCTGGGACCACAGGTGCATGCCTGTGCTGATTTTTAAATGTTTTGTAGAGACGGAGGTCTCGCTCTGTTGCCCAGGCTGCTCTCAAACTCATAGCCTCCAGCAGTCCTTCCATCTCAGCTCCCAAAGTGCTGTGATTACAGACGTGAGCCACCTCACCCAGCCCCATTTTCCTTCTTAATGGATCCTGGCCCTTCCAAATACCCTCCATTTGGTCTTTGTATTTCATATTAACAGTAAACTTTTGTCTGTACTGTTTTAAACTTCACAATACGCGTGGGTTCTTTAGTTTTTACCACAGTTAAAACAGCATCTCTTAGACTGATATGTCATTCTGTAAAGAAATAGACTATCTAAGACACAACTAATTATCTTGGAATAGGAACTTCAGGTAACCCCAGGTATGGGCCCCATAGGTGTCCCTTCCAGACTGTTCTGAGCGACCAATTAAGAGATGTCAGATCAATGGGCATTTTGTGGCTGGATGGTAGTGGAAAGTGATTCTTCTACCAGGAGGTGCTGCTAACCCCATTGTTGCAGGTTGAAGCCAGGGTGTAGGAGCAGGGGAGCAGGCAGCTGGGGAAGGAGGTAGATTGGCTGCCCCAGGTCCAGAAGGGACCTGAGATGGCAGTGTAGTTCTGGAATATGTTATCCAGATATTTGGCCTTGTCTGGGAGGAAGGAAGCAGAATTAGCACGGAATCAAGTCCTGAACTTTGATGGGAGCTCTTAGCTGCGTAAGACAGCCTTATGCAGGAGAACTCTTCACTGCCACTTGGTTCTCATTAAAACATCTGAAGATGTGAGCACTGGCTCTTCTGAAATCGTAGAGCGTCTCTTCTAACTGATATAGCAGGGGCTTATTATGAGTGCTTTCTTCCAGCAAACCTAGAAAGTGTCTCACATTCACCCGTAAAACAAACCATGAGGACAACCATAGAGGAACTCAGCTCTGTTTAACAGGTAGAAAGTCTAGGACCATCGGAACCCCACCACCAACCCCAGAATCTGGGAGAGAACAGAGACAAGGTCAGAGCTGCTGGCTCCCCGCTTGGGGTTATATAACTCCCCGACTCCTCAAGTCCCTGGAAACTGAGGCCAATTCCCTGGAAGATCATTCTGTTCTCTGCTGTTTTTTCAAGAATACAGCCAGCTTGATCACTGGCTCTGAGTATTGTATGGGAATGTCCCGTTTTCTTTTTTTTCCATGAACTGAATGCCTACCATTATGGTCATTGTTTCATCAGTCTGTGTTTAAACTTGCCTGGATCTCATATTTTTATGTATGTTTGGCTTATATTTTGAAGAACTTTGCTTTGTTTATATATACCCTCATCTGTTTCCAAAAAGATTTTGAGAGGACTTACAACAAAGGAAATGAACAGTGAGCTGCATTTAAATAATAGAAAGACAGAAAATCAGAATGAAGGAGAGGAGTGTCAGAAAGAATTTGACATCTGTAAGGGTGGGCACAGCTCCTGTGACTGGGCTTCATGTTTTCTGATTTCAATATCACAGATGCAGTCGTCCTGCTTGGTGGCGTGGGGGAGGGAGAGTTTACAAGGTTATCTCTTACAACAAACCCCATCGAACATTGAGAATTATTTTTCTTAGCACCTAAAAGCAGCTTCTCACTTAAGGCTTGATATTGGAAATATTCAGTGTTACAACAGTGGACAGCGTTTGCATTTTGGGCAAATGAGGAAAGAGTTTTTTGTTTTTTGTTTTTTTTTTTTGGAGACTTGTCCAGGCCTTGCCCAGTTACTGGCCCGTGTTCTTGCCTCTCTCATGTCTGAGATCGCAGTGGCACCATCTTGGCTCACTGCAACCTCCGCCTCCTGGGTTCAAGCGATTCTCCTGCCTCAGCCTCCCGAGTAGCTGGGATTACAAGTGCCCGCCACCACGCCCAGCTAATTTTTGTATTTTTAGTAGAGATGGGGTTTCACCATGTTGGCCAGGCTGATCTTGAACTCCTGACTTCAGGTGATCCACCTGCCTTGGCCTCCCAAAGTGATGGGATTATAGGCATGAGCCACCGCGCCCAGCCAGGAAAGAGATTTTATAAGGCTATTTCTTAAGACAAAATCTGGTGAAAATAGAGGAACATACTAACCCACCCTTGAGGAAGGCAGGTGCTAGAGAGCCAAGCTCATATGATCTACACACATAACTATCCTCTATCCTAATCTGATTCCAGGATAAAGTGTAGACCATCTCTGAGTGGGTGGAGAGCCTGTCGCTTGGGCTACTTCTGTTTCCCTTCCCTTTGCTGAGTGTTTGACCAGGGCTGTGTAGCTGTGGGAGGCTTCCACAAGGTCTGCAGCTTGGGTAGGACCACTGCTGAGGGCAGGACCACAAGCTTTATTTAGAAAGCAGATAGATAGGTAACAGAATTAGTATATTCTATATGCAAGGAAATCTAGATAGCATCTTTCCCAGGTGCACAACCATCTCTGTGCATTGGAAGGGGTGATATGCAGTTCCTGCAGTCAGCACTGGCACTTTCCTGTGGAAGCAGCTTTGGGTAACTGCATTCCTTCGACAGTAGTTGGCCTGAGGCCCCTGAGCTCTGAGCACAAATGGTTTGATAAGGTGATGTTCTAACGCAGTCATCCTCTTTGGCCATGAAAATCCTCAAAAATTCTCCAGCTTTGATTAGGATGAGCAGATTGGCTGCACTCTCTCTCCAGCTGGCTGCATGTGACACACGCAGACTTGCTCATCATGCTTTGTATTCACTGTTGCATATTGCTCAGGCACGTGAGAGGCAAGAACATGGCCCACTAACTGGGCAGGTCCTGATCGGGAAGCTGCTGAGGTAAAGGTGCTCCTGTTCTGCTAAAGGAGACCCTGGGATCAGGGACGAGCTCTTCCTTGCTGGGCTCACCCAGTAATACAGGTCGTGTGGGACAGTGGTGAGCCGAACTCTCCTGCCATAGACGTGCTGGTGAGCAATGGAGTCACCTTCAGAAGAGGAGGCGGCTTGACCTGGGGGCATGAATGCTACCACCAGGCCCTTTTCTCCTGGGACTGGCTCCTTCCTACAGAGCAACCCTCCCTGTGGGTTGACCATAGCTCCAAAGACAGACGTTTTTTCTTCTCAGAAAGTAAAACCTCAGCATTGAAGAATCCTTGTCCTGTCATTTTTAACCTTAATGAGAACAGAGCAAGCCTCTGGAACAAGGTGCAGCGCAGTCAGGAGAAGTGGCTTTAAGTGAAAACACAGCTGTGGGGTTTACAGACGGCGCTGCAGGGAGGCATCATCCAATGGGAGCGGCCAGCCTCGCTATAGACTTTCCAACACTAATGAATCGGGAACTCCATGCTGAATAGGGTTTAGTTTGATGGGTCCCTGTGCCAGCAGAAGGATGTATTTTTCTTGAAAGACCAAGGTGCCAGAAATCTCCATGATTACGTTACTGGAGAAAGGTTCTTTTTTGTGGTTTGTGAAGTTGAGCGTCAGGACTGCAGGATTCTCTTGCTCTTTCTCACTCTTATTTTTTCCAGGTCAGAACCAGAGCTTGGGGTGGGGAGGAAAATCCTGCTGAATGAGCAAGTTCTTTCTTAAAAAGCTCTCTCCAAGTCCAAAAAGACTTCAGTGGACTTAGGAGAAAGAAATTTAATACATTGCCATAGAATCGTCATTAACCAAGTTAAAGCAAAGTCCACAGCATCTTTGTCTTATAAAAGAAAGCAAAAAGGAGATGGAAAAAAAGAAATTATACTTAGGAAATCCAAACCAAACAGTGAACACTAAAGAAGAAAAACTCAAGATCATCTCTGAAAATGTGATTTTCTTCTAATCAGATTTTTCTATTAAAAACCAAGGCTGCAGGTAGAAGTAACTTTTCTGATCTTTTAAATTCTGCCATAAATGGCATAGCTGAAATGTTTGAACTGTGCTAGGATTTACCACTTTCAGCTTAAGGAAGAGTTGGACACCCTGTAAGACCCAGTGGACTATGAGGGGAAGAGTCAACCGTGGAGAGGCTGGAGGCTTCCCAGGCCGGCCTTGACCTGTGTTTGAACCTTGGTCCTAATAACTAGCAGATTGAAGCAAATTCACAGGCCTCCTGGAGAACCCATGTTGGTTTGAACTGGAGCAATCCTGGCCAAATAACTCACACTGTGCTCTTACCAGTGACCTCCCTCATTACACCCCTGTGAGGGGAGCTCTGAGCTAGCATCCTAGGTTCCCCTGCTCATTCATGGAGTAGTCTGCAGAGAAAGCTGAATGGCTCTGTCCTGCTGGGGCTGTAAGTACCTTCCAGGAGACGGGCAGAGAGAGACTTGGTTGTCCATGAGAGGTCATCTTGGAGGTATTGCGAACAAAACAGGGAATTCCTAAACTTTTAAACTCATTTTTTTGCCCTTCCAAGGTCAGGCCAGGACTTTTCCAAAGCCTCGAAACCTCTGATGTGGCGTCTTCCCTAACTGATGGAGTTTAGTGCCTAGTGGCCCTTGCATGACGTTCTCCAAGTATGGCTGTTTGACAAAGCTGCCTGTGTGCCTGGGCCAGCCAAAGATCTACCTGTTCAGTAGCCCAGAGGGACCCCTGGCATGCTTGCCTAGCCACACTTTCCTGTCTTGTCTCGTCACGCTTCTGGTTATTCTTATGAATGTAGCCTGGCCCACTGTCTTCACCAGGCTGGGATCCAAAATAAGGTCACATATCTTTTAATAGTTACATTAAAAGACTCAGTGGACACCCCTCCTTCTGCTTACCTAGGACATTGTTTCTGCCCCTAAGTTCTCCCTAAAGTGCCATCCCCAAGCAGCAATAATCTGAGCAGCCTGAGGAAGCTGTACATAGTCCTCAGTCACTCATTCTTGTTACCCACCTGTTGCCATCTGCTGGGAGGGTCGCCTTGCTGTCTCCATTGTCATCCTACCCAGAAAGCTCAGACGGGCGGAAGGAGGGCCTCTCAAAGGCCCAACAACCCCAACAGGGCCTGCATCCCATGTTCCCACAGAGTCTGGGGAAGATTCTCCTCTCCCAAGGGTCCTAGTCCCTTCAACTCATCCAGGCTCCTAGAGCTCACCCACGCGATTCTCTTAAGGCCAGTTTCCTGGGGGCCCCACCCTAGAGCAGGAGGCCTAGGTCCAAAGGGGACCCAGTGGTAGTCTCATGCTCTGGCCGCCTGGAGCCTGCCCTCCTGTGTGACCTCAGCCTGAGCCCCTGAAAGGAGAAGGCTCTCCCATTTTCTGCCCTGGGGAGACTGCCCTTTCCTTGTTGGGATGAAAGCCTTGCCTCTAACTGAACCCTTTTGAAGGCTTCCGCCCTCTGCTGGTGGAAGCTGACAGAGCAACCTTGTTGTTGCCTCTTGGGTCCTTCACTTCCTTCCCTCTTCACTCAATACCAGGACCGTTGTGCAGTTGGAAACTGTCCACCCAGGGAAGCCTGTTCCTGGGGAAAGGATTGGGTAGTGGTGAGCTCTCCTGCTTGACATGGCAGCTGCCTCTGGAGAGAGAAAGACCTTGTGAAGTCTGAGTGGCTGCCATTCTTGCAGGCTGACTTCCCAAGCTGAGCTGCTCTGTGGGTGGTCCCTGCAGGTGGTGATTAGGGCCAGAGCGCTGCTGCTGCCTGGTTCCTTGCCGTGCCTGATAGCTAGGAAGTATCTAGTGAGCATTGTTGAGGGAAGGAGCTTGTGCCTCTTGAGGGTGCTGACAAGATGGCAACACCTGAACACTGAGAGTGTCTGAGCCACAGCTGGTCATCTGGTGGCAATTACTGAGCAGGAGGCAGACGTGAGGCAGAATTTATTTACTGAAGAAAAAGAAATTATTTTGAAGGAATGACATTGGACACCTGCTGTGACAGTGATAAGGACACCGATTGCCCAGGAGACCTGGTGAAGCCACCCTTGGATTCTCTGGGGGAAATACCTCTGGCATTCCAGCGAAGGGGAAAACAAAAGATCAGGGCCACTTTGACAGAGGAGGGACAGGCAGGAAGGGCTCCCCTGGAAGCAGGTGGAGCATGAGGAAGGGCACAGAGGCCTAAGAGAGCCTGGTCTGCTCTGAACCCCTCAGGGAAGTGGACCGCGTCGGGGAGTGCATGGAGCTCTGCAGGAGCTGGAGAGTGACCCTTCCCTGTCCTGTAAGACTCCTTCTGTCTGTCCTGAGGGCCTCCCTGGCTGGCACACCCTCCCGAGCACAGGCCCACCTCTTTCCATTGCTCTGTTACTGTCCATATTTGTTCATGTGAACAACCAACCTTCAGCGAGCCTGGGCTGTGTTGAATTCACTTTCATATCTCCAAAAGCAGGAAGCCGTCAAAGGTACTAAAGAGGGAAGTGTTACCAGGTTTATGCTTCAGGAAAATAACAGCTATGTTCTAGAGAGCGGATTAGGAGAACATAGCCAAGGGAGTAGGAAGATACATTGTGTGTCAGTGTCCTTAGGAGAAGCATGAGCACAAATTACACAAGGGCAGTAGAGGGCCCGGAGGTGGCAGGGACCAGGCCTGCCTCCACCAAGGCACTGGCTGCCCACTTTGTCAGTCTTTGGAGTCTGTGTCCTCCATGATTTGGCTCCCTTCTCAGGCTGGTGGCAAGCTGGTTGCAGCAGTTCTGGCCCGCATGACCAGAAGCACTCAACAAGCATCCCCTCGTACCTCATTGGCCTCGGTTGGGTCACACATCCATTCCTGAACCAGTTTCTAGGGCCAGGAAATGCCATGCCCTGATTGGCTTAGGTTTCTTACCTCAGAGCTGTCACGTCCAGCCCTGGAGCTAGAGGTTGGGTCTGCTTCCCCCCGGACCCCCTAGAATGGGGAGCAGGACAGGGGAATGAATAGCTGAGTGAAAGTAGGCCATCCTTAGCAAGGAGGAAATGCCTGCTAGCTATGCATCCGTGTTTGCTACAGGAACCAGATGGACCCATTCATTCATCTTTTGAACCTTGTACATGGTAAGCACCTACACACCAGTAGGGACATACTTTGTGGAAACAGCATACCATCATCCTGGGTGAATTTCAGTCCTCATGAAGGATCCCCTACCCTTATCCCTACCCAGACCCTTGGCTCTCCATTCCTTGACTTCTTTTTGGATCTTGTTTTTGACCAGCCATCTCCAAGGTCAGACACACAGCCTGCTCTCTGACCATGGCCTCAGCCCCTTCAACTCCCTTATCCAGTGACTCCCACACTCCTCTCCTTGACCTCTCAGACACTACACCCAGTGATTAGCAACATGGACCATACTTCAGCTGTGCCACTTACTTGGTAATTTGGGCCAAATACTTAATAAACTCTCCTGTAACATAGAGGTAGGAACCGGCTTTGCAGGGCTCTTGCGAGGATTAAATAAGATCAGCGTGAGAGATGCTTAGGACAGAGGACGTGCTTAATAAATATTAGCTCCATTCCAGACATCTGTCACCCAGCCGCTTCCTTCTGTTTTCTTCCCATCAGCCTCTTTCCCATTTATTTCCTTCCTGTTCCCCCGTAGGTCTCCTGGTCCATATGCTGCCGTATTGTATCTCCACTCCCTTACCCCCTTATTCTTCCCTCATACCTTCCTGGCAGATATTCAGCTTGGACCAACCTAACTTTCTTCACACTAATGTCTAAGTTGCTAGAAAAAAATTAACAGTGGGACAGATGCTTGCTACAGTAACTTCAGATCCTGTGGCCTCCGAATACTCCCTGGCAATACTCCCTGGCAATCCTTATGCTCTGCCCAGGTCAACTGTTTTTCCTATTCTCCAAAGGAGCAATTTCAAACCTTCATCACTTTCCTCAAACTCCTTCCCCCATCACACTCCCCATTCTTTGCAGATAATTTGTGTCCTAATTTTCAGGAAAGAACCTAAAAAATCATACTAGGACATTCTAAATCCCCCCTGCCCAATCCACAGATCTTACTGTTATCGCTGCCCATCTTCCTTCCTCTTGCAGCCAAGAAAGGGGTTCCACTTTTGTGTTGGATCCAATCCCTTGTCATCTCAGAGACCTTGAATCTGCAGTTCTCTCTGTCTCTCTTAATGTCTTCTACTCCACCATCCATAGTGCCTTCTTCCTGTCAGCATTGAAACAAGTCTCTGTCATCTTTAAATATACTCCCTTCAAACACCTTCAGTACACTCTCACATCCTCTCATCCTTTCCCATTCCATTTCATGAATCTTGCCTCTTCCCTAGCACTGTCTAATTTGCTAAAAGAGTTGTATTCACTCATGATTGCCATTTCCTGGCTTTCTATTCGTTTTTCAACCTGTCACCCCGATCTCTGCCCCCAGCACTCCCTGCAAGAGTCTTTTCTGATAGATCCAAAGGATTCCTTGTTTGGGAATGTTCTCTGTTACTTGACCTCTTAGAAGGATTTAACGCTGCTGACTATGCCCTCCTTGAGGCATGTTCTCTCTTTGGCTTCTATAATGTCAGAACTCAGAACTCCATAGCCACTCCCCAGTTTCTGTTGTCCAGCTCTTAAATACAGGTGTTTCTCAGGATTCTATCCAGGGCTCTCTTATCCCTTCAGGTTACAATCTTGCTTATAAACTTCAGAACTGTATGTTCAGCAGCCTACTGGCCATCTCCACTAGATGCCTCCCAGGTATGTTAGAATCCGCAATCTCAGATTGAACTCAAACTCTTCTCCCAAACCTGTTTTTCTTCCTTGTCAGGGTGAGTAGCAATAGCATCTGCCCTGCAGCCTGAGCCAGAGAATCCTGAACACTTGTTGACTCTTCCCTCTCTCACTGACTTTATCTCCAGACCATCACCAAGTCCTGTAATGCTGGTGAGGTGAAAGGAGCATGGATTTTGGTTAAAATTCCAGTTCTAATTGTGGTTTGCTCAAACTACTTAATCTTTCTCAGCCTCAAGTTCCTCATCTGTTTAAAGGAAATAGCAATACCTAATTTAAGTGGTTTTTGTCAGGATAAAGGAAAGCCTTTACTTGGTAGGTGATATGGTTTGGCTCTGTGTCCCCACTCAAATCTCACCTTGAATTTTAGTAATCCCTCATGTTGTGGGAGGGACCCAGTGGGAAGTAATTGAATTATGGGGGTGGGCTTTCCCTGTGCTGTTCTCGTGGTAGTGAATAAGCCTCACAGGATCTGATGGTTTTGTAAATGGGAGTTTCCCTGCACAAGCCCTCTTGCCTCTCGCCACGTAAGACTTGCCTTTGCTTCTCCTTTGCCTTCCACCATGATTGTGAGGCCTCCCCAGCCATGTGGAACTGTGAGTCCATTAAACCTCTTTCCTTTATAAATTACCCAGTCTCAGGTATGTATTTATTAGCAGTGTGAGAACAGACTAATACAGTAGGCATTCAATAAATGTGAGTCCTCCATTTAGTAAACATGACTGCTCTTCTGTTCCAGTCCTCTCTCTCCCCTACCCTATCACCACCTCTGCTGACTTGCCTTATTGTTGAGTTGGTGTGAACATAGTTTCCTGACTTTGAGACTCCCCCTGCAATTAGATTTCCCATAGTTCCTTCATGACTAAGGACTAAGTGCTGGTCACCACAGCATTGTGTGGGGTCTGGGAGGCAGATGCCAGATGTTACTGGCACATAATTAGATGTGTATGTACTTCCAAGTCTTGTCTCTTAGCTGTCTCCAACGCCACTGCACCTCCGTAAGCCAAATCCTCATCATCTCATTGGGCTACTGCAGCAGCCCCCTCTAAGGCATTTCTCTATGCCCTCTCTCACTTCAGCCCTTCTCTACCTGACCATCAGAGCTGGTCTTTCTGCCCTGAAACCTGCCATGGCTTCTCTCTTCTGGTGAAGTGAAGTTCACACACTCCTACGTGCAGCCTGCCTTGCCAGCTCATCTCCCTTGCATGCCTGTGCCAGCCCAGTGGCTAAGTCCTCTCTGACCCAGTGACACCTTTCATGATAAGGGAGCAAGAAGGATGCTTAGATACTGATTGAGAAGCTGAATACTATACTTCTTGGGTCTAGTGGCTAGTAGGACAGGCATAAGACACTCAGCTAAGACCAGCTGTCCAGAAAACTGGGACCAAAAGA
Source organism: Homo sapiens (assembly GCF_000001405.40). Taxonomy (NCBI): domain Eukaryota; kingdom Metazoa; phylum Chordata; class Mammalia; order Primates; family Hominidae; genus Homo; species Homo sapiens. Next base: position 232,297,511 of record NC_000002.12, read on the forward strand.
CACAGGAAACCCAGGAGGGCTTAGAATTCTGTAAGAATCACCAGTCATAAAATAAGGAGGAAAACCTATTAGTCTTCTGTCAAAGCAGTGTATGCTTATGAAGAATTTGGAAAATGCAAAGAAAGTAATCACCTGGAACCTCTCAGCTAGTGATAGGCACTGTTGCTGTTTAGGTATGTTCCTTCCAAGTCTTTTTTTTTTTTTTTTTTTGAGACAGACTCTCGCTATGTCGCCCAGGCTGGAATGCAGTGGCAAAATCTGGGCTCACTGCAACCTCCACCCGCCAGGTTCAAACGATTCTCGTGTCTCAGCCTCCTGAGTAGCTGGGACTACAGGTGCGTGCCACCACACCCAGCTAATTTTTTGTATTTTACTAGAGATGGGGTTTTACCATGTTGCCCAGGCTGGTCTCCTGAGCTCAGGCAATCCACCCGCCTCGGCCTCCCAAAGTGCTAGGATTATAGGCATGAGCCACCACATCTGGCCTCAGTCTTTCTTCTAGGAAGTCTTTGTCCTTTTTTACATAGTCTTCATGGTACACTGTATAATCAAGTGTGCATCCTGCTTTATCTCATCTGTCCAACCTATTTTTCCTGGGTTAGTAAAAATTCTCCCTAAGCCATGTAACAACTACCTGCTATTCCATGTGTGACTATAGCATAGTTTGTTTAACCTTTTGCCACTGCTGGACTTTTTAGTCTTTCCAATAAATAACACTGGGGGGAACAGTTTTGCAAATAAAACTTTTCTTCCTACATTTCTGATGATTTTTCTAAGCTATAAATTCATAACTTAAATCACTGAGTCAAATCATATGAAAATTTCTAAGCAATGCAGACTCAAAATGGACAGAATGAATATAGACCTGACCTCAGCTGCAAAGAGAGAGGTAAAGAGAAAAGGGTTGTAACTAATAGATGCTTTTAAAATTATGTTTTACTTCACAAAGGAGAGGGCTGGGAAGATTCAAGTGGTGCTCTGTAGGGCAAACATGCCTTTGACTTGAAGTTCTGGCTTCATGATGGTCGAGAAGGGCTTGTTTCTGCTTTTGTGTTTTCATCTGGGTCAGTTAGAGGACAAACCATTCCTGTGAGTTCCTTTCCCACTAAGGAAGAGAAAAATCGTCCAGTATCTAATGATGCAGATCATTAGCTGTGTTCGCAGCCTTGTAGTTAAAAAAAAAATTATAATAATGTATCCTCCTAATGTGCAGTTAATTTTAGTTAAAATCTCCCTAGTGCTTTAAAAACCCAGTGAATTTATAAACATAGTAGTTGGCTTGCATTTGGAATGTTAAAGCTGTCATAACCAACTGGCTCTAGCAGGGCATGCTGCACCTCCTTGAGCTCTGTTGGAAGTTCAGCACTCACCTGAGCACTGCCCTCTGGAATCCAGAAAGAAACCAAGACTTTCCCAGAGTTCCTGTTCCTGATCTTCCATAACTGAAGAAAGCTAATGAGTGTCTCAAAGTTAACATGTCCAAAGTCAAACCTTTGACTCCCTATCAGTCCCCAAATTCAGTCTTTCTCTCAGCAGTGGATCAGCCACCTGACTGGTGATTCAGATTCAAAATCTTGAACCGTCCTTGAGTTCTTCCTTTCTTTCCTTACCACTGCCAACATCAAATCCACCAGCATATCTTGTTGATTCGACTTCTAAAATGTACCTCAAATTGTCCATTTCTCTCACTCTATCCCAGCCCCCCTGGCCGCTCCCCTGACTGTAGTGGCTGCCTCCTGCAGGATGTTGCTTCTGCTCTGTGGTCTGTGGTCTGCAGTCTGCACTGTAGCCAGAGGGGTCTTGCCAAAATAGAATTCTGATTACCTCATCTACTCCTTCTTTTTCTTTTCTTCGCTGTTAAGGTAAAGGCCAAAAATTCCAGTGTGGCCAAGAAGGTCCTCCCCAGAGTCACCCACCATGTCCCTGGATCTATCAGCGCCCAACTTCACCAGCCATCCTGCAGCTCCTGCCCCAGGGCTTCTGCACTCACTGTGCTCTCTCCTCAGGAGAACCCTCTCCACTCCCCATCCCTCCTCCTCCTGATTCAGAGGAGCCTTCCCTTCTACCCATTCTATCCAGGTCAGGCTCTTCACTTTCATGGAAACATGGGGATTTTTTTCTTGCTTCAGAGAGCCTATTTTAATTTGAAGTTCTACACATATATGCACATTCATTGGTGTGATCATTTGATTGCTGTCAGTCTTCTCTGCTAGACGGTAAGACCCATGAAAAGAGTCTGCTGTCACTGTTCTTTCCCTCTCAGCTAGCTCATGTCTAGCACAAGATAGGTGCTTAATAAACGTATTGGTTGCATGCTGAATGAACAAGTAGAGTCTTGCTGACAGTCATCATTGATGATGGGGTCCTTGTAAGGTGTGGGCTCTTCCCAGAGTGGGCAGGCCCAGGTTCTCCACAACACATTGACTTGAGGGAGTGTGACTTCGTTTGATTTTATTTTTTTCATTTCAGCTATTGGAATGAATAGAGCATGCTGCCTAAAACTTCTTTTTCTCTTCTCTCTCTCTTCAGCTAAAGCTTGCTTTCACTCTGGACCACGAGACCGGATTGCCTCAAGGATGTCATATCTATGAGTACCGCGAGAGCAACAAGTAAGCCACTCAGTGGGAAAGAGTGTCACTTCACATGTGTGCAGCAGTGGTGCCTGTGGGCTTTCTGACACTGAGCTTCCATTGCTAAGTGGTTGTCAGGAAGGGAATACACCTTTTACTACTATACTAGAAAATAGCTGGCACAGAAATAGTCCTCTTGTAAGATCTCTTTGCCCCTAAGTATAGAACTTGGAGCACTTGCAGAGGAGCAGTTGTGGTGTGTTAGAAGTAGATGCTGAAGCAGACCTTCTTTCAAGGCTGCAGATGTCCCCCAGACCCTCCCCACTCTTGGTCTCCAGTCATGTGCCTGCTTGTTTGGTTCACTGTGTGACTTTGGCTTTGTTGTAGTTCTCAGTCACTATCTGCCTATACTTAGGTTTATGGGTTTTGTTGTGATTATCTACCTTGTAAATTTTATATTAATGGTTGGGAGATTTCCGGGTACTTACAGAGATTTAAATTGGTGCCCTTGTTGGAAAGGTGGCACCTTGCATACTTTCATAGCACCTCCTTTCCACATCATAGACTGCTCCTTTTTTTTTTTTTTTTTTTTGAGACAGGGTCTTGCTCTGTCACCTGGGCTAGAGTGCAGTGATAGAATCGTGGCTCACTGCAGCCCAAAACTCCCGGGCTCAAGTGATCCTCCCACCTGTTTCCCGAGTACCTGGTACTACAGGTGCACACCACCATGCCCAGCTAATTTTCTAAATTTTTAGTACAGACAGGGTCTCCCTATGTTGCCCTGGTTGGTCTTGAACTCCTGAGCTCAAGCGATTCTCCCACCTCAGCCTCCCAAAGTGCTGGGATTACAGGTATGAGCCACCACACCCAGCCACAGACTGCCTCCTTGACTGTGTATTTTCGTTTGTGAGACAGTGAAAGTGGTGGTGAATGAGGCACAGGAACTGTGCCCCGATGATGACAATGATGGTAATGACAGCGGCTACCATTGAGCACCTCCTATGTGTTAGGCACAGTACTGGGGACTTTACATTTGTTATCTCATTTAATCTTCATAACAACCCCGGTGTGTTATTTTATTATTGTCATATTTGCAGAAGCTAAGGTCTAGGGAACTAAAGTAATTCACTCAGGGTGACTCACCACGGCTGTGAGAAGCAGAGTCAACATTATCATGTTTACTCTGGGGAGAGAATAGAAGGAAAACAAGTGACCCGTATTTTTACTTAGAAACCCCAGTCAATGACAAGAGCAGTCCCATCCTGGACTTAAGGAGAATGTACTCTGGTCTCATTGTCTAAATATCCAGGCTGTTTAATTTTATTCAGTGGAAGGAAACAAATAGGCACATGCCAGTAGAACTGTCTACTGTCTATGACCTTCCAGAAGAGAAACCTGGGCCTTCCTCAAGACCTCTGGTGCTGTTTAGGGTAGAAGAGAGGCTACCGGGTGCCCTCGTTACCACATCTCCACTGGGATTACCTTCAAGACATGATGACTGTTTGTAATTTATCTTTAGGAGAATGCCATAGTAACTGGTGTGTACCCCTAATTAATCATAGGAAGGATTGACCAGACATCCTTTAACAATTCTTGCTGGACTCTCTGCTCTTTGGGAAAAGGTTGAAGAGTATTTATTCAATGGGAGAAGGACACCAGCTCTCTGTCCTTTAAGTTTATGTCTTAGCTGTTCACATATCTGGTGGCAACAACTTATGTTGTCTTTGACTGTGAGAAGAGAAAATAGCCTAGCTCTTTTTTTTTTTTTTTTTTTTTTTAATAGAAACAGTGTCTCATGATGTTCCCTAGGCTGGTCTTGAACTCCTGAGCTCAAGCCATCCTCTTGCCTCAGCCTTCCAAAGTGCTGAGATTACAGGTGTGAGTCATCATGCCCAGCCTAGCTCTGTGTCTTGGTTGATCCATAGCTCCTAGCATATTATCAGACCAAGCAATGTAAGAAGATAACTTAGGGTTTATAAATATGAATAAGTTTTGGCCCCCAAAGACCTCTAAAAGAAAATACTTGTGTAGGAAATCAGATAGGAGCCATGATCTAGAAAAGTATGGTGATCAGCATGTTCTCACTCATAGGTGGGAACTGAACAATGAGAACACTTGGACACAGGAAGGGGAACATCATACACCGGGGCCTGTAGTGGAGTGGGGGGAGTGGGGAGGGATAGCATTAGGAGATATACCTAAAGTAAATGATGAGTTAATGGGTGCAGCACATCAACATGGCACATGTATACATATGTAACAAACCTGCATGTTGTGCACATGTACCCTAGAACTTAAAGTATAATAATTAAAAAAAAAAGGAAAAGAAAAAAGTATGGTGATCAAATGCTTTGGTGACTGCTTTCTCTGGTTCTCTCTTGCTTGTATTAGAGTCAGTCTTAGGGTTCATTCTCAATCTTTAGACAACTTTCCTAACCTCTCTGAGCCTCTAGTTTCATTTATTTTCTTCTTCTTCTTTTTTTTTTTTTTCTATTTTTTGAGATAGTCTTGCTTTTGTCACCCAGCCTGGAGTGCAATTGCATGATCTCAGCTCACTGCACCCTCCGCCTCCTGGGTTCAAGTGATTCTCCTGCCTCAGCCTCCCGAATAGCTGGGATTACAGGTGCCTGCCACCACACCTAGCTAAATTTTGTATTTTTAGTAGAGATGGGGTTTCACCATATTGGCGAGGCTGGTCTTGAATTCCTGATCTAGGTGATCCACCTGCCTTGGCCCCCCAAAGTGCTGGGATTATAGTCGTGAGCCACCACGCCCGGCCTGAGCCTCTAGTTTCTTCATCTATAGGATGAAGTAGGATTAATAGTAGGATTAATTATTAATTGTTAATTAATTATTAATAGTAGGATTAATAATACCTCTCTGGCAGGGTTGCATGGGGCTCTCTGGCCGGGATATCATGTTGAAGTGTGTCATCACCAGTCTCACATATAGAATGCCCATAGGAAGTGCTTGTTGCCTCTTCTTCCCAAAGAGAAAAACTGGCTCATGACTTCCATCTTCCCAGAAAGTCTTCTGCCAACAGTGTACTCATGAGGGAAGAGGCTGGTGTGCCTGCCGTTCACAGCCTTTGGTTGTGTACGACGCTCTGTCAAAGGCAGACTCCTCACTCATGAGTTATGAAGCACGGAGGACCCCAAAATCCTGACTATGATTTATTGTCTCCCCCAGACCCTTCCCTGTTTGTGTTCCTCTGTTTCCATTTAGGGTCATTTTCCCTACAATGCCTGAATCCAAATATTGGCATAATAGTGTTATTTAGGAAATGAAGATACTCAGCCCAGACCCTTAAGGGGCCCATGTTGTCTCAGGCTAAGTAACATGAAGACAATACCAGCAGAGAGAGGAAATTCTACAGATGAAAAAGCTAGCTTGAGTATTAGTTTGGTACAACTGATTATTGAAACTACTGCCTTTCCTTTTTGGATATTCCCTGCAGTACAATTTGTAATCACTTTAGCATTCATCTCTGTTTGCCAAATTCAATCCATCAGCAGAAAAAGTTGTTCTGAATAAGTGCTGAGGCTGTTGGATGGTTCTCCCAAATAGTCTTTCCTTTCAAATGGAATGGCCCGGAAAATGGGCACTCCATTTTTATATTTTCTGGATTCTTTTATCAGCCCTCCATTAACGGGATTCAGTATCAAAAGCAGGTAAAGTTTTCTGCAACAGAGAAGAAGAATGTGGCCCTCGGGTCCATGGGTGGTGCCTGATAATTTTGATCCTTGGCTCTCTGTCATCCTGTTCTCCTTTCACATAAAGGGGCTAATCTCTACCTCTGGGGTCCAGGGAGGACAGTCCCTAGGACTTGTCCATTTCTCATGGGACTTGGACCCTGCCTTCTCTAAGGCTAGAGGCACAGCTGTCGGGTAAACATTCTTAAAGCTCTGAGGTCATTAGAAGAAAGAGAGAAGCTGTCCTATGGTGCCTTGGGTTCAACTAGTAAAGCTCTCCACCCTGAATTATTCTGTCAGCCTCCCAAAAGCTGCTCCAGTCTGCATCTGGAGGTGTGAGGCCTCACACCCCCTGGCAGATGCCACCGTGGGTCTACGGGTGGTGACTGGTTTTTTTTTTTTCTCTGTTGCAGAAAACTTTACCTGTCTTTAACACTAAATCCAGTTAATCAAGGAGTGATCGAGAGTCATTTTTGTCAAATTGAAGTTTGGAGATCTCTGGATATAGGGCAAGGAACAAGACCTTCAGGAGTGAATAAGTGATTTGTGAGAATTCAGTTACACATTTATGAAGCCCCTGCTCTGTACAGTGTGTTACATGGGGGAGGCAAAGATACGTTAGACCCAGTGCATGCCCTCAGGGTTTGTATAAGGAGCAAAGCGCACTCCAGCACCCTGTGGGATGATATGCACTTTGGCAGTGGTAGGAATCGAGTGCTATGGCAGCAACGATGAGGAAAGTGAATGCTTCCGACTTTGGAGTTACTGTGTGGATGGTGGTGACCTTCACAGACAAGGAGCTTTGTCAGAAGGCTCCTTTCTCTCCATCCCCACGGCTACCCTCCTTCTCACTGCCAGGACTGTGGAGCTGCTTTGCAAGCTATTCTTCCTGCCGTTAGCTGGTTGGCCTCCCGGCTGTCCTCTCTGCAGCCTGAGTGAGTGTGTGTGTCTTTTCCTTCTGGTTGCTTTTTAGACCTTATTTTTGTCTTTGGCATTCTGCAGTTTTACTACATTATGTCTGAGTGGATTCATTTTTATTTATATTGTTTAGGACTCAATATAGTTCTCATTTAGAAATTTTTATCTATTATCTTTGATTCTCTTTGGTTCTCTCTAATCTCTCCTTCTGGAACTTGTTAGAAACCATCTTATTTCATCTTTCCTCTCTTTTTTCTATTTCTGTATCTGTTAATGCTGCATTGTAGGCAACTTCCTCAAAAGTGTCTGTCACTTTATTCTCCTTGTAGCAGTTTACTATCGGCTGCTTAATAACCCTTCCCAATATGAATATTTGGTTTTTATTTTATTTTATTTATTTTTTGAGATGGAGTCTCGCTCTGTCACCCAGGCTGGAGTGCAGTGGCGCAAACTCAGCTCACTGCAACCTGCACCACCTGGGTTCAAGTGATTCTCTTGCCTCAGCCTCCTGAGTAGCTGGGATTACAGGCGCGCACCACCACGCAGGGCTAATTTTTTTGTATTTTTAGTAGAGATGGGATTTCGCCATGTTGGCCAGGCTGGTCTCAAACTCCTAACCTCAGGTGATCTGCCCAACTCAGCCTCCCAAAGTGCTGGGGTTACAGGCGTGAGCCACCACGCCTGTCCTCATGTTTGGTTTTTATATTTAATTTTCAGAAGTTCTGTTTGGTGCTTTTGAAAATCCGCCTATTACTATTAATTAATTTTTTTGGTGTCCTAGTCTTCTGTTATGATTTCTATTCTTTCTTTTATCTCCCTAATTATTTTGGTTGTATTTATTTTACAGCCTCTTTCCAGTTATTTGAAGAGTTTTAGTTCTAGTTCCAAGAGTACCAATTCTCTTATTTCTTGTGTCTATTGACTCACTCTTACGTGGTTCATTTTCTCTTGCAACTTGTTTTTTTATCATAAGATCATCTTAGGCTGTGCGCAGTGGCTCACGCCTGTAATCCCAGCACTTTGGGAGGCCGAGGCAGAAGGATCACCTGAAGTCAGGAGTTCGAGACCAGCCTGGCCAACATGGTGAAACCCTGTATCTACTAAAAATACACAAATTAGTTGGGCGTGATGGCACACACCTGTAAGACCAGCTACCCGGGAGGCTGAGGCAGGAGAGTCACTTGAGCCCAGGAGGCAGAGGATGCAATGAGCTGAGATCGTGCCATTGCACTCCAGCCTGGGTGACAGAACAAGACCCCATCTCAGAAAAAAAAAAAAAAGATCATCTTAAGTAGGGATTGTGTTTAGTGGGAGTTCCACATACTGTGGGTTGTGGATGTGTTATCTTATCACTTTTGCATATGTTCTGCCAAGACCCAGGGAGGTTCATAGGTCCTGCTAGTTTGGATGTTAACTCCTTGGCTTAGGAGTCTCACCTCCTGGGTAGGCCACATTCTGACTCCTCACCCATGTGCCGTGTGGGCTTCACATCTCCATTTCTCATAGGAGATGCCTCTGGTCTGTGCCACATACGGCCATTCCTCTGCTCTGTGAGAAAGGTCTTCCTGATTCTTTGTTCAAAGACCAACAGCTCCCAGGATCCTGGCTTTATGTGGGGATCTCAGTTCCAGTTCCATGACCAGGTCTTCAGTTCCATGGCCAGGTCTTCTGCCTCCTGCATGCATTAAAATCTTAGCTCCTGTAACTGTATCAACGTCTGATACTCCCGGCCCCCAGTTGCCACGGTAAAAATTACAGCTCTGACTTAATTTTTTTTTCACTTCAAGCATCTGAGAATTTTCTCATTATTCTTCTATACTCAATAATATATTTAAATTATTATTTTGGTATATTTTATCTATTAGTTCTCTGTGTTTGTGTTGGGAAGGAGGTCCACATCAGTTCAGTCTACTATCTTGTCAGAATCGGAGATCTGAATAAACTTAAATATGGTCACTCATTTAGCAAATGTATAGAGAATATCTGCTATATACCTGTATAGTTCTAGGCCCTGGGGCCACAGAGCTGAATAAACGCTGATGCTGCCAACAGAGGCCCATGTGCCAGTGGAAGGGACTGGGCACTCCTCAGCAGCAAGGCAGCCAGCCCTGTGATCCCACCCCACCTGCCTGCCATACAGACCCATCCTGTCTTCCTGCCCTGGCACCCTACATGCTGTCTGTACCAGATTACCTCACGCTCCTGCGTACAACGTGTCCCTGTTGTCATGCCATTTTCTGCTTCTAGAACATCCCTCTTTCCCAGAACCCCGTGCCCACCCATCTAGGTAACCTCTGCTTCTCCTTCCACTCTCAGCTAGGTATTTCTCCTCTGGGAAGCCATTCCACACCCCTCACAGGCACCACCAAAGCTGGGTCAGATGTGCCTTCCCCGTGGCCCTGTGCCGTGCCTGTCTGCTCCATGTCAGCTCTTAGCACTGTGCCTTTCAGTTGTGGGTTTGCTTGTTGGCTTCCGCCACTGGCCTGATGCTTTTGAGGTCAAGGTCTTGTTTTTTTCATTTCAGTACCCACAGTGCCTAATCCACTATCTGGCAAATAATGCTTGATGAAGGGAAGGTGGGGGACCTGATTTAGTCCTTTAGGAAGGGAGGGAGCATGGCTACTGAGGAGTCAAGCTTCTTTCCAGCTTTGTCTTTTCATTTGCCGTAGGATTATCATGATGATTAAATTACACATGACATCAGGGAAACTGTCTTCATGGATAGCTGTGAATTCTGAAGAGCTAACATGGAGAAAAGAAGCTGTAAAAATGTGGCTTAACTCTAAATATAGTGGTAATTACAGTCACTTACATCAGTTTTTTTTTGCCATTTTTTGCCGGGTAGTGAAGAACAGTGATAGCTATGAAGAGCATTAAACATGTCAGACAAACTTGTGGAAGCTGAATTCGATTGCAAGGCTATACTCTTGTTCACGACATCTAGACTTTATGATCCATGTACCATAATCATGATGGGAGCTACCATCTTCTGAGTGCCCGCAGACACCAGGCAAGGGGCTTACCCAGGTTAGTTCTAGTCTAAAACCATTCAAGAAGGATATTCACAATAAAAAATAAAAATAAAACCAGTGAGAGTCTGAGAGGTTTTATTATTTTCACAATTGTACAGAATAAAAAATAAAAACAAACCAAAACTGAAGAGTCTGAAGAGGCTCACCTGCCAAGGCCACAGAGGTCAAGGGCAGAACCTGGCCAGTTGTGGCAAATTCTAAAGCCTGTGCTGTGCCTTCATGACACCTGCCTTTCTCTCCATGCCAGGAAGCTGCAGGGAGTGCTGATTCCAGCCGTTTCTAAGCAGGCCTGCTTGGGAAGGCTGTCTGGGAAATCCTGGGATTTCCAGTCCCTGTGAACCCCAGGTCAGATGGGCAGCTTCTGACTTGTCATCAGAGTTCTGGGTTAGGCCAGTCACGCTGCTTGGCAGGTCACCATCCATTCAGTGGTATGTGATGTGGCTGTGTTAGTTATAAAGACCTCGTAGTTTTGGGGGTGCAGTTGCCCTGAATACCTGCCTGATTGGCCCTTGTAGTAGACCCTGGCAGACCCAGGCCCTAGCTTTGGGGTGCCTGCTCCTCTGCCCTGCTGGCAGTTGTGCCTCACTTGGTCCAGACAGTGAGGCCAGCAGTTGCTGGCAGATCCGTTGTCCCTGCGGACCTCTCAGAGCCTCCTTGACACTCACAGCCAGGTCCTCTGCCTTACTGCAGTTCTTACTCTTAGAACAGGTTAGTTTGCTAAACTTAACAAGAGAAAATCTTCCATTTTTTCCTGCCTAGCTACTGGACTCATTTTGGGACCTTGAAACACACATCATTAAACTTACTAGCTGGCCTCTAGATGTGTGAGAGAGAGCTACGCTGTGGGATTGATTTCCTTCGGCTGAAGTGTCTGCCGCATTCATGAGCCTGCCTTGAAGGACAGTACTCCTTGCAGCCTTCCAGAGGATAGGGCAGTTCTGGGCTGTACATCCTCTCCCCAGCCCACAGGCACCTGCTAGCTCAGGTCACTGTAAGGACACCTGGGTTCTCTTCCCCAGCACCTGAGCACATAGTTCTTTCTGCTTCCCAACATGCCCCCTGCCCGTGGGGGCTTAGCCTGCTTGGCATCCCCCGGGGTCTCAGAACACACTCTCTAGACACAATAGACCTAGAGAACCAACCCTAAAACCACACTGCGGTTCTCTGTTGTTTTGTGTTTATCATGGAGGATGTGATGGGTTCGTTCAGGTGCTCTGACAAGTGGACCCCAAGCAGGATTAATGTACGAGAGGTGTTGGGGGAAGGCCTGTGAAGGATGAGGGGAGGGAACAGGGGCAGGCCCGGGGCTTCCTTCACCTTACAGCAACCAGCCCTTGTAGACAGTATGCATCCCAGGGCTTTCCCGTGCTGGCATTATCACAGTGACTCAGGAGCTTCTTCCCAGGTCACTGCTGGTGAGTCTTTGAGCAGCTGAGCCACAACTTTGTACCAGGGCCTGTCCCTGCCCACACACCACTCAGAAGAGCATCCCCTTTGCCCACTAGGTAGTGAGTGAGCCACTCCCCAGACTCTATCTTTCTGCCTGTTTCCTCAGAACCACTCCTGTCCCACTTGCGTCAGTTCAGATCTGCAGAGAAGCAGATGCTGAGATGGGATTGGATGTTGAGAAACATATGGAGGAAGATGCCTGTGAAGGATGAAAGGGGAGAGAGTAGCGGAAGGCAGAGAGAGCCTTCAGACCTCAACACAAGTCTGGCCCTTATGAAGGAATTTGGAAAGGAAGGAGGGCTGGGTAGGGAGAGTCTCAGGCTACGGCCCAGGTTTTTTTGTTTAGTTTTGTTTTTTTGAGATAGGATCTCATGTTGCCCAAGCTGGTCTCAATCTCCTGGGCTTAGGTAGATCCTCCCACCTCAGCACCCCCACCAGCTAGGATTACAGGCCCGCACAATGGCTCCCACCTGCGGCCCAGTTTTAAGGTTCACTGACGGAAAGTCCTCAAGCCAAAGCCAAAGCCAAAGCCAAAGCTGACTGCTGGAGGATCCTCACATCTTGCAGGACCTGGCCTGCATTAGGACCCTGGAGGCGTGCTCACAGGAAGTGTGACTTCAGGGCAGATGCAGTGGTGGATCAGAGCACTTGCAGTTGGGGACATTGTCAGTAGTAGAAGATCTGAGTGATGCCTCTTCCTGGCTGCTGCACTTGAGGAGGGGACAGAGCAGGGTGTTCCTGGATGAAGTCCTGTTTAATTAGCTTCCCCCCTGCTTGGTTCTTTGCCTTTGCCTTCATCCTGAATAAGCAGAGGAAATATTTCCCAGCAGCTCTGACAACTTCAAACCAGCACCAACACTTCCCAGTACTTTGGAAATGACACTTTCTGTCTGCACCTTGGAACTGATGCCAGCTCCTCAGGCTAAGCAGCAGTGTTACCTAAGAGCCATTCATTGCAGAGGGCGAGAGCCTCCAGGCCTCCCAGACACTGCCAGGTTAGCTTGAAGAAGGCCTTTCTTGTTCCTGATGAAGCCTTAGTTTAGGAGAAAGGGGGGCTTGAAATCAAGAGAGAGGAGGGGCTTGGGGGAAGTTGGAAGCGATGCAGCCAGAGAGGTGCCAGGCGTGAGCTCATGGGTGCAAGCCTGCAGCTGTATTGTGCACGTGGGAGTCAGCCACTCACAGTGCAGGTGTGAGCTCACTGTTCCACCACAGCCGTTAGTGTTTGGCATCAGCATGATGCAGGCACAACTCCTGCTTCCACTGCTGGATTCGGGTAGTGTTCAGCGAAGGGAGTGTCTCTCCACCGTCCACCCACACAGAGGGATGGCCGTGGCTCTCTATGCTCTGCTCTCTTCTCACCTCACTCCGTGCAGCAGCAATCAGGATATTTTGTCTGCCAACAAGCAGTGCTTCATTTAACCTCAGTTTTATCTACAGGAAGAGGAGAAGAGGGTATGAACACTCCCATTTTAGAGAGAGAGAAACAGATGCCCTGATAGGTGCCCTGTGCAAGGTCAAGCTGTACATAAGAGGACCATCCAGCAGGCTTCTCCCTGGATACTACCCCAGCTATCTGATGCAAGCAGGTGTGGGGCCCTAGAACAACTACACAGAAGTGGCACTGAGTTGCCCATGGGTCCAGGAGCAGGGAGGGCAGCAAGGCCTGGGGCAGCACAGCTGCCTCCTGTATTGCTTCCATCTCCTCTGGAGTCACAGTCACCCAGTCTCCTCCACATGGAATCTGAACTGCAAAGGGCCAGGACAAGGAGGAGCTCTTTTTCAGCTGTGTTGAGTCAGTGCCTATTCCCCACTTGCTGGGAGAACCAGGGAGGGACAGAGTCTGAAGTCATATTTTATAGCACTCAGTTGCCTCGGCAGAGGTTTCCCATGCTGCTGAGCTATGGTGCTCAGGACCCTTTGTAGAAATCACTAGACCTTCAGCTCTTTCTGGCTTTCTGAGGCCAGAACTGACCCAAACAAGGAAATGGGGGAGCCGCAAAAATCGGCAGATTGTGCTGGCCACAGACCAGTCACATACATCAGTGTACACACACAGGAACACTGGTCCATGTCTCAGCATATAGTGTGACTTATGCATTCTGCTATTTTTTTCTGTAGTGCACATACTGGAAAATAGGTTTTTACAATAAGCTTGCTTTGTAAAACTTACTTCTGAATTATGACATGCATAGAGAAAAGTGTACAAATTATAAGCATCTAGTTCAAGGAAATTGTTAGAAAATGAACACATCCATGTCAAGAAATAGAACATGGCCAGGTGCAGTGGCTCACACCTATAATCCCAGCACTTTGGGAGGCCAAGGCAGGAGGATTGCTTGGGGCCCAGGGGTATGACACCAGCCCGGGCAGTGTAACGACAATTAACAAATTTTTATTTAAAAATAAATAATAAATAGAACATTACAGCTTCCAGGAGCCTCCCATGTGCCCCTCACTCCTCCCAAAAGGATACCACCATTGTTATCTTCTAACACTGTAGATTGGTTGTGCCTGGCTTTGAACTTCATATAAATGGAATTATTTACTATATTCTCTTTTGTGCCCAGCTTTTCTCTTTCAGCATTATATTTGTGAGAATTCATCTTTGCTGTTGCATCTATAGTCCATTCATCAATTTATCCAATCTGCATTTGTTCAGTCAACATTTGTATTGTTTCCATTTTGGGGTTATTATAAATCTGCTTGTACATGTCTTTTGGTGCACATATGCATGTGTTGCTTTTGAGTATATAATAGGAATGAAATTGCTGAAATCATATGTAATTTCACAAGCAGTGTGTGAGAGCTCATCTGTTTATTGGCCATTCAGTAGAGTGCCTTTTCAAATTTCTTGCCTGTTTTTCTACTGGGTTTTCTGTTTTTCTTCTTGATTTATAGTCCTCTATATTCTGGATATCAGTTCTTTGTTGCTTATACATGTTGCAAATATCTTCCACTGTGTAGTTTGCTTTTTTACTGCCTCTGGTGTTATTTTAACGTACAGAAGTACTTAATTTTAATGGAGTTCAGTATGTCGATCTTTTTTATTATGGTTAAATGCTTTTTGTATACCATTTAAGAAATCTTTGTCTATATTCTAAAAGAATCTACTTAGAATTGATTTTTGAAAATGGTACAGCAAGTTTATTTTTTCATATGGGTATCTGTTGACCCAGCATCATTTTTTGAAAATACTTTCCCATAGCTTAGCACTGCCACCTTTGTCAAAAATGAAGTACCCATATGCACAGATCTGTTTCTGCTCTCCATTCTGTGTCACTGGTTTATATATCTATTCTTGTACCAGTACCACACTACCTTCATGTTTGTATAAAAATCTTGATAGCCAGTAGAGCTACACTTTCCAACTTGGACTTTTTCTATAAAGAGCACCTATGCTATTCTTGGCCCATTCCATTTCCATATAGATTTTAGAATCAGATTGTCAGTTGCCACATACATGCACACAAACTTGCTAGGATTTATATTGAGATTGCTTTGAATCCATATGTCAATTTGGGAAAAATCAACACTTTTATGATAATGAGTCTTCACAAACATGGTACCTCCCTCTATTTAGAGCTTCTTTAATTTTTCTCAATATAATTTTCTGTTAGAGATCTTGCTCATGTTTCATTGGATTTACTCCTAGGTATTTGATTTGTGGTACTATTTTAAATGGTATTTGTAAATTTAATTTTCTCTTTGTTGCTAATACAAGGAAACATGGTTTATTTTTGTTGACCTTGTTATCAATTACTTTCCTGAATTTATTTATTAGGTTCAAATAATTTGTAGATTTTTTTTCATAACAATATTTCAGTTCAGTGTAGATGCTTTTTTATTTCCAGTGTACCTCATCATGTCATCTGCAAATAATGACAGTTTTACTTTTTCCTTTCCAATTCTCATGCCATGTATTTATTTTTCTTGCCTTATTGCACTGTACAGTATTTCTGGACATAATAATAATAGGCATTTATGTCTTGTTCCTGATCTCAAACAGAAGAGTTTTTACCACAAACTCACTCTTAGATTATGAAAATGAAAATTTTTACTGGTGTTCTCTTTAGTATACACTTTATTTTTCCCCAAGATGAGTTTTCAATTTGGGAACTTTTTTTTAAGTTTTAAGTGGTGATTTATGAGCTAGGAGCTAGGAAAATGATATCTGATTTTTTATTTAAATGAAAAGGAACTAATGTTTATCACAAGACTGCTACTCCTCATTTTAACCTTGTGAGGAGGTTTTGCCTTGGCCATTTTACAGAAGGATCTCATGGCTGTACATTTGAACAAGGATTCAAACAGATCTGTCTGACTTCAAAACCCATGCTCTCTTTACTGCTCCCTGATTCCTTGGTAGAATATTGAACGTGAACCCACGAGGTCGTAAAAATACCACTTTTGTCATAGATGACCGAGAGAAAAGTTGCTAAACTATTATTGCCTCACAGGTATATGCAGCATCTTTTCCTTTCCCCAGTAACCTCCTACCCCAAATCTCTTTATATCCCTGTGTTTTAGTCCATTTTCATGCTACTGATAAAGACATACCTGAGACTGGGCAGTTTACAAAAGAAAGAGGTTTGTTGGACTTACAGTTCCACCTGGCTGGGGAGTCCTCACAATCATGGCAGAAGGCAAGGAGGAGCAAGTCACATCTTACAAGGATGGCAGCAGGCCAAGAGAGGGCATGTGCAGAGAAACTCCCATTTTTAAAACCATCAGATCTTGTGAGACCCATTCACTATCATGAGAACAGCATGAGAAAGACCTGCCCCCGTGATTCAGTTATCTCCCACCACGTCCCTCCCACAACACATAGGAATTATGGGAGCTACAAGATGAGATTTGGGTGGGGACACAGAGCCAAACCATATGACACTATCACCTGCCCCATCCCACCTTTCCCTGATTTCCATTGCCATGGAAAGGAGCCCTCTGGGCCTGCCTGTGGCCCTAAAGGGCTGCAGCCCTCCTCAGCACCGGCCCAGCACCCACTGGGCCCAGTATAGGGCATTCTCCAGCCTGTGCTGTCATTCTGTCGCCTGTTGTCTGGTGCTGGGAGGTAGGATTGAAGGCTTTCCTCCTGGGCGGGCTGCTCAGGTTGCAAGGTAGATCCTATATTTTTAAGCCCTGTAGAGTCTCAGCTGTCCCATTTTGAGGGTTATGCATCCTACATGGGTTCACAGAATCCCTTTCGCTGAGACTTGGAGGAATGAAGAGGACAGAGAGGGTCGAGACCCAAACCGAGCAGGCCCCGGAGGCCTCAGGGCCCTGGGGCTGAAGGGAGCTCCCTAGCCCGAGAATGCCCCTCACTATTCTCACACTCCACCTTTTGCAGCCCAAATACCCATGGATGCCCCAAGAGATTTCCCTATGAGACAGAAAATTCTAGAACACCAGGAACTCTCAAAACTAGATATTTCAAAACTCTTAAAGACCTTAAAGAGTAAATGTTTTCATTGTCGATTTAACATAGAGTTACATTAAGCAGCTAACACTTTCCCTTTCTTGAATAAGATTTCCTGTCTGTCACGTTGCCATTTGCTTTCTTCATGTTTTTGCGATGGACTGCAGCTCCCTCCATTCTGGGGAGCCTCCTGGCGCTGCAGCAATCCAGCATGACTCGGAGCTCTTTGATTTTCTTTCCCAGTTACTTTATAGCACATGAAGATGTGTTCTTACCAGTGACAGAGGGTCGGTGAGAATGACCATTTTTGTTTTCCGTATATCTGTACCTGCCACATCCATACCTTTCTCAGAAGGTCCTGGAATGACTCGTTTCTCTCTCTGCCTCTCTGGGTATTTCTCCAACCACAGGTTTGCATCCCCAGGGGGAAGCCAGCTCTCTGGTCCCTCATGCTAAGCTTTTTAAGCAGATAGTACTGCCAGGCGGTCTTTAAACCCAAGGAGGCTTGCCCCTTCCCAAGACTTCAAGGAGTTCTAGAAGAGACTGTGATATTCAGGCCAGGTCCCTGTTTGATGAACAGGGACACTCAATTCCTGGCAAGTGGGGTGAGCGCCTCCAGCCCTCCCCACCCCCATACCGGTGTGCTGGCCCAGACCCAGGGCATATTCAGGTACTTAAAGTAGCAAATGTCTCTGCTGTAAAAACCCTCACTCCGGTACTGAAAGCCCAGAGCCCAGGCTCAGGCCACAGAGGTCTGAGATATACTCTCAAGGAGGTTAGCCCATAAAAGAAACAGGTCATAGGACTGCATGTTGGGTTTGAGCCTGAAGAAAGGTGCCCATGGTTGTCATCTTCTGTGGCTGCCTGGCAGGTAACCAGATGTGCTTGGCTCTCTTAGCTTTTGGCTGTGCTATCTGTGGGGTAGTGTTTCTGATCTGTCTTCACTGCCACTCCCAGCTCTCTGAGGCTTTGTGGCTTTTTCTTGGTGGTTGGGCAGGAAGCCTCTAGAGCCTGAAGGAATTGCTGTGCTTGATGACAGGCACAGGCTATCAATGGCTATAAATCGCCTAGTGGCTGCTTCACGTATTGAAGAAGAACATGTTTGCTGTCTGTTCTGCGGATGCTTCTCTGATGGCCGGAACACAGCTGCGAAAAGATTTCGTAGAGTGACTCAGAGCAAGCGCCCAGCTCATGCCCACTGAATTAAGCAAGAGGAAGTGGCCAACTTCCGCAGCTGCTCTGAAAGCCCAACACAGCAAGGCCTGGCTGAGATGAACAACATAGATCATTCCACTGACTTTGGGCTACCCCCAAGCCAACCCCATGTGACCCCACACCTACCCCAAAGCTAGGTGAGACCCAGGGTCCACCCTCCAAGCCCGGGTTACCAGTAGGGGGTAGGTGCCAAACTGGAGAGTAGACTGTGATGAATGGGTAGCAGAGATGGCAGAGGACATGGCTCATCACCTGGGGTCGGGGACCCCGCTCTCAGCAGCTCCCTTCCCTGAGTGCCCTGGCATTGGTGTGTCTGTGTGTTCGCGAGCCCTGGCATGCCACTGCGGCTTCACAGTAGCCTCCTGGGCAGCGGCTCATCAGCTTCCAGCACAGCCTTTGTTGTTCTATAAATCTGTTAATGTTTGTGCTACCTAGAATAAGAAGGAAGGAGTCATTCTACAGAGAGGATTTATTCTTCCAGGCGCCAAAACCTTGTTCCTTACGATTATGTCCTGTTCTTTAATGGGGTCCCCTGTACTCCACAGTGTCATTCGCCTCCACACTAGATGTCCACACAATGCTGTGTATTTTCACTGATTTTGCTGGGGCCCTGCCCTGTCTTTGTCTCTGCCTTTACAGTCAGGGCCAGTTGTCACTTCTCCGTGGCTGTCCGGAGAACCTGTAGCACCCTCTCCAGCCACTCCAAGCATGAGGCTTTGTGGGGAGCGTGGAATCTGTGAGGAAGCCGAGGCAAGCTGTTAGGATTCTGTTCAATGGGAGGAAAGGCTCTGAGTGAGGTGGGAAGGAAGGACTTCCCAGGAGGCACACTTGGGTTCCCGGCCCCACCTCTGCGCTGGCTGCCCACAGGCCCTGCTTCTGCCTATTTCCTGGTTCTGCTTCATGTTTCAAAGACATAAGATCAAATGTGATTAAGTTTTAGGTAAGCAAGATATTGTGCTTATTATTGAATTGTTCTTCTTTAGTTTAACAGCCCTCCAGTTTAATCTAAATCTGTTTCCTGTCATTAAGTCTTTGGTGTAGATAAAAGATCAGTTAGCTGGTCGCTATCTTTTGTGTCATAAATCTTCTAGGAAACCATTGTTGTGATTTTTCATTGTACCGTTCCTGAAGAGGAAGGAACTTTTCATTCCTTTGGGCTTTTTTCCTGGTGAATTTCCCAGCTGTTAGTGTCATCGAGCTTAACTCTCACATCCTTAAGGCAGCATTAGCCTCAGAACCACCAGTACCTCGCTGTGTGCCCTGGGAGGCAGGTTATTACCCTTGGCTTCATGACCCATGGACAGTCCTTGCAATGGAAGGGAAACACATTTGTGGGTAGAGTGTGGAGAATGTGTGTGAAAGGCTTTCCTCGCCCAGGCAGTAAGTGCTGCGGAAACAAGCCACTTTTTATGCTAATAAGATTTGGACAGGGGTTGGGAGGTAGGGGAGTGAGTGTGTGTTGATCTGATTCCCTGTGCCCAAGAGCAAGGACAGTCACTTCATCCCAGCCCCTGCACAGTGTTGGGAACACAGAGGTGTTCAGCAGATGCTGGACAAATGTCTCCTGGGAGTATGCAGTATTTGCTCTTTTTTCCTCTCATGTTCTGTGTTCCTAACATTCTTCTATTTTGGCGGGGTGGGGAGGTAGAAGGTAGGCAGAGTCTCACTCTGTTGCCCAGGCTGGAGTACAGTGGCCCGATCTCTGCTCACTGTAACCTCTGCTTGCCGGGTTCAAGCGATTCATGTGCCTCAGCCTCCCGGGTAGCTGGGATTACAGGTGCCCTCCACCACGCCTGGCTAATTTTTGTATTTTTAGTAGAGATGGGGTTTCACTATGTTGGCCAGCCTGGTCTCGAATTCCTGGCCTCAAGGGATCTGCTCACCTCAGCCTCCCAAAGTGCTGGGATTACAGGTGTGAGCCACCACTCCTAGCCTCTTCTATTTTTTAATTACACCTCTAATTGTCTCTGAATTGTCACTGAATTAATTGTCTCCTTAATTCAGTGCAGAAGGTTTTCATAATAACACTAATATTTATGGAATAGTTAACAATAGGTCAGAGCTTATAATGTTAAATAAGATAACAAAGTTTATCTCATTTAATCCTCACTAGAATAACCCTGCGAGGTAGGTAGAAGAAGTTAGAGAGGTTAAGTAGTCTGCCTAAGGTTACCCAGGTTGTGTGTGGTTGACAGTGCCCTACCTTTCCCCCCTGACTTTAGCAATACAAGAATACTGGCAAGTTGCTGCTGCCCTCTGGGCTCTGTTATAAAGTGAAGCTGCCGATCCACAATGGAGAACCCACTCCTGCAAGGCCAGGCCTCCACAGAGGCCAGAGGCCAGAGGCCAGTAGTGGTCGGGGTGCCCAGGAAGCTGGGCTCAAACAAGGGTAACTTGCAAGAATCTTCAGGAAGCCCTTATATTCAGAATTGTGTTCTGTGCCACATGGGCCCTTTCCCACCATCAAACTTAGAAAACGACCCCTAGGAAAGTCCTCAGAGTTCATGGAAGGGCGCTGAGAAGTCTGCCCACACCCTCGTGGGTTGGAGGACCAGTTTCGCCAAGTGTTCTCTGGCCCAGTTGTAAACATCATTCGTTTGCTTGTCCAGCAAACATTATTGGACGCCTATTAGTGCCAGGTACTGCACTGAGCACAAGAGAAGGGCCCAGTTCCTTCCCTTGAAGCCCACAGCCCATCGAGGAAGACAGGTATGTAAGACAGCATTTGCAAGGGGGTGACAAAGGCCAGGGGGGAGGTGAACAAAGGATGCAGGGAGTGGCTCTCAGTGTTGTGAGCACCCCGCATGGGAAGGCCAGCGCGGCAGGGTGCTGGGTGCTGTTGCCCTCTGCTTCTCCCGGCTGGAGTGTCAGTGTGGGACCCTGTAGGCCCCAACCCACCCCAGGGGAGGCAAGTGAGAAGGTGACAGGACAGAGTCATGGGACAAGAACCAGAGGGAAGAGGCCTGGCCAAGCCCTGGAGAACTGAGCAGAGCAGAGAGCCGCCTCACCAAGCCTCTGTGTTCCATCTTGTCATGCTTGTTGGAATGAGGAGGAATCCCTAAAGATCATGGATAGAAGGAGAATGGCTCTTCTTCCCACCACCTCCCCACCGTCTCTCCCTGAAACCCCAGGAGCATTCCAGATACAACACAGGGCGGGGGTCTTCCCTTCATGTTCCTTGAGTGCAGTGGCCATGGCCACTCCTTTCTCAGAACTCCTACTGCCAGTCTTAGCACTGCTGGCCTCCATACCCAGCAGGGAGGTGTGGTCTGCTCCCACATGGCTGGCTGGGCCATTCCTGGGCAGATGGTATCGAGTAAGGAGCACCCAGTGTCTTGTGTGGTTGGCACACAAGACACTGTGGTGGTTGAGAGAAGCAGAGGGCAACAGCACCCAGCACCCTACCACACTGGCCTTCCCATGTGGGGTGCACACGACACTGTGTGGTTGGCACACAGTGGACACACCCTGGACTGCATGCTACGTATAAGCATGTCCTGGTGAAACTAGCAGCCAGTTCTTTGTTTTGTTGCAAATGACCATTTGACAGTACTTCCACAACAGCCAAACATGGCACATGAGGAACTGGGCTTGAGTATCACAAAGATTTACTGGTAAATGGACAGGCATAAGCACCATTAATCAGACAGCACAGTTACTCTCCATCTTGGTGGCTGCACAGCTCAGCGGACCACACAGGGCCCTCCTGGGGTGTTGGGCAAGGCCTCCTCCCAGGCAGAGGCAGCTGGACTGAGGCCAGAGAGTTCTGGGTGCTACAGCCTCTACCAGGAACAACAATTCTCACCCAGGGGAGGCCTGAAGGCTGCCTGGGCTTGGCTGCCTGGGCTTGGCCTAACCTACCTGTGAAGAAGCTCCCAGATTGCTAGTCAGCATCCCAGGTACCAGGAGAGCTTTCTTAATGCATCTGAAAATCCTGGATAAACAGGGCTGCCCTCTGCAACCCAGGCTGCCCTACAAGATGGGCTTGGCCTCCAGAGTGGTAGCTCAGGGAAGCAGAGCCCTCAGGTCCAGTCACGCTTTGGCATGGTCTGGCCTCACCATCTGACTTACGATTGACCCAGCCTGCCTGAAAGGACTCAGGGCCTAATCCAGGTTGTTCTGGTCTTGGTTCTCAGGTAGAATGAGAGTGGCGTCGGGGAAAGGGCTGAAGTCTTCACACAGGCTGTGCGAGAGCACTCAGCAGTCTTTGGTTGACTTTGGGTAGGAGTGGAGATGAAACCCAGCAGTCTTATGGTTTTCCCCGCCCTCCACCCCACCCACCCTACCCCTTCCTGTGGACAAAGAGAGGGCAGAGCTGGGGCCTCAGTGCCACGTGGGGTGGGCACATGAAGATGTCAGGGAAGCCCAGAATGTTCTGGGGGGGGTGGGGGACACATTCATTGAAACCGCTCTGAACCTAGGTCATAAAACTGTGTGTCAATATTTTAAAAGTCACAGAATGAATGCAGAGCTCTGCCAAACTCAACATGCTGTGTTCCAGGGGGTGATAAGACGAGCGTTAGTTCAGTGGAAAAAAAAACAAGACAAAAGGAGTTTTCTTTTAATCTTCTGTGTTTCATGTTTATACTGAGGCAGGCTGCCCTTGCAGGAGAGAATTCATTCATCATGCAACCAACAGATGAGTCCCAGTGACATTGTCACCTGTCACCTGTGTTGGATTTAAGTGATAACCATATACAGGCAGTAAGAATGTATCGAGGCAAATGTAGCCTGTCCCATTAGGCCAGCAGAAGCCATCTTGGGTTTCTTCTGCCAAGTTCATACACCTCTGGTTCAACAGTGATAAGCTGAAGGGAAGTTGCAGGAGCCATAACTGCCACTCCTAGTCCTTTATTACTAGGGGGCTGTGCTTCCACCCCTGAAAATAAGTCTTGTTTGGCACTCAACGTTTTCTGTGGAGCAAACAAGCAAGTCATGTCTCTGAAATACCTCATTTGTTCCCCCAAACATTTCACCAGCTCCTCCATGTGCTGCTCAGCTCTGGGATACATAGATGGGCACGGCTAGGTGTTCCCCTCCCTTCCCCACCCAACAGCCTATGGTCTGCAGAGGAAAACTAGCCTCCAGAGAAGGACAGTCTGGATTCACTGTTGAGATGTGGTTTAGAATCAGCCCACAGGACCATGGAGCCAGGGAGGGAGATGTGTGAACTGAACCTGTACAGCCCCACGAGTTGCTGAGTGGAGAAGGTGGGCTTGGGTGCGGGGAGCAGAGGGGGCAGAGTGGAAATCCAGGGTGGCCTAAGAGTCTGGGTGCCTGTCACCCATGAGGAGGCCCCAAAGAGTCCCTTGGGAACAGAGGCACTGATCTCCTTGTGGCCAGTAAGTGAGCAGGGCTGAGGCAAGGAACAGGCCAGCAAAAGCCTGCGGGGGGCCAGGGAGTGTGACAACCAAGGACCCCCAGAGCACTAGCAGCTAAGGACCTCATGCCACACTCAGACCTGGGCGAGGGACTGACCTGGAGACCTCCTGAGCTTTCTCTGACTGTATGGAGCTCACCAGGGAAAACATGGGGGATGCCTGGATGCATTGCCCAGCTCCGAGCTCAGCACAAAAACTCCCTCTTGGAACAGTCTAGAAAGAGGCTCACCTGAGGCCCAGCTGTCACCCAGGGGCCATGATGTCATGTGGGCCAAGGCATCTGAGGGGCAGGGGCCTTCCGCATCCCACTGCTGCCGTGGCCCGTGGCCCACTCTGCCCTGCCCTCCTGACCCGGAGGCCCAGTGCGTCTCTGTGGGGGGTGGGAGGAGCGTCAGCAAAGGAGAGGCTGCACAGGGCGCCTTCGGCAGTGACGCGAAACCAAGAGCAGGAAAAGCAACCCTGCTCAGCCCTGGGCGACTCAGACAGGAAAGGGCCTGAGCCTGAGGCAACCAGGAGGGGGCAGCCTTATCAGGGAGGCCGTGGCGCGGGCCTGAGTGCTGCTTCTGCCCTCATCCAACTGCAGCGGGACAGAGGCAAACAAGAGGCCCCCCCTTTGTTTCCAGGGGGGCCTGGAAACAAGGCTTCCAAGGTGGCAACAGTGTCCCAGCCCAGCCAGGCGGTGGCTGCAGGGGGCCATGTGTGTGCGCCTGTGCCTGTGACCAGCCTCAGGGCCTAGGGGCAGGGAGCAGGCCAGGGGAAAGGCTCTGTCCCTGGGGCTTGGCCGGGCAGGTGGAAAGCCAGGTTCAGATGGGTGACCCTGGGCTCTGCAGCTGCTGTGGTCTGGCAGAGGGGAGGAGGCGCCCTTAGCAGTCAGGGGCAGGATGATGGTAGTGACGTAGCTGACTACGGGGGTGCCTGACCCCTGGGCAGCAATGTGCTCTCAGGGTGGGCTCTGTATTGAGTTCCCACTGTCAGCACAGCCTTTGGCTGCTGCCTCCTCCTCAGAGGGTTCAGAGCAAATGATGCAGGGTCACCTGAGGACAAAGCATGGATGGGGTGTCAGGGACCCTGGGTCTGGGAGCTTGGGCAAGCCCTTCGAGCTCACTGAGCTCCCTGTGCTCCTGCCAGGCATGAGAACTCTGACTTCTGAGACTCAGATGGACCGAGAGTGGCAAAGTGCCTGGCAGTCTCCACATCCAGCCCTGCCACACTGTGGCATGGGACCTCTGTGGTCACTTCTGTGGCCTCCCAGAGACACCATCTCCCTCTGTCACCTTAGGACCACAGTCCCCTCCCCATGCACTGGGTGTGGGGGACCAGTGAGGAGTGGATGAGGAAGTGCAGAGACCACTCTACGCTTGTTTCCCTGCAGACTTTAGTGGCTGTGTGGCTGGGGTGGTGGCCCTGCTGAAGGGGATCTGACCTGGCAGCCGTTTGGGCAGGAGCAGTTTTCAGATGTGAGCACACGTTCAAACTTGCAGCAGCAAAGCTGCTCAAGGTCCCAGGAAGCCCAGGCTTCTCTCTCGTTTTTGTGGCTGCCTTGGTAACGTGTGGGTGTAAGAGCGTGTGTATGTGCAGGAGAGAGACGGAGAGAAAGAAAGACCTGTGCATTCCAGAACACCCTTCTTCCTTGAACATCCGATTACCCAGAGCCTAATTTTAAAACCGAAGTCGATGCCTTCTTAAGTCTGCGATGGCCCAGCTGGCCTCCTTAAGTCTGTGATGGCCCAGTTCTGTTCTTGCTCCAAGTCTACGAAGCCAGCTTCCCCTGCTGGGGCTTGAAAGGGACCCCTGGCCAGGAGCAAGCAGGGCAGCAAGCAAAGCTGTTGGGGGCACTGTGGGGACTCCCCCAGGTGGCCAGGCTTCTGTGTGCCCGTGCCACCCCTCCTCAGGACCTTGTTTCCAGTTCCGGTTGGGCAGGGGCTGGCACTGGAGAGAGGCTTATGTGTCAACACCATAAAGCAGCCAGCAAGCCCTAATGACCACGCTCTGCAAGACCACACAGCACAGACTGGCACCTGGTTCTGCTTGGGGGCAGGGCCGCTGCCAGCCTGCAGGCCGCCCCTACCTCTGGGAGCAGAGCCCGAACTTGGGGAGCGAATGAGGCTTCTGGGCTGGCTTTATGCTGACAAGGGCCTTCTGCACTGTCAGCCCGGCCCCAGCTCCCAGCAAGTCTCCTTTCGCTCCCCATTACGGCCACTGGGGCTCCCTTTGGCAAGGCCTGAGGGCCCAAATGTGGCCATCTAGCCTCTGGGGACTTCCTTCCTTTGGAGCTAGAAAAACAGGTGCAGAATGTGTCTGGCTACAGCAGGGGCCCGCCCACTCACCTATAGAAAGGCCCTGCCATGGACTGAGCCTCCCAGCCTAGGAAACCTGGCTCTGGCCTCCCCTGCAGGCATATGATGTTTGGCTCCAGAGGCCTTCTCCTCTGGGCTTTTCCATGCCTGTGAACTGGGCCCCATTCATTTCTCTGTGGTTTCATGGGAACGTCCAATGCATTCAGGAGGTTGCAGTGCGCGCAGGAGGAGAGGGGTCAGCGAGAGGCCCGAGCTGTGACTGGTGGGCCACCCAGAGGCCACGGCACCCTCTGCTGGAGACTGGCAGCAGGGTGCATGGCCAGCTGTGGGTGGGGGTCCATCAGTCAAGCAGCTGCACTTTCTCCCCATCCCCCTCCCCGACCCAGGCAAGGTGCTCTGCCTGCGGCTCCCTTTCTCCAGGCCTCCACTTTCCAGCTCCCAGGCACCCAGCCCCACCCGGCCTGGCCTGGAACAGAGCTGCCACCAAGATCTCTTCCACTTTCCCTCCCCAGCAGCCTGCAATTCAGTGCTCCGTAGACCCCTGCCTCCCAGGGCTCTGCGGTTTCCACCACACTACACTCAATTTCCAGCTGCTAAGAACACAGCAGGTTCTACGTAAAGGTGGCCATCACCTGCACCCCATGGGTTGCCCAGCCATGGAGAAGAGGCCATGGTTGGGTACACAGCTTCTGAGACAGGCCCAGCAGCTGCCTTCATGGCCTCGGCAGAGCCCAGGGCTCTGGAGCTTACAGGCAGCGTGTGCCCAAGTGTGGAAAATTTGGTCTGCAGAAGAAATGAGGCTGAAATTGGCTGGGAGCAATTCTTATCAAAGCCACGTTAGCAGTTTTCAGCAAGAGCTAATTGAACAAGCTCTGTGAGTGGCCTCATTCCATTAGCAGGAGCCTCCCACAGAGCGTGACAAGGGCCCTGGTGGCTGAGGGCAGAAGAGGCTGTTTCTGTCCCACATTTGCCTTTGGCCTTTGAAAATGGACTAATTTTCAGCTTTGGGCACTGGTCCTGCCCCTCTGCCCCGGCTCCCGCTCATTTCCAAGGCCACTCTCTGAGTGTCCTGTGTGAGGAAGGGGTGAGGTGAGTTTGTCAGCACTTTATCAGGTGCATGGATCTGAAATGGGACACCTCTGGCCTCCTTGCCAGAGGGTGGCTTTGTGGTGAGGGTAGGGGAGGCAGAAGAAACTTCTAGAAATGTTGCTTTTACTGTGTTTTTTGCCCAAGTCCTAGAGTTGGGGCACCCAGGCCAGTCACATCATAAGATGTGTAATAATAATGTCTTATTTATTCGAGGCCAGGAACTTGAACATTGCTTCCCTGTTTTACAGGGAAACAAATTGAGATTACATGAGCTTAAGAAGCAAGTGAGTGGTAGGGCTGGCATTCCATGCAAGCCACTGAGGAGAAGCCCCTTGTCTCCATGGCAGGGCCAGGAGAGGGGAGGGACACCCCCCAACCCCTACCACCTGCCAGACAGGACCTTCCTGGCCACAGATGCCCTGGATCCCTGACTATCAAAACCCAGCCCCAGCCTTTCAGCTGAGCAGAGAAATACTCAGATCCAGTTCCTCGATGGTCAGGGAAGGCAGGCTTCCTCTGAAGAGCAGATCGCTTTACCCCTTTCTCATCTCATCACCTCTGAGCCCTGCCAGGGTGAGAGCAGCCTTTCCCAGCATCGTCCTTTAAGATGCGACAGAAACAGGTCCCACCTGAGCCAGCAGGAATGCGGCACCCAGTGGCTGGCTCTGCAGTCTTGATGCTCGCCGGCACCTTCAGGGTGAAGGACGCCCTGTCGTAAACGCATGAAGAGCCCTGCGTTTCATATATTGATGTTGTTGCTTTTTCTTTAGAGGAACGTTTGTGCACTGTGGGAACCTCTGTCTCTACCAGTGTCACCCTTGCTGTGGGGAGTGTGTACCGTGTGCGGGGGGCTGGTGGCCTTTCTCTGCTGTCTGCCACAGTTTGTGAGGGGCTCGCTGAGCCTCATACCTGAGCCTCCCCCTCCCCACCCCCTCCTGCCCCAGGGAGGCCCAGAACCAGGGAGGAGAGGTGCTGGGAGTGAGTGCCGAGGAGCTGGGGTCCTGGCCCTGCAGCCACTGTCACAGCACAGCCCCACCCCAGACCTCCAGAGTGGTGGGGCCCTGGTGGTGCAGGTTCCAGACGCTTGGCTGATGCCAGGCCTGGATCCAAGGCCCCCGTCTCCGAGGCCTTAGCTTGCTGTTCTGGAAGGTGATGCTGGCTGGCAGCCATTCCCAGCCCCTCGGAAAGCAGTTGTCAGGCAGTCCCTGAGCTCCAGCGCCCCATCCCCCGCAGGGCCCAGTGATCTCACGCCTGTGCCCCTGGTGCTGGGAGGAGTGGGGTGACACTAGGGCCAGTGCCCACATCAGAGGAGGAAGGTATGAGGCCAGGGCAGGGGGCAGGGCGCCCTCCCGTCCAGCAGCCCCAGTGCCCACTCTGCGCCCTTCGGGGCTCCCGTGGCCCAGAGTGTGGAGCGGCTCAACCTGACCACCCAGGATAGCTTGGGGGCGTTTCGGAGGTTTGGCTGCCTAGGCTGTGCACCTAGCACAGCTCCCCAGGAGAGGGAGGGAGGAGGTCAGGGGAGAGGGCCCTGCTGACCGGGTCATCTCTGGCCCTGGGTTCCCATAGGAGCGCCTAGGCTCTAAGCTGGAGCCTCCCCATCCCAGGACCTTGGGGAGAAAGAGGCTGGGCGCCACCTGCTGGCCCACCAGGGAATTGACAGGGTGGGGGACTGTGGAGCCTGTGCTGGCCGCAGATGAGAGCCCTGACTCCCACCTTCCCTACCCCACCCACCCTGCACCGTCCAGCTCAGTTCTCTGACCCGTGGTGCCAGGTCCCATTTGCAATGGCGAATACTGAACTCGGTGCAACTCTGGCTGCTGGCAGCTGGGCTTGGCCTGCACCTTTCTGTCCCCAAACTCCACTGGGGACCCACCTTCCAGCCACCCCAGGGTGCCACCGCCAGAGCCAGGGGTCAGCCCCACCTTCATTCACTCCTACTCATAGCCTACCTGTTCACTCTGCCCCCATCTGCTACTTGCAGCATCAGAAGGACATGAGGGCACCAAACAGCCCCTGCAGCTGTCCTCAAACATCATGGCCAAGGCTGCACCTGGGAAGTGGACTTTCTGTGGTGCTAGCTCCCTCCTCAGTGCCCTTGACCTTTGTCTGGGTCCCTGCTTAATGTGGCCTAACTAGTTGGGCCAGAGCTCCACAGGTGCTGTCCTGACTCCCAGCCCCAGGAGGGAGGGAGAGGCTGAGACGGCAAGGGAAGCAGAGACTCAGCCACACCAAGGGCCCTGGCAAGGTGGGCCTCTCCTCCATAGCCTCACCAGGCTTCACGTTCAAGGTCACCAAGAGTGCACTTGTTCACTGTCGAGGGCAGAGGTGACTCCTGGGACTGTGCTGGGGGTCCAGGGAGAGCAGGTAGCGGAGTTGCCAGGGAAGCAGCTTGCCTGAGGTCTGTGGTCTTGGCAGGGGCTTCCACAGCGGCCCCACCCTCTCCCTGTCCCCTCCCTCCTGTCCTTGTCCTCGTGTTTACTGAAAACCATGAGAAGGGATGTGGAGAGCGCCTGCAGGAACTGAGAGCAGGAGCCTGGCTCAGCCCTGAGAGGCCCCCAGATATTCAATTCCTAAACCCATAGAGGGTGGGGCATGGGCACAGAGGAGTAACCAGGGGCCACCTCACACAGCCCTGCTCTTTCACCCTGCCCGCCTGGTGGCCTCCTTAGCCTGCAGCCTCAGTGCTGCCCGCTATGGGGTCATGCTGCCTCCTGCTGGCCACACTGCAAAATGCAGCCCAGGGTCGGGCCTAAGGCTACACTTGTCCCTCTTCCGGCAAGCCTGCAGCTGGGCTGGAGGGGAAAGCAGGCACCACAGAATTGCCTGGATGCTCCTGCCCAGGAGGATTGTCCGACTGCATGGGGAGAAAAGTCCAGAACCGTGCCTGGCACATAGTAGTTTTTATGGAGTGAGAGGGCAAAAGTACGCATGATTGTGTGCATCTGAAGTATTTCCGTGCTGATGGCCTGACCAGTATCAGATTATTTTTCAAGCAGGAATTTTGATTCCTCTTGGGTTCACAATATCTTATTATGAAATCCGAATAAGAACAGTCTAATGGCACCAGACAGTGATACAGGTGAGCCTAGAACAGTCAGTGTTCATGTGGGGGACTGCAGCCTGCTTTTCAGGGAGGCTTCAAAAGAATTGAGGAACACAGATTGATGGCAGGGATGAAAATCACAGGGCATATTGAGGAGACCCCCAGCTGGCCATGTGGGGGGCAGGTGGGGCAACAGGAGAACAGTGCCTGCGTCCTGAGGGCTTTCAATGCATCAGGCAGAGGGCCTGCCAGTGCAGAACCTGTTTTCTCTGCGTCCATGACAGCCCTGAGCAGGTGCCATTGTGACCCCTGTCCTGCATTTGAGACAGAGGATGGGGAGGGCTCTGTGATTTGTTCAGAATCCCACGGCAAGAAAGTTGTGGAGCTGAGAGTCAAACCTGGGCTTGGGAGACTTGTAGTGGGTTAAGGGCTTGAACACAGGGTTTTTGGCAGGAAGTGGTGGGCACAAGCACAGATTAGGGCTGGGAGGTGGGGTGGCACATCACAGGCCGTTACTGCCACCCAGAGGGCAACATGGATGCTCCTCCTTTTACCTGCTGGGTGTCCTGTGTGGTAGAAGGGCAGGCTGAAGCTTGATCCTTGTGGTCACACATCCCAGCTGTCACCTGCCTTACTGTGTGCCATGAGCCAGCCCAAAAAAGTCCCCACTAGTCCCCAGGGGAGGCGCTAGGGGTGCTGGGCTGGCTTCCCTCCTCTCCAGGTGGTGCCTGCCCTCCTGGGGCATTTCCCAGCCCTTCTTCCTCTGCATCTCAGGCTCCCTGGGGAGGCAGATATGCTCTCAGGACATCCTGGCAGAGCACAGCCACACGTCTGCCCTGGCAGGCCCACCCTGGGTGGAGGAGGGGCTCTATATGCCAGGGCTCTCTCTCTCGGTGGCTGGCTTTCTTTCCACGAGCATGGCCAGATGACGAGGCTCACCCGCAGCACTACTCACACCTCCAGGAAGGGAAGTTGATGGCAGGGTTCTGGCTGCAGCCAGGCCTGCGGGAGCTTCCTCCCTGATCTCTCTCACTCAAGGGGAAAGCTCAGGGCTGGGCATGAAGGCTGGGGAAAGGCAGGGAAGGCAGAGTCCCCCCAGGCTGGTCAAGGCCCCGATAGCCCCATGTCTCCCTGAGGGGGCGGCTTTCCCCATGAAGAGGGTCCTGGTCACCAAGGCATGAGGACATGCCCAAGGCTGGCCCATCACAACAGGCTCCAGCTCTTGTGCACATGTGTGATCTTCTTGTC
Source organism: Homo sapiens (assembly GCF_000001405.40). NCBI lineage: Eukaryota > Metazoa > Chordata > Mammalia > Primates > Hominidae > Homo > Homo sapiens. Next base: position 232,328,861 of record NC_000002.12, read on the forward strand.
CCACCAAAGGCGGGAAAAAGAAGTGCGTGGCCTCCTGCCCCAGATTTGGTGGTAGGGTCAGTGGTGCTGACCTCAGTGCTGTGTGATACCAGCCCCCCAGCCTTTGCCTGGTTCATGTCCCACATCGCCTATCGGTCCCCGCTCCTTCAGTCTGGGACCTTGGCCTGCTCAGTCCTTCTGTGGGGAGCCACATCCATTCACAGTGACTGTTGAGTCTAATGACAGACACCCAAGTGCTGCAAAGCCAGAGCAGCAGCCCCTGAAAGGGTGACTCTGGGGTCTCACCCCATCCCCACTCCTGCCCTGTCCTCTGGTGAGGGCTTCCCTCCTGCTGCCTCAGACTGTCCTGTCTACCCTCAGAGACCCTGTTGGGAGGCTTCCCTCCAACAAGGCACCGTCCCCAGAGGAGAAGGGAGCCCAGCACTCCTGGGACTGTGGGGTCCTTGGTCCACTCACCACTGCCACATGCCTCAGGGAGCCCTCAGAGCAGGGGCTGAGCTGGGGCCCCAGGGTTCCCATGCCCTGGGCGAGCATGGTGCCCTCTTACAGCCTGGGCTGCCCGAGTGTTCCAGGCATCCTGTCATTCAGCAGAGATCTTTCCTCGGTGCCTTCTCTGGATTGGGTGGGCTGCTGAGCTCTGGGGCTGCTGCAGTGAATTATTTAATAGATGGGTGCTTCCCTGCTCTCCAGGGTCCCCCTCTGGGAGAGCCAGCACAGGAGCTAACCAGTCAGAGGAGAAGGCGGTGTAGACCAACTGGTGCAGGGAGACCATGGGGGTGCTGGGCAAGACAGGGACTTGGCGGAACACATGAGATGAGGTAGCTGGGAGGTTGTCTTTAAGCTGAGACCTGAAGGGTGATTGATAGAGAGCCAGGCCGGCTGCAGCGTGGGAAAGCCTGCGCACCTGTCCCCAAACCCCAGCGGTCCCTCCCATCCCACCCACCCTCTGCAGGCTCGTGGAGGAGTTCATGCTCTTGGCCAACATGGCAGTGGCCCACAAGATCCACCGCGCCTTCCCCGAGCAGGCCCTGCTGCGCCGGCACCCCCCGCCCCAAACAAGGATGCTCAGTGACCTGGTGGAATTCTGCGACCAGATGGGGCTGCCCGTGGACTTCAGCTCCGCAGGAGCCCTCAATGTGAGTGGTGGGCAGGATTCGGGGGAGGCCCTGCTTGGGGGAAAGAAGAGAAAGACCTGGAAGGTGGGGTGGTCCAGCGGCCTCTGCTTCCCCCCAGAGTCCCTCCCCTTCAGCCAGGTCTCTCCTGTAGGGAAGGAGGCCCTGGGAGAAAGGGCCCCTCTGAGTCACAGGGGCCCTGACAGTGGGACCTGCCCCTTCACCAGGACTGTGCCAAGCGGGGGGACCCTGGAGGCCTAGCAGAGGGCAGGGGTCCTGTGGCCAGAAAGGGCTGGTCTTGGGCCCAGAGGCTTTCAGAGTCGGGGCTGGAATTGTAGGAATCCCGGGAATGTTCCTGGTGGGTACTTTCAGGTGCTCCCTGCCTGGGGCAAAGCTAAGAAACCCAGGGCCTTGGCTGTGGTCCTGGAGGAGGGAGACATCTCACCCAGGCCCAACCCTGGGAGGGGAAGGCAGGTGCCCCAGGCCAGAGAGCTGGAGCCCAGTGAGTCCAGGCCAGCCAGCAAAAACATGGAAGTGTGGGCCACAGGGTGTGGGCGGCTGCCCCCTCTCCCCACCCATCCCCTCTGAGCAGGGCTGAGCCCCACAGGCAACTCCTCCCCCCAGAGCCGGGCATGAGGTGCTCAGCGGATGACAGGGCCCAGAGTCTCTGCCCGAGCTGGACCACACGTCACATAGGTTTCTGGGATTTGCTTCTAGAAAAGCCTGACCCAAACATTTGGAGATGACAAGTACTCACTGGCCCGCAAGGAGGTGCTCACCAACATGTGCTCCCGGCCCATGCAGGTAAGGAGGGCCCAGCCCCGGCCTCCCCTGCTCCCAGGAGCACACTAGCCCCAGACCTGTGACCTCCACGTGCAAGCACAGGCCCCCACCGTTCCTGCCTGCTCTGGACATGGCTGGGTGGACGGGGGCTGCTCCTCCTCTGCCAGAGGGTGGGAGAGGAGGCCGACCCCAGGCAGCACCTAGGAGGGGGCACCCTGAGCCTCTTGAGTTTGAGCCGCTGTCTCCTGCTCACACTCGCTCAAGGACAGAGTGCCCTGGAGCTGAGGGGCTACTGAGACCTCCTGTCAGGCTGGGGTCCTGGAGGAGAGACAGGGTCCCATGTGGTTTCCTGTCCCAGGGAACACTCCGCAGCCTCCATCCCCACATGTGGAGTCCAGAACTAGCTGTCAGCCTCTGGCCAGTGTGGGAAAGAAGCGGACTTGGCCGGGGGCCTAGGCCTGGGCCTGCAGGGAGGTGGCAGCCTGTGGGGTGGACAGCTGGGCTTGCTCTGGGATGCCTGTCACAGCGCCCCAGGCTGAGCTTCCCCCATGCAGGGCCCGAGCATCCTGGGACCAGGACCCCAGAGGACCCTCGGGTCAGCGGGAGCAGTGGATGCTGATGGGTCGGCTCTGGGTCCCACCCCGGCCCAGGGGCAGAGACAGGCTGTATTTTAGGGGCTCGGTCACTCGGCAGATTCAATCTGTTCACAAGAACTGATGGCTTCAGCTGACCTCAGTGGATTTATTTTCTGACACTTCAAGCTCTGCTGGGTTTGAAGCCATCAGGGCCTGCTTGGGCCTGGTCACCGTGACCTGCCCCCAGTCACAAGTGTCTGCCCAGCCAAGCACCTGTGGCACCCACAGCGGAGAGGGGCTGGGCCGTGCCCACTGGGCTCTCTCTGTTCTACACTGCAGCGGCTCTAGGCCTGGCAGAGAAGGCACAGCAGCCCCTGAGTCCCAGAACTGCCTCTGGCTCTGCCCTGCTGGGGCCCCTCCCATGTCCCTGCCTCTGACGCCATCACCTCCAAGGAGGTACAAGCCAAGCTGGAGCTCCAGAGATCGGAGCCGCTCCGGAGTTAGCCAGAGCCCGAAAAGCCTGCATTCTCCTGGCTCGCCTCCCAGGGAGCTCAGAGGTGCCCTTGCCCGGGAATCCGATGGCAGAGAGTTACCAGGTCTGCGGTGCTCCTGTTCCTCAGCCCCGGGAACTGGGGTGGGGACAGGGCAGGGCAGCAGCAGAGAGCACAGAAAGGTGTGAGGGGGCACACAGTCCCCAGTGAGCATCTGCATCAGGACACCAGGGCTGTCCGAGGGCTGTCCCAGGGATGGCTGGGCCTGTGGGAAAGCCATGGTCCCCACCCATCCCACCCGACCCTGAGCCACCTCCACCAGCCAAGAGGGGCCAGGGCCCTTCATCAACCTCACCCAGGTCATCTGGGGAACTGGGCCACCACTGAGAACAAAGCCCAGACATGTCTGGGAGTGGAGGCTGTGCCCACCTCCCCCAGAGACTTGCCCCCGACTTAACCCAGGGCCCAGCAGGGGCTGGAAGGGAAGTGGAGTTAGGGAGCGGAGCAGGTCACCATCAGCTGCGCCCTGGATTCCAGGGCCCGTGTGCACAGAGTAACGGGAGCCGGCTGTCTGTCTGGCCAAGGGCACAGGAGGGTGAGTGTGTACAGCAGCCAGGGAGCAAGGGAGCCAGAGAGACATACAGGCGTGACCTTGGACCTCTGCGAGGAACCCGTTCACTCGCTCCCAGGCAGTAGCACTGGCCCTGACACCCAGCCCTGAAAGCTCGGGGACTGCAGGACAAACAGCTTCAGGGGCTGTGGCCCCAGCTGGGACGGGCTATGCGCTGGTCCCTAGAGACTCTCGGTATCTCCCCCTGCCCCAGTCCTGCCTCCTGCCCAGCACAAGGGCCTTTGGAACTCAGCCCTCTGTGTCTCAGCCCCCGGGAGGGTCAGGTGTCAGAGACGAGAAGGGCCGAGGCTGGCAGGCCGGAAACTGCCTCCCTTGACTGCTGTGGGGTGGAGTATTGGCGAGCACAGAGGTGCCCGGGTGAAGCGTGGCTTCAGCTGGGCGGGATCAGTGCCAGAGGGGATGAGGACGGCCCCGACCAAAGGTGGGCCTAGGCTGGAGAGGAAGCTCCAAGAGCCTGAGGCCCGTATTGCACAGGGCAGGGGATCGCATCCTGGGCTTTCTCTCCCTCCTCCCACTCTGGCCAGATGGGAGGATGGACGTTGCCTCCTTGAACAAAGACCCACAGGCTCCTTGGCTTCTGCTTGTGTCTCCAGCAGACAGCGTCTGCAGCCCCTGGTCCAACAAAACCGCAGGCGGCCTCCTCCTCTTCCTCCTCCTCATTGTCCTCCTCGACCACCACCACCTCCTCCTTCCACCACCTCCTCCTTCTCCTCCTCCGCTGTCGCCTCCTCCTCCTCCTCCTCCTCCTCCTCCTCCTCCTCCTCCTCCGCTGTCGCCTCCTCCTCCTCCTCCTCCTCCTCCTCCGCTGTCGCCTCCTCCTCCTCCTCTGCCTCCACCTCTGCCATCGCCACCTCCTCCTCCTCCTCCCCCACCCCCCGCCGCTACCTTTCTTTCTTCTTCCTTCTTCCTGGGCGAGAGTAGCAGCCCCGGCCCCATGCTGGGGAAGGGTAGGCCAGAGACTCTTCCCTCCTGGTGGTGCTCAGCAGTGACTCAGCAGGGACTGGACTTCGGAGGCTCAGCTCGTGCCCCCTACCCTGACAGCATCCTGGGGGTTCCTGGCTCCCTGGTCCTCAGCAGGGTGGGCTTGTCCAGGCCATTCTCAGTGCTGCCACCTTGAGGGCATCTGGGAGGCCCAGGCAGGCCAGATTTGTCTCCTGGAAAGGACATGGGTACCCCTGGGCTCTGCCCAGCCTCCTGGCCTCCCCCTGGGGCCCCTTGTGCAGCAAGGGCCCTGGCCCCAGTCCTCCCTGGCGTCACTCAGCAACCAGCAGCCCATTAGGTCTGTCCACACATCGCTGCCGACGGTGAGGCTGTGGGTGGTGCCAGCCTTCCAGGCCTGGCTGGGCAGCTCTGGGCTTGTCAGGCTCTGACCCATCCCGTCCCGCAGATGGCACTGTACTTCTGCTCGGGGCTGCTGCAGGACCCAGCGCAGTTCCGGCACTACGCGCTCAATGTGCCCCTGTACACACACTTCACCTCGCCCATCCGCCGCTTTGCCGACGTCCTGGTGCACCGCCTCCTGGCTGCCGCGTTAGGTGAGGGGTGCAGTCGGGGTCAGGGCAGACCTGGGCCAGCTCAGGGCTGCCCACCCCCACAGTGGGTGCTCAGTGGCCCAAGACCATTCTGCCGTGACAGCGGAGGTCCAAGGGTCGGGCGACCCAAGTGCAGGGGAGCCTGGCCTGGAAACTCTCCCTACGGGCCGGTGCTGCAGAAGCTGCATGGAGCCCACAGCCAGCCCTGGACACAGCCGGGAGGAGGGCGCTGACCTCGAAGGGCCGCTTTCTGCTGCCCTGGGAGCTGGGTGCTTGGGGTCCTAATCTGTCGGCGGGGGTGCAGCGCCATGCAGCCCATCCCCCAGCCATAGCTCTTCCCAGCCCCCCAGGCTCCCACTCTCATGCCTCACCCCCTCTTCCCAGGCTATAGGGAGCGACTAGACATGGCGCCCGATACCCTGCAGAAACAGGCGGACCACTGTAACGACCGCCGCATGGCGTCCAAGCGCGTGCAGGAGCTCAGTACCAGTCTCTTCTTTGCTGTTCTGGTCAAGGTGAGCCCTCCAGCCTGGTGCCCCTCACCTCCCTCTGGCTCCCGACCCTCCTGGGCACCTGCTCACCAGGAGGCCTCGAGGAGCCCAGGGCAGTGCCAGGAGGTGCCATGGCTGCAGCACTGTCCCTGCAGGAGAGTGGCCCCCTGGAGTCAGAAGCCATGGTGATGGGCATCCTGAAGCAAGCCTTCGACGTGCTGGTGCTGCGCTACGGCGTGCAGAAGCGCATCTACTGCAACGTGAGTGCCCTGGGAGAGCCCGGGGGCGGGCAGGGCAGCCCAAGCCATCCCGCACTGGAGGGGCACAGGCTGTGATGGGTCACACTCCACCCCTCGCTCCCCCAGCCCTAGCACAAAGCCCACCTGATGGGCCTTGCTGAGACGCCCAGCTCTCCCACCTGGGATGGTGGCTCCAGGCCCAGGGTCAGGCCTGGCCCCCTTCCCCAAGGACCCAGGAACCAGAGAGCAGGCCCCTCCATGGCCAGTACAGCTCGGCAGGGTGTGCAGGCTTTGGGGACTGTGTTTATAGGAACGTGAAGGAATGAAAGGCCAGCGAATGGTCCGTGGCCGCTTTGGAAACTGTGTCCCCTGAAGACAAGGAAGAGAGCTGTCCCTGGCTCGGCTCCTGCCCTGAGTGACTGTTGACTCACAGTTCTCTCTCCAAGGGGACATGGGCCTGTCCTAATGCTGCCTTAGGGGCTTGGCTCCAGCTGGCCCTGGGGTCTGCAGGTCACCACCTGCCTCTGTGCCTGGCTTTGAATTTCCTAACATCCAGAGTGCCCTGGGAGTACAGTGTCCAGCCCGTTGTGTGCAGTAAACGTGGTGTTCATAACCGGGAGCTGGGCAGAAGAGGAACGACAGAGTCCCCCTGCGGACCCTGGGGGCTCTGTATCCTGAAGTTCAAGCCTAGCTCACCCTGCTGTGGGCCCAGCCCTGCCTGCACTGACAGATGGCACCAGCAGGGGGCGCAGCGCTCCGCCGCCACAGTTCTCTGTCCCCACCTCAGTGCAGTCAGCCCTGGACCCCCCACCACTTGCCCCCCATAGCACACAGAGCCACGGGCCTTCCCAGCCCCCACCCCTGGCCCTTGGTCACTCTCACCTGCTGCCTCAGCTGAAGGTGGCCTGGCAGGGCCTCCCTGAAGCTCCCTCCAGCCAGGCAAGGGTGGGCCAGGGCCGAGGGCTGAGGGCCGCCTCCAAGCATTGAAGCCCTCCAGGGTGGAAGGGCAGGCAGCAGCATCCAGAGCTGAGGCCTGAGGCTTGGTGTTTGCACTCCAGGCACTGGCCCTGCGGTCCCACCACTTCCAGAAGGTGGGCAAGAAGCCGGAACTCACGCTGGTCTGGGAGCCTGAGGACATGGAGCAGGAGCCAGCACAGCAGGTCAGAACCCCTCTGTGTCCCAGCCCCCTAAGTCCTGATGACCCCTCTCCTGCCTCCTGCGGTGCCCCTCATTCCTTCATCTGTGTCCCCTGGGCTCCCCCAGCACTGCAGCCTCCCGGGTGGGGTTTTAGGGCCCTCCCAGCTCACCCAGACCCCCTCCTGTGGGTCCTGCTTTCTGGCACCACCTTCCCTTCCTTGGGGGCAACCACAGTGGAGAGAGGAGGGGCTCTGCCTGTCCCGCTAATGCAGGGGTGCTGGCCTTCTAGGGTCCTTTAGAGAACCTGATGAAAGCTATGAGTTTACACCCAAGAAATTGTCTGGAACCGTTTTCACCAACAGTGTGCCCTGAACGCGGACCCAGGCCCTCAGGTTGTGTTTCATAAGCCTTGGGAGCGCTCAGGATGCATCTGACTCCCCAACTCTGCCCTGACCCAGGGCATTCTTCCTGGAGGGGGCCCCCATTACAGACAGGCGAGCAGAGGCTTCCAGAGGCCGAAGGAGGGGCCAGGGGTCCTGCTGCAGGGATGGAGGCAGAGCTGCGCCTCGACATCAGGCCCTGCCATCCTTGTCCCCTCACGGCTGGGCTCTGCACAGGTCATCACCATCTTCAGCCTGGTGGAGGTGGTCCTGCAGGCAGAGTCCACAGCCCTCAAGTACAGCGCCATCCTGAAGCGGCCAGGCACCCAGGGCCACCTGGGCCCTGAGAAGGAGGAGGAGGAGTCTGACGGTGAGCCCGAGGACTCAAGCACCAGCTGAGCTCCACCAGCCGCCTGCCCCGCCTGCCCCGCCTGCCTGTCCCGCCACACTGGCTTTAGGACCTGTTGACACGGAGGGGGGTTTTTAATTTGGTTTTTAACAACTCAGGGGTTTGTTTTTATTTTTATTTAATTTTTGCAGCTCAACTTTTAAACAAACTGCAGGGGAGAGGGTGGGGCTGGAAGGAAGGCTGAGGCCTGGTCAGCAGTGACCCCAGCAGAGCAGGCCCCAGTCCTCCTGGGAGGCTGGCCCCCCTTTTTTCTGGGCCCTACTGCCCTCCTCTGCCCAGGAAATGGGGGGGTTTCAGCAACTCAGTGTCACAGAATAAAATCAAGTGTGGAGTGCCATCTGGTGTGTAGGGCGCCTCTGGGAAGCCTGGGCAGCAGAATGCCCCTTGCACCCAGGGCAAGGGACCCAGTTCAGGCTTCACCCCTCGCTGCTGAGCCGATGTCAACACCTGGAACTTTCCTGTCAGTTCCAACACGATTCAGAGCTGGCTGCCTGGCAGATGATTGATACTGGAGTCTCATTCTGCCTGATTAAAAATGGAATTAGTATGCAACACTGAGAGCGCCCCCATCACCCTGACGAATGTGACTGTGTCTGACGAATGTGACTGTGTCCAACCCTGCCCCCACTTCCTCTCTGCACCAGCTCCGCAGGGCCTGGTGGGAGTCATGGGTCCTGTGATACCCCCTCCCCTCAGTTCCTCAAGCAGCACTCTGTGAGGTCCTGTGCCCAGCTCTGGTGTGAGTGGGTGCCCCGGCAGCACCAAGGGAGCCTGGACAGAGGAGCCGGCCTGGGCCTGGGGGAGGGGAGGAGGGCCCTCCAGTGCCTTCCAAACCAGGAGGGGAAACTGGCTGCTGGTGACACAGCCTGGGTGACACGGATCCCACCTGCCTCAGTCCCGAGCAGAGCTGGCTGGCCACTGGGCAGTCCCTTCCCCAGCCAGCCTGACCCCAGCCTGTACTCCTTCCCCCTCCGTGGGGGAAGCTCCGTGGCTTGGCGTCCCCGAGAGCTGCCAGAAACTAGGATGAAAGCCATGGTGAGCACGGCCTCTGTTCCCCTGCACCATTTCCTGGGGTGTCCGGATTAACAAGCTCATTTGATCTGGTTACAGTGAATTTTCTTCAAAGAAACACTCAATAGGGTCCCTTGTCAGAGTGCCTCGCAGCGACAGTGACTGGGTACTGCTGCCTTTGTCCTGCCACCGTCAGACGGGGCTGGCTATGGGAGGCAACCAAAGACATCCCGCACCTGCCCTGGGAGCCTTTCCCTCCTCCAGGGCTCAGCCACCTCAGGCGGCCTTCCGTCTGTGTGTCCTGCCACCCCCGAGATGTCCCAGAGGCCACGGTCACCCCATCTGTTCCTGTCCCCAGAACCTTCTCCTGGAGCCAAGTATCTGCAGGGACAGACAGGCGAGCGTCTGGGGGTTTGGTGTTGGGGTGGAGAAGGCTGTGGGGTGCTGCCCC